>NC_000017.11:77236390-77536800 GCF_000001405.40 Homo sapiens
CTCTCAATCTAAGGGGCATTGTAGTGTTAGCCAGCTGAGGTAAAAAGGCAAGACCCATTCGTCTCCAAGTGTCCTAGCTGGGGCTCTTAAAGAACCAGCAAGGCCAGGTGCAGTGGCTCATGCCTGTAATCACAGCACTTTGGAAGGCCAAGGTGGGAGGATCATTTGAGCCCAGGAGTTCAAGACCAACCTGGGCAACATAGGGAGACTTTGTCGCTACCAAAAAAATACAAAAAAATTAGCCGGCCATGGTGGCATATGCCTGTAGTCCCAGCTATTTGGGAGGCTGAGGTGGGAGGATTGCTTGAGCCTGGGAGGTCAAGGCTGCAGGGAGCTGTGATGGCACCACTGCACTCCAGAGAGAGACCCTGTGTCAAAAAAGAAAGAAAGAAGGAAGGAAAATGAAGGAAGGAAAAAAAAGGAAGGAAAGAAAGGAGAGAGAAAGAAAAGAGAGAGAAAGAAAACAGAAGAGAAAAGAGGCTGGGTGCAGTGGCTCATGCCTGTAATCCCAGCACTTTGGGAGGCTGATGCGGGCGGATCACCTGAGGTCAGGAGTTCAAGACCAGCCTGGCCAACGTGGCGAAACCCCATCTGTACTAAAAATACAAAAATTAGCTAGGCATGGTGGCAGGCGCCTATAATCCTAGCTACTAGGGAGGCTGAGGCAGAATTGCTTGAACCCAGGAGGCAGAGGTTGCAGTGAGCCAAGATCACACCACTGCATTCCAGCCTGGGTGACAGAGCAAGACTACGTCTCAAAAAAAAAAAAAAAAAAAAAAAAAGGAAAAGAAAGAAAGAGACTGATTTAGTGATTTAGTTTGGCTCTATGTTCCCACCCAAGTCTCATCTCCAATTGTGATCCCCATAATTCCCATGTGTTGAAGGGGGGACCTGGTGGGAGGTGATTGGGTCATGGCAGCGGTTCCCCTATACCGTTCCCGAGATAGTGAGTGAGTTCTCAGATGATCTGATGGTTTTATAAGGGCCTCTTCCTCCTTCGCTCATTCACTCTCTCTTGCCTGCTGCCATGTAAGACATGCCTTTGCTTCTCTCTTGCTTTCTGCCATGATTGTAAGTCTCATGAGGCCTCCCCAGCCATGTGGAACTGTGAGTCAATTAAACCTCTTTCCTTTATAAATTACCCAGTGTCAGGTATTTCTTTAGAGCAGTGTGAGAACGGACTCATACAGAAACCAAAAAGAAGGCAGAATGGAGGAAAGACAGCAGGTCCAGGACTTGGTCACCTTGATGCCCCAGTGTGACCTTTTGTCCCACTGAGTTCCCAGCGCTGGCTGTCACATGCTCAGGGCTCAGCCATCTGCTCCTCATGCAATCTCCAGTGTTTGCAGAGCAGGAGGATGTTTCCAAGGAAATCCTACTGGAATATCACCAGAGTTCCCTGGAAGGCATCAGGGACAGTGGTGAGCTTGGCAGTGAGCCTTCTCCACCTCCCTAGTTCAGGTCCTGCCCACCGAGAGTTAGGGACGGTCTTGGTGCTGTTGGGCCGTCCTGACCACCGTGGCAGCCAGCAATGGGCTGGGTTTGTCTATGGCAGGTTTCTCAGCAGGCACGGCTGACATGCTGTGCAGGGTCATTCTCTGCGGGGGGAGCCGTCCTGTGTGCACTCTAGGATGTTTAGCAGCGTCTCTGGCCTCTACCCACCAGATGCCACTAGCACCCACCCAGCTGTGACAACCAACAATGTCTCCAGACACTGTTTTTTTTTTTTTGTTTTTTCAAGACGGAGTCTTGCTCTGTCACCCGGGCAGAAGTGCAGTGGTATGATCTCAGCTCACTGCAACCTCCACCTCCTGGGTTGGGTTCAAGCGATTCTCCTGCCTCAGCCTCCCGAGTAGCTGTGATTACAGGCACCCACCACCACGCCTGGCTAATTTTTAAATTTTTAGTAGAGAAAGGGTTTCACCATGTTGGCCAGGCTGGTCTCGAACTCCTGATCTCAAGTGATCCTCCCAACTCGGCCTCCCAAAGTGCTAGGATTGCAGGTGTGAGCCACCGTGTCCAGCCAGACACTGTTTAATGTTCCCCATGTGGGCAAAACTGCCCCTAGCTGAGAATCATTGATCTAAACTAGCACTTTTATGACTGAGAGGATGAAACTGAGGCCCGGAAAGGTTAAGACACTTGACTGAAGTCACACAGTGAGCCCCTGGGATGGAGCTGGGGCTGGGCCCCTAGCACAAGCTCCCAGATTGGGGCTCCATCTTCGGAAATGGGGCAGCAGGTGTGGTGTGCGTGATTCTGATGAAAGATGAGACTGGAATCCACCTAAGGTTGAAATCTCCCACAGACGACCCTGAGATCACAATGCTCAGACAGGACAGACATTAATCTCCTTGGTGGTACAAAGAGCCAAGGTGATTCAATTCCAGGCCCCTGCAGAAGCTTTTTCCAAGGGCTTGGCAGGTGTAGACACTCTTCCACCAGATCCTGCCCTCGTTAGCATAATCTGAGCAGCTTCTCCTAAGATGGAAGGTCCACGCCCTGATGGGGCAGAGAACACAGGCTTCCAGATCAGGAACTGGGACTCTGGGGCCAGATGGCAAAGGGTTCACTTCTGAATAATGCCAGCATCCATCCTATTTCTCTCGCTTAGCTTTATGGTGGTGTCTTCATTGTCAATATAAAAAACACTTCAGGCCAGGCGCGGTGGCTCACGCCTGTAATCCCAGCACTTTGGGAGGTTGAGGCGGGCGGATCATGAGGTCAGGAGATCGAGACCATCCTGGCTAACCCGGTGAAACCCCGTCTCTACTAAAAATAGAAAAAATTAGCCAGGCGCAGTGGTGGGTGCCTGTAGTCCCAGCTACTCGGGAGGCTGAGGCAGGAGAATGTCCTGAACCCGGGAGGCGGAGTTTGCAGTGAGCCGAGATAGCGCCACTGCACTCCAGCCTGGGCGACAGAGCGAGACTCCATCTCAAAAAAAAAAAAACAAAACACTTCAGGCCGGGCATGGTGGCTCATGCCTGTAATCCCAAACCTTTGGGAGGTCAAGGCAGGTGGATCACGAGGTCAGGAGTTCAAGACCAGCCTGGCCAATATGGTGAAACCCCGTCTCTACTAAAAATACAAAAATTAGCTGGACATGGTGGCATGCACCTGTAGTCCCAGCTACTCAAGAAGCGGAGGCAGAAGAATTGCTTGAACCTGGGAGGCTGAGGCTGCAGTGAGCTGAAATAGCACCACTGCACTCCAGCCTGGGCGATACAGCAAGACTCCATCTCAAAAAAAAAAAAAAGAGCACTTCCACTCCACCCCCTGGTGCATACCATGTTGCTCTCATGAGGCAGGCAGACCGCAGTTTGTTCAATAAACACCTTTCCGGTGCGTGAACTCATATTTTAAAATGTGTTCTGGGAAAAGGCTGTTGAAAGAACCCCCAGTAAGAATTCTTCTCCAATGCCAGATTTCTCTTGTGATCGCTTCCTGATTTTCTGTTTAATACGTGAAATTACACATGGTGAGGAATTTTCTTTTTTTTTTTTTTTTTTTTTTTTTTTTTTTTTTTTTTTGAGACGGAGTCTCGCTCTGTTGCCCAGGCCGGACTGCGGACTGCAATGGCGCAATCTCGGCTCACTGCAAGCTCCGCTTCCTGGGTTCACGCCATTCTCCTGCCTCAGCCTCCCGAGTAGCTGGGACTACAGGCGCCCGCCACCGCGCCCGGCTAATTTTTTGTATTTTTAGTAGAGACGGGGTTTCACCTTGTTAGCCAGGATGGTCTCGATCTCCTGACCTCGTGATCCACCCGCCTCGGCCTCCCAAAGTGCTGGGATTACAGGCGTGAGCCACCGCGCCCGGCCTGGTGAGGAATTTTCTGAAAGCACACACGTATTTAAGAGTTCTGGAGAGAAGCAGTGTGTGTGCACTGGGGGATCCGACATACCCTAAGGATTGAGTTTGTCTGTACTAGGACAGGATCCATGAATTCATGCATGCATTCAATTTTAGAATCCTAGAGTTAGTGGCTCTGGCACAAAACAAGGAGATTGGAGAGCACTGGGCAGCAGAGGCTCTACTCCCAGGCCGGGCTCACCAGCCTCCCCGGGGGGCAGGCATGCAACAGAGCCCATGGGAGTTTCGGTTTTTTTTTTTTTTTGAGCTGGAGTCTAGCTCTGTCGCCCAGGCTGGAGTGCAGCGGCATGATCTCAGCTCACTGCAACCTCCGCCTCCTGAATTCAAGTGGTTCTCCTGCCTCAGCCTCCCAATTCCAGCCTCCCTCAGCTGGAATTACAGGTGTGCACCACCATGCCTGGCTAATTTTTGTATTTTTGTAGAGATGGGGTTTCACCGTGTTGCCCAGGCTGGTCTTGAACTCCTGGGCTCAAGCAACCCTCCTGCCTTGGCCTCCCAAAGTGCTGGGATTACCAGTGTGAACCTCTGCACCACGCCTGCATACTGTCATTTTAAAAGTCAGATCATCTCTTCCATGAGGAAGGGAGTAGAACATGGAGCCTCAACTGTGCGCATGATAAGAATCCGTGCTTCCCCCTGGGGAAATATCAGGCCTTATGGGCTTAAGTGCTCAAGCAAGAGGGACTTCAGCTTAGACGAAAGCATGAGCCTCAGTTTTGCATTTTCCTAAGGAGCGTCATCTGCGCCTCTAGGAGTTTTTACTATCTGAGCCTCCGGGTTCTTCTCCAGCCGCTGCTGAGGGCATGAAGCCATCTGGGGGTGGGGGGCGCAGGTGTGGAAGGAAGAAGCATATCCAGTCCCTTGGACGTGGCAGACTCCCAGTGTGTGTGGCGGCGCCCGCAGGAGGCAGTCCCTCTCAGCCGCATCCGCCTTGAGGTTGTTCTCAGTTCTGATGTGGCCCCAAAGAGAACCAGTTCCATTATGGATTAGTAAGAATTTATTTTGAACATGTTGTGGGAAGATGGTGACTGCAGGGGGTGCGGCGGGGGGAGGGAGCCCATTAGAGGCACCAGGTTCCCCTCCAGCGAGCCCCCCTGGACGTTGCTTCTCCCTGACCCAGCACCTTGGTAGACCCCCTTTGTTGGCCTGTCCACCCTGCTCAGCAAACCCAAACCCGAGGGTCAGCCGAGCAGTACCCCCACCCCGGCGTTCCCAAGCGGGCCCGGCGTGGGGTGACTCAGCTTGTTCCACTCCATCTGTTAGAAAAGGCACAGGACTGTCCAAGGCTGAAGCGGGGTGGGATTTTAGGGGCCCCTCCATGCAAACAAACATAAATCAACTTCCGTCCTGCCAAAAGCTCTGCTGATAATTGAGAGGCAAGCTAATGAACACAGCAGTTTAAAATTCACTCTCCAATATCTATTGCAGAATTGCATTGGATAGTTAAAAATCAAAGAGTCTAGCCCCCTAGACCCGGCCTGCTTCCTGGGGAGGCTGCCCCCGAGTTAGGATTTCACATGACACCTCCAGCACTTCTAAAGGGCCAACCCCAGAATCGCTCACTCCCCAGCACGTCTGGGCTGTGCGCGGCACCCCAGGTAAATGCAGCGGCCTCTGCATTAGCCCGCGCTGCTTAGAGACGCTGCCACGACACTTCTGCCCTTGAGTCCGGTTTTGGGGATGGTTGATGTGGGGACACATGAGCGAGTGTGGCTCCTTTTGTGGACTAGACTGCTCTGCACGCTGTGGGGTGCCAGCCTGGGAGGACCCTTTGGCCACCATCACCAGAAAGCCTTCAGCCCAAAGACCTTTCTCAGGCGTTTACAGTTTATCCACACTTTTCCTAACAAGACTCCAACACTTCCAGTCTCTTGGGAACTAATTGGGAGGGCAAGTAAACACCTCTTCAACAGAAATGGCTCAGGGGGGCCTGTTGTACACCCCCCTGTGTCCCAACAAACCTCTGCCAGCCTCAAACAACTGGACAAAATCCTCCTGAGGGCACCAGAAGTGAGCTGGGGTGGCTGGCGCCGCCTGGTAGGGCACAGGGCTGGTCTGCAGGGTCATGTGATTGGAGGAACAGCTTGAACTAGGTTGCCTGGCAGGTGGACAGGCACCTAACCCCGCAGCAGGTGCCATAAGCGATGAAGTGGGTGGAGGTCTTGGGGAGCGGTAGTGCTGTTCCAGGAGCTCACTGGGCTCCATACCGGCAGCTTCCCCACGGTTCCAGAGTCCTCCGGGCTGCTCGGAGCCTGGGCACCTCCCTGTGCCATTTCAGGGCCATTTCCCTGTGTCTCTCCCCCTCGCAGCACTTGCCGTGGGGCGCGTGAACCATGGCTACTGAGTGAACGCAAGAGCGTCGAGGGCTTTTGTCCTCTGACAAGTGCACACTCCCCCAGGCACCCACGTGGAATTTCAAACCCAGTCACTTCTTCCGGAAGACCCATAAATCGCTCCTTATTGTTGTGTGACTGTAAATGTGTTCTAAACATTGTCCTTTCACGCCTGCGTCCTCCCCTGTGTGCACACTTTATTAAACGTTGAAAACAACTCTTTATTATGGAAAATCTCAACCTCCGGAGAGTGCAGACAGCAGCCTTATGAACGCCTCCGGATCCAGCCTCTATATTTAACAATCGCTAACATTTTGCCATATTTGCTTCATCTGGTTTTCTTTTCTAAACTAATCTAAAGTCAGTTACTGTCTCTGTGACATTTCCCCCTAAATCTTTTTTAGACATTTTCTTTTAAAAATGACATTTTCTTTTACTGAACCACAATACCATGATCACAGCTAACAAAATTAACCCTGATTTTCTAATATCATGGCCTGCCCAGTCCATGTTTGTTTGGTTGTCTCCCAAATGGCTTTTCCAGCTGGGTTTGTTCAAAACAGGATCCCAGGCTGGGCGCGGTGGCTTATGCCTGTAATCCCGGCACTTTGGGAGGCTGAAGTGGGCGGATTATCTGAGGTCAGGAGTTCGAGACCAGTCTCACCAATGTAGTGAAATCCCACCTCTACTAAAAGCACAAAAAAAAATTAGCCGGGCCTGGTGGAGCATGCCTGTAATCCCAGCTACTTGGGAGGCTGAGACAGGAGAATCACTTGAACCTGGGAAGAGGAGGTTGAAGTGAGCTGAGATCATGCCACTGCACTCCAGCCTGGGCGACAGAGCAAGACTCTGTCTTAAAAAATAAAAATAAACAAACAAAACCCAGGATCCTGATAAGGTGCATGCGTTGCATTTGGTGGTTTCATCTCTTAGTCACCTTTAACCTGCTGCCTCCTTTGTTTTTTTTTTCTTTTAATTTTTTTTTGAGACGGAGTCTCATTCTGTTGCCCAGGCTGGAGTGCAGTGGCACAACCTCAGCTCACTGCAGCCTCCACCTCCCAGGTTCAAACGATTCTCCTGCCTCAGCCTCCTGAGTGGCTGGGATTACAGGTGCCTGGCACCACGTGCGGCTAATTTTTGTATTTTTAGTAGAGACGAGGTTTTGCCATGTTGGCCAGGCTGGTCTCGAACTCCTGACCTCAGGTGATCTGCCCGCCTCAGCCTCCCAAAGTGCTGAGATTACAGATGTGAGCCACCGCATCCGGCCATCCTGTGTTTTCATGTCTGACTGTGGAAGAGACTGGGTTGGCGGGCTGTGGACTTGCAAGGCATCCATTCAGGGTCAGCCTGGCTGCTTCCTCTGGCTGTGGTATACATACGCTGTTGCTTGTTGTGGCCTATGAAGTTGAAGTTAGAGCTAAACTAGGTCTGATAAGATTCAGGTTGTGCTTTCAGGCCAGAGGGTCTTATAGGTCATCAGAAGCACATTATGGGCCAGATGTGGTGACTCACACCTGTAATCCCAGCACTTTGGAAGCCCGAGGCAGGAGGACCGCTTAAGCCTAGGAGTTCTGAGACCAGCCTGGGCAATACAGTAAGATCCTGTTGCTACAAAAATTTTTTAAAAAGTGGCTAGGTGTGTTGGCATGTGCCTGTAATCCCAGCTACTTGGGAGGCAGAGGTGGGAGAATCTCCTGAGCTCAGGAGGTTGAGGCTGCAGTGAGCTGTGATTGCACCACTGCACTCAGCCTGGGCGACAGAGTGAGACTCTGTCTCCAAAAAAAAATGAAGGCACATCATGACTCTCGGGATTCTGAGGTTGGTCCCTGGTTTTGAGGTGAGAGCTGGTCCTCTCCATTGTTAGAGCTACCTCTTCCCTATTGGAGGCACCAAGTAAACCCGGGAGGACACATTGGCACAGGGTGAGCGCCGAGCTCCCTGCCAGCCTGTCACCAATATCCCCTCACCCCAAAACAATCCATGGCAACACATGGCTGGGCTTCCACAGTCTCTCCCTGCACACTCATCACACCAGGGGCTGAACCCCATGTGGGCTCAGGGCAGTCACCCCACTACATAATAAACGTTCCTCCAGCATTCAAAGCATTTCTTAATGGAAGGAGGTCCCCAGATGCATTTACAGCCTTGGTTCCAAACCTCAGGGCCGCCTGTGTGTAGTATTCTATAAAACTGGTTCCTTAAGAATCCACTTTGAAGGCCGGATGCGGTGGTTCAACCCTGTGATCCCAGCACTTTGGGAGGCTGAGGTGGTCGGATTGCTTGAGGCCAGGAGTTCGAGACCAGCCTGGGCAACACAGTGAGACCTTGTCTCTACAAAAAATAATAATAATCATAACTAAAAATAAATTACTTTTGAAAAATCCCCATAGTGAGGTTAGTATGAAACAAACAAACAAAAAAAAGAATCCACTTTGAAACCCTGTGGCCTACTGGGGTTTTGACATGATTGGAGCAGTGAGGCATGGAGGGTGGGCTGGGCTGGGGGGCTCAGCCAGGAGCGTGGAGCAGAGTGATAAGAATCAGAGCAGGGTGATAGAGGGGACGGGGAGGGGAGGGCAGAGGTGATCAACATTGTAGAAGACAGGAGGGTGGAGAGAAAAAGAGAGGGAGCAGAGGGAGTTGGGGAAAGGAGAGGGGATGTGGTTAGAGCTTTGGGAAGGAAATGTGGAGGGCCCAGCCAGACTCTGAGAGTCCGTGTAGGCGCGGGACAGGTGTCACAGTTCATCTCTGCAAAGGTCGGGTGCATGGTGAGGAGGTGACGTGACTGAGAGACAGCACAGTGCCCGGAAGAGAGAAGGGTTTCAAGTCATTTTGGCAGGACACGGCGGCACGCACAGCCCGCCCAGACCTAGACCCCTCGCTCTCCTCCACAGAGCCCCAGGGAGCAGCTGTGGGCTTCCCTGTGGCCGAGACCAGCCTTTGGCCTGGTGTGTGTGTGTGTGTGCATATGTTTATATGAGTATGTATGTCAGTATGTGTATGAGCATGTGTAAATATATATGTGTATATCTGTGTACACATTGTGTGCACACATGTGTATGTGTATATGTGTGCATGTATGTGTCCACGTGTATGTGCATGTATGTGTACATATGTGTGTATGGATGTGTGCATATGAGCATGTGTCTGTGTCTGTATGCCCATGTGTATGTGCATGTATGTGTACATGTGTGTATGAATGTGTGCATATGAGCATGCGTATGTGTGTGTGCGTGTTTACGTGTATGTGTGCATATGAGCATGTGTATGTCTATGCAAGTGCGTATGTGTCCACGTGTGTATGTGTACATATGTGTATATGTGTGCATGAGCATGTCTGTGCATGTCTATATACATGTATATGAACGTGTGCATATAAGCAGGTGTATGTGTGTGCATGTGTGTTTATATGTGTATGTGTGCATATGAGCATTGTATATGTATGTGTGTGCATGTGTGTTTATATGTGCATATGAATGTGTGCATTGAGCGTGTATGTGCGTGTGTCTGTGCATGTGTTTATGTGTATATGAATGTGTGCATATGAGCGTGTGTGTATGTGTTTATATGTGTATATGTGTGCATATGAGCATTGTATATGTATGTGTGTGCATGTATGTGTGCATGTGTTTATATGTGCATATGAATGTGTGCATTGAGCGTGTGTGTATGTGCGTGTATGTGCATGTGTGTTTATATGTGTATATGAATGTGTGCATATGAGCGTGTGTTTGCATGTATGTCTATGCATGTGTGTTCATATATGTGTGTATGAATGTGTGCATATGAGCATGTGAATGTGTGTCCCTATGCACATGTGTATATGTTTGTATGTGTGTTTGTGGCATGTGGCTCTGGGGACACAGGGCTATAGGTGGTCCCATGACTCTTCTCCATCTCATCCCCGTGACAGCTGCCCCTACCAAGTCCTGTGCTCCCTCTTACCTCTTCCCTGGGATGACAGTGGTCACTTTCCCCATGTTTTGGATGGGGCCTGCTTGTCCCCAACGTCCTTTAGCACGAAGGGGACAGGTGTCCTATTCCTGTGAATGGCCGGTTACCTTCCAGGTGCGTTAGAGTGGCTCCTCTAACCAGCCCTGCAGGGATCTTATTAGATCTTATTAGAGTGGCTCCTCTAACCACCCCTGCAGGGGGGAAGTGAGGAGCCGCAGGGCTGTGGAGGGGTCCAGGTGTCACGGCCAGGACTTGTACCCGAGCCCGACACGGGCGGACCCAGGTGTGCGGGGATCCAGCCCAGGTGTGCCGGTGGCGGCCGCCCCCACGGAACCACCTGGCCCGCTCGGGGACCCAGGTGTGCTGAGAAGGGGGTACTGGCGTTGGCCCGGCGTGAAAGGTCACCCTGCACCCCCGCACCCAGGTGAGGCGGGCGCGGGATCCCGGTTGCCACAGGCATCGGAGCGGCCGGGAGCGGGGGCAGGGGGAGGCAATGAGAACTCCCGGGGAGGGGGCTCGCAGGGGCCGCATCGGACGCCTGGGCCGGCGGGGCAGAGGGAGGCGCCCTGCTCTCCGGTCCCTCCCTTTGCCTCCCTCCCGCCCCGGGCGCCGCCTGCGGGAGCCGACTCGTTCCAGGGGAGGCAGCGCCACCTGCTGGAGTGTGCGCGTCTGCGCACCGGGCCGGGTTCCGCAGGTCCTGGGGCTGCGCCCGAGACCCCCGACCGAGTCTTCGGCGCCTCCAGCGCTTCCCCGGCGTCTTGGGCTGCGAGGGGCCCTTTCCGCAGGGCGATGTTTTAGCAGTTCTGGGAGGAAGGGCCCACTGCCGTTGCCCTCTGAGGACCGAGGCCGAGAGCCTGGAGGGCGTGGAGAAGGGTCTGACCGCCGGCTCTGGTCCTCGGGCTCTTGGCGACAGCGACCTCCCTCCTCCTCCGGGCGATGGTGACGGGCGCTCTCAGAGTGGCGGCCACACTAGGCGCAGGGCCGTCTTCCAAGTGTGTGGTCCTCTCAGACCTATGGAGTTGGTGCTGTTCTGGCTCCCTCTTAAAGAGCGGGAAACTGAGACACAGAGAAGTCCCACCGCCGGGGGTCGGGGTGGGGAGGGCCTGGGATTGGAACCCAGGCATGCTGGCTTGTGTCACCTGTGGTTCTCTCTGCCTGAAGATTTTTTCACCTGCCTAACTCATGAGCTGCTACTTACCCTTTGGGTAGCATTAGATGTCGCCTCCTCCAGGAAGCCCTCCCTCCCCCTCCATGTGAGGGTGGGCGCTCCTGCTATATGTGGGCCTACCGGCCCTCTGCGGGCTGGATCATCACAGTCTGTTCACTTGTCTGCCTCCTACCCCTTGACGTGGGCTCCCAAGGATCATTTGTGTCTGTCTTGTTCACCTGCCCTTTGTAGTGAACCAAACCTTTAAGTGCACATTTTAAAATTGATTTCCAAGGGGGCTGAGAGCTATGGAGGAAGAGCCAGGTCAGAGAGTCATCAGAAGCCCATATTTTACAGGATGTGGCTGGGGGCCCCTCTGGGGTGCCCCTCCAAGGAAGATGCTGAGCTGGACCTGGAGCACCGTGGAGGCAGGACCATGTCTGCCATGCTCAGAGATGGGTGCCAGGGGCGCTGGCTTGTCACTCAAGACTCCCCACTCCATCTGCCCTCCCCCACTCTCCCACTAACCAGGGGGGACCCACCTGCACCTCTGGTCACCACTCATGCTCCCTGGTGCTGGGCACCCCAGGGACAGGAAGAGGGCTGGGTGTTCCTGGCTCCTGCACTGCTTCCCAGGCCTGATCCCCATCTTTCTGCACCTGCCTCCCACCCATCAGCTTCCGCTAGACTGGAAGCCTCCAGAGGGCAGGTGCTGCCCCTCTTTCCCTTGTGCCTGGATTCCGTTGGCATCTAATCACAGACGAGGGACTGTGTCCCCTTCTCCACCTCCGTGGAAACTGTGTCTCACTCTCTATTCCAGGCCGAGCTGTCCATCCTCTGCTGGAAGCCTTGTGCCATCAGCCCTCACCTCCCCCTTCAAGCCTAGACATTCTCTCTCCTGGCGTAAATATGTTAACTCAAGGTTCTTTGCTCTAAAACCAAGGAGTTGTCTCCTCTCCCAGGTCCACCTCCTCTCTCTCGTGAACTCCCTGCCCCTCCACCTCATCCCTCCTCCATGACCTCCCCCTACTCACCATCTGCCCCTTCTGCCAACCCAGCGAGCTGCAGCTCTCCCTGGCATGTCACTCTCTAAACCTTCTGTCCCTTGGTTACGAGTGCAGTTCTCGCCTGGATTTCTTCCCGGCTCTTTGACTTCTCCCCAACCCTTCTTTTTCTGTTTTCCCCTTAAATGTGGACATCCCCACGTCCAGGACCTGGTCTCTGGCCCTTCTCCTCTGATTCATCTCAGTGGCGTTTCTCCCAAATCCCCGATTGCAGCCACAGCCACATGTCAATTAGGTCACCTCCATGTCCCGGCTAAGACGTGCCTCCTGGCCCCTGATGCGCCATCTCCCAGATGGAAATGCCATCATTGTATTTTTGCTCTGTCCCCACCAAAGGCAACACAAAGCATCTCCATCTGTTCCTTCATGTTCCCTACTCAGTGAATGACCGCTTATTTACCCACTGGCCCAGGCTCAGCTTGGATGTCCCCGGGCCGTCGTTTCCAGATCTCATCTTCAAATCCTGGCGATCTTCGCCCAGGAGCTGTGGACTCCTCTTCTCTGCCTGCCGCCCCTGCCCTGTCCAGCGTCCACCTCTCCCAAATGGCCCACTGGGTCCCTCCCTCCTGGCCCCCCTGCATCTAGGAGCAGCCCTCCTCCAACAGTTGGAAGGGTCTTCCCAAAACACAGATGAGACCTTGTCATCTTGAAACTCTTCATTGGCTCTGAATTGTCTTAGGATCAAGCCCAAACTCCTTCAGAGTCTGGGAAGGGGCCCCTCGTTCTGGGTCTGGCTCTGTCTCCCAGGGTCTCCCCCGCCTTGCCTGCTCTGTCTGGCCACACTGACAGTGCCCTGATGGGCCATGTCCTCTTCCCCTCAGCGCCTTTGCGTGTCCCAGCTTTCTGAGCCCAGACAGCCCTCTCCCCATTTTGGGGGGCCCACCTCACCTATCAGGGTGCAGCTTCTCCTCTGAGAAGACTTCTTTGCTCCCCAAGCCTGGATTTGATGCCATCTGCCTGTATTGACCTGGCTAAGCCAACACCCTAGCCCTAGGCTACCCTCAACCAACACCCCTGACCACACTGTGTGTGAATTACACCCCTGACCACACTGTGTGTGAATTACACCCCTGACCACACTGTGTGTGAATTACACCCCTGACCACACTGTGTATGAATTACACCCCTGACCACACTGTGTGTGAATTACACCCCTGACCACACTGTGTGTGAATTCCTCCTTTCCTTGTTTCTGTGCCCATTCAAGCTGTAAGCCCCTTTGGAAGAGACTGGGCCTTCACAATTATCATCTCAGCACCAAGCACAGAACCCACCTCAATAAATGGTTAATTTGAGACTTCTGTCTCTCTCTTTTTTTTTTTTTTTGAGACAGAGTTTCGCTCTTATCCCGCAGGCTGGAGTGCAATGGTACGGATCTCGGCTCACTGCAACCTCTGCCTCCCAGGTTCAAGCGATTCTTCTGCCTCAGCCCCCCAAGTAGCTGGGATTACAGGCATGCACCACCACGCCTGCCTAATTTTTTTTTTCTTTTTTGAGATGGACCTGACTCTGTCACCCAGGCTGGAGTGCAGCGGCGCAATCCTGGCTCACTGCAACCTCCACCTCCCGGGTTCAAGTGATTCTCCTGCCTCAGCCTCCCAAGTAGCTGGGATTACAGGCGCCCGCCACCACACCCAGCTAATTTTTGTATTTTTAGTAGAGATGGGGTTTCACCATGTTGGTCAGGCTGGTCTCAAACTCCTGACCTCACGTGATCCACCCGCCTCAGCCTTCCAAAGTGCTGGAATTACAGGCGTGAGCCACCACGCCCAGACGAGACTGCTCTCTTTTAATTTATATTTATTTATTTATTATTTTTAGAGTCAGGGCCTCACCACATTGCTCCGGCTGGAGTATGGTGGCTACTTACAGGTGCCAGCACAGCATACGGCAACCTCAAATGACTGGTCTCAAGCGATCCTACTGCCTCAGCCTCTCAAGTAGCTGAAACTAGAGATATCTTTATTCTTAATGTAAGTATTTAGTGCTATAAGTATCCCTCTCGGCTGGGCACAGTGGTTCACACAGGTAATCCCAGTACTTTAGGAGGCTGAAGCGGGAAGATCACTTGAGGCCAGGAGTTCAAGACTGAGCAACCTCAAAACCCTGTTTCTAGCAAAAAAAGAAAAAAAGCAAGCTAGGTGTGGGGGGCATGTTCCTGTAGTCCCAGTTCATCAGGAGGCTGAGGTGGGAGGATTGCTTGAGCCTGAGGAGTCGAGGCTGCAGTGGGCTGTGATCACACCACTACACTCCAGCCTGGGCAACAGAGCAAGACTCTGTCTCAAAAAAATAATAAAAAATAAAAATAAGAAAATTTCTTTCTCAGCATTGCCTCAGATGCATCCCACATATTTTGGTATGCTGTCCTTTAATTCTCATTCAGTTTTATAGATTTCTTAATTTTCTTTGAGACTTCCTCATTGACGTGGATATTTAGAGGTGTACTGTTCAATTTCCAAGTGTTTAGAGATTTTCCTGTAGTCTTTCTGTTACTGATTTTTTTTTTTTTTTTTTGAAACAGAGTCTCACTCTGTCACCCAGGCTGAAGTGCAGTGGCACCATCACAGCTCAACCCCACCCCCCATCAGCAGTCTTGGCCCCACAATCCCTAGGCTCAAGCAATTCTCGTGCTTCAGCCTCCCAAGTAGTTGGGACTACAGGCATGTGCCACCACACCCGGCTATTTTTTGTAACTTTAGTAGAGTCGGGGTTTCACCATGTTGGCCAGGCTGGTCTCAAACTCCTGACCTCAAGTCATCCACATCACTTCTGGCCTCCGTAGTTTCAGATGAGATAATTTGAACTGGTGTCCCTATAGGTAATGTGTTGTTTCTCTGGCTGTTCTGAGGAGATTTTTTGTCTTTAGTTTTCAGAAGTTTAATGATGATATCTCAGTGTAGATTTCTTTGGCTTCTTCTGTTTGAAGTTCAGTTTCCTGAATCTGTAAGCTTATGTCTTTTACCAGATTTGGAAAGTTTTCAGCCATTATTTCTTCAAATACTCCTTCAGCCTCACTCTCTTCTCCTCCTTAGCCCCTATGATGTGAGTGTCAGATTTGTTTGTTATGGTCCCATTGGATGTGGACGTTCTGTTTATTTCTTATCCGTCTATTTTCTCCCTGTGGTTCAGACTGGGTACTTTGGATTGATCTGTCCCCAGATTCACTGATTCTGTCGTCTGTCATTTCCACTCTACAACTGAGCCCATCAGGGAGTTTTTAAAATTTCTGCAATGACATTTTTCAGTTCTGTAATTTCCATTTGGTTCTTTCTAAATACCCACTATTTCTTTGCTGAGAATTTCTATATTTTCATTTGTTTCAAGAGAATTTGCAATTGCTTGTTGAATTTTTTATTTTTATGTGTTTTTTTTGATGGTTGCTTTAAAATCCTGGTCACATGGCTGGGCGCAGTGGCTCATGCCTGTAATTCCAGCACTTTGGGAGGCCGAGGAGGGTGGATCACTTGAGGTCAGCAGTTCGAGGCCAGCCTGGCTAACATAGTGAAAGCCTGTCTTTATTAAAAATACAAAAATTAGCCGGGTATGATGGCACATGCCTGTAATCCCAGCTACTCAGGAGGCTGAGGCAGGAGAATCGCTTGAACTCAGGAAGCAGAGGTTGCAGTGAGCTGAGATCGCACCACTGCACTCCAGCCTGTGTGACAGAGTAAGACTGTCTCCAAAAAAAAAAAAAAAAGAGTAAAATCCTGGGCACGTAACTCCAACGTCTGATTCATCTCAGGGTTCAGTTGACGGTCTTCCCACTCACATTGTGATTTTCGTAGTTCTTGGTGGGATGAGTGAATTTCACCATATCCTGGACATTGTGGCTATTAGGTGAGGAGACTTCAGGTCCTGTTTGCATTTTTTACTTTGGTAGCAGCGGCCCTGCTTAGGTTTAGCACCCAGGTCTTGGGCTACTTTTGGGGGCTGTGGTTCCAATGAAAATCTGATTTGCAGAGCCTCTGCCGTGCTATAGAGGTCAGCTCGGCTTGTGTGGTGCTGCTTAAGGAGGCAGAAGGAGCTTTCCCAGGCTGGACATTCATTGCCTCCAGGTGGGAGAAGGGAGTCTCCCGCTCACAGGGACAGACAGGCCTTCTGCTTGTGGTGGGCTTTCTCCCTGCCATCAACGTCTCCCCCTCTCTCTGCTGTGCCATGATTTTGGGTGGGGGAGTGGAATTTCAGGTCCAGTGAGGAGGAAAGGGTTAACCCTGGCCAATAATTAGCAGGAGGGTGCTGGGCCAACCCCTTTGGTGGTTCTGCCTGGCTTGCTTGGTGGGTTTTTTGTTGTTCATTTTTTTTTTTTTTTTTTTGAGTTTGTCGCCCAGCCTGGAGTGCAATGGCGCAACCTTGGCTCATTGCAACCTCTGCCTCCCAGGTTCAAGCGATTCTCCTGCCTCAGCCTCCTGAGTAGCTGGGACCACAGGCACCCACCACCACGCCCGGCTAATTTTTGTATTTTTAGTAGAGGCGGGGTTTCACCATGTTGGCCAGGCTGGTCTCAAACTCCTGACTTCGGGTGATCCACCCGCCTCAGCCTCCCAAAGTGCTGGGATCACAGGTGTGAGCCACTGTGCCCAGCTTTTTTTTTTTTTTTTTTTACAGGTCTTACTCTGTTGCCCACGCTGGAGTACAGTGGTGCGATCATAACTCACTGCAGCCTTGATCTCCTGGGCTCAAGTGATCCTCCCACCTCAGCCTCCTGAGTAGCTGGGACTGTACGCAGCTGCCACTATGCCCGGCTAATTTTTAAGTTTTCTTTGTAGAGACAGGGTCTGCTGGGTTACCCAGGCTGGTATCAAATCCCTGGTCTCAAGAGATCCTCCTGTCTTGAAGCGCTGGGATTACAGCTGTGAGCAATCGGGCCCAGCCTTGCCTAGTGTGTTGGGGCGACTTGCCTTTAATCTAGGAGAGAAAGGAGCCTACTTGGCTGCCTTCTGTTGCTAGGTCGGGAGTTGGGAAATGCACGCCTGGGCGGGTCCTGTATTGGGTGGGGGTGAGGGGTGTCATAATGCCCTGTTGATAAATATTCCTGACCCAGCCTTGGGGTCCTTTACCAGCTCTCCTGCTCCTTCCACCTCAGGGCCCTCTTAGGGTTGCCTCTTACATTCTTTCCAGGGCTTAGCAGACAGGAACAGGGAGGGTCGGGTTTAGGCCATCTTACCCAGACCGGAAGTCTCTAAGTGTTTGATTGAGTGTTTGTTTGAAGAAAGTGATGAACCCAGGACCTCGAGCCAGGAAGATTTTTCCCGGTGAAAAGCAGAGGGATTGACTCACGCTCGGTTCTGAGTTCCAGGCCTGACTCCAGGGCTCACCAGCTTCTTCCACAACCCGCACAACTTGAACGCTTGGTAGCATCTCCACGCAGCAGTGGGCACCCTGGCTTCTGGAGGAGCCCAGGCTGCATTTACCCCTCCATGGTGCATCTCATAGGATCAACTGGACCCGCGAAAGGCACTGGCTGCGGAAAAGCAGCCAACTGCTCCCCAGCGAAGGGGATGGCCGGAAGCGAGGAGAGGGAGAAGCCCCAGCAGAGACCCCAGGAGGAAAAGACCCCACAACGGGGCCACTGGGAACCCATGATGTTGGTTACCAATGTGATTGGAGGTTCGGAACGACGGACGTGTGGCCCTGAAGTGGGAAACAGAAAAGCTGAAGGGCGAGACCTGGGAGGGAGCCCCCCACCCCCGCGGACTCCAGAGACCCAACCTTCCTTCCCTGCGCTCCGGCCGGACGTTCTCCCTGCCCCTGTGGCCGAGCCTGGTAAGTTCGCAGCAAACAGGAGTTTGGGGCTTTACAAGCCTCCAGAGGGGTCCATGGGCATTTGGGTAGATTGTTATACTGCCCCTGGCAGGAGGGCAAGGCCCTTCATGGGAGCCATAAGCTGGAGACCTAACAGAGCTCGCAGCTCGGCCACAGGGCTCTGTTCCAGGGGCATTGGCCACTGGCTTCCAGTACCTGTTCAGCCTCCCAGCTCCTTGTTGCCTGGAATCTCCACCACTGATCAGCGTGTAAACACCTATGTGGGGGACACGGGGGCAGGGGGGTCCAGGAAGGCAACTTTTGGGGGATAGGGTGGGAAGAAAGAGGGACCTCAGAGGCCAGTTCTTCCCCATCCTACTCTATTTCCTCCTGTAACCATGGGAAATGTCTTTCTGTGCCCGATCCTGTATGGGGTGCGGATGGGGCACACAGATGAATCAGACCCGGCCCCCTCTTTGTGCCAATTCATAAGCACTTCATCCACGGCTCAGCCCTGTGAAAGAGCTCCTCGGGCCCAGGAATGCAATACAGTGAGAACACTTTCCGGTCTTGCCTCCAGGTGACGATTCAGCACACAGGAAGGTGGCCCTGCCCAGGGCCAAGCTCTCTCTCAGTTGGCACCTGGCCAGGTGAGGGGGCTGCTCCCTGTCACAGAATAGGAAGCTGAGGCCCGTGGGGCCTCATAGGCACACAGCATGGGGCGGCAGACTGGGCCTCCTGACCGTCAGCGCTGTGAGGCCGATCTTCTTGCCCACTGCGGAGGCTCAGCCCCTCCCCTGCCCTCCAGGCCTGTCCTGCAACCACTCCACCTCTGCTGCTGGGGCCTGTGTGTGTCCCCCAGCTCCTCCTGCTGGGGCCTGTCTGTGGCTCCTGGAAGGTGTGACCCGGGTCACCTGTGGGCAGAGGCCTCACTCACACCCCCGGCCTCTCATGTTGCCATCCAGCTCTGTCCTGCTCTCCCTCCCCCAGTGGGGGTTTAAGCTCCTCGTGGGCTGCCTCCCCGACCCCGGCGCCCTCTGTCTCCACGGAAGCCTGTCATTTCCGAGGCCTGAGTCACCACTGGCTGGTTGCAGCCGGGTCAGCGTGCCACCCGGCACGAGGCACAGACATGAGCTACTGGGTCCTGCACCCTGTGGTTAGGAGCTCAGAGGCCTCTTTCTAGGGGACGTTGCCAGTGAATAAGTCTTTCAGGGCAGAGGCAGGGTGGAGAAGAACCACTCCTCTATTCCCTTACCCTCCCACACCAGGAATCGCTGGGCTCCCTGTGACCAGGGACTTTCCCAGATGCCTGGGATTTTGGATGAAGCTGGAAAGCAGAGAATGCCCATGTGCCTACTCAGTGCAGACAGGGTGCCCGACGTGCCTACTCAGTGCAGACACGGTGCCCGACGTGCCTACTCAGTGCAGACACGGTGCCCGACGTGCCTACTCAGTGCAGACAGGGTGCCCGACGTGCCTGCTCAGTGCAGACAGGGTGCCCGACGTGCCTGCTCAGTGCAGACAGGGTGCCCGACGTGCCTGCTCAGTGCAGACAGGGTGCCCGACGTGCCTGCTCAGTGCAGACAGGGTGCCCGACGTGTCTGCTCAGTGCAGACAGGGTGCCTGACGTGTCAATGTTGGACATCTCAAAAGGTGGCATACGGTCCCAGCAGAGAGCTGCAGTGGGGTTACGGGCACAGACCGGGAAGCATGCTGCTGCCAGGAACTGAATTTGGGCTCCCCTGCAGAGAAGCTGTGAGACCTCAAGCAGGGGACTTAAGCTCTCTGTGCTTCTGTTTCCTCATCTGTGAAATGGGTGCTAGAGGAACTGTGATGAGGTGTCAGTGAATCTGCAGCATAAAGCCCAGAGCCAAAGCCACTTGCAAACGAGGGCTCATATCAGAGGGGCTTGCTGGAGGCAAGTTTTGAGGAATAGAGATGGGACTGTGAAGGGACTCAAGCCAGGATAGGGGGCCCCCCGAGCACCCCTGGCAAAGGAGCCTCTGCTGGTGGTTTTCTGAACTCGAGTCCTGGCCCCAGGCAGAAGTGGGGAGCTTTCTTGGGAGGGCTTGGCCACCTCGGCTGGGGCTGGGTGCAGAGAGGCAGCAGCCCTGCCCCTGGAGCCTTCTGAAGGGTGGCTGGAGCTGCCTGGGCAGGTCACCCTCCACATTTCCAGCGTTTCCCAGGGAAGGGTGCTCGAAGTTGCCATGCAACACCAGGAGGGTAGGTTCAGGTGGGAGGCTCATGAAGGGCTCGCTGCCTGGATGGCACTGAACCACAAGGACCAGCAGCTGGGGTGGGTGGGGCTGCCTGGGGGAGGGGTGCCCTGGAGGATGTCCTTTGCAGGGGATGGGAGAGAGGAGGCATGTATGAGGGTGGAGGGGAGCAAGGAGGTAGAAGGGCTGATCCCTACTACTGCCCCCTGCAGCTTGCCATCAGATGTGAGACGGAAGTTTTGACTTAGACTGGTTTGGTTATTTTAATATGGGACAGCAAGCCTGGATTGGCCAAGATGAGATGGTTCATTTGCTGAAGCTAGATGAACAGCTTTGGGAACTGCCTAAGTTGTTAACCAAAGTGATGAAGGAGGCCCATAGGGTATGAGGGAAGGCCAGAATGGAATCCATCCCCATCACCTCCTCCATCCCCATCACCTCCCCACTTCCTTCATCCCCATCACCTCCTCCATCCCCATTACTTCCTCCATCCTCACCTCCTTCATCCCCATCACTTCCTCCATCCTCATCACCTCCCCATCTCCTTCATCCCCATCACCTCCTCCATTCCCATCATCTCCTCCATTTTATCACCTCCCCCATCCCCATCACCTCCTCCATCCTCATCACCTCCTCCATTCCCATCATCGCCTTCATTCTATCACCTCCTCCATTCCCATCACCTCCCCACCTCCTTCATCTCCATCACCTCCTCCCCATCTCCATCACCTCCTGTCACCTCCTCCATCCCATCATCTCCCCACCTCCTCCATCCCCATCACCTCCATCCTCATCATCTCCTCCATTCCCATCACCTCCTCCATTCTATCACCTCCTCCACCTCCACATCCTGAGCCACTTCCCCTCAGCTTCATTTCCTGAAACAGCCCCTCCTCACCCTCTCCAGCTTCCTTTCCTTCACCTTACCATGCTCCTTTCTGGAAGGCACCACTCCAAACCGTCTCCTTGGAAAAGCAACTTCAGCCCCAGTGCCTGTCCCTGCTACACCCAACGTTCCTGTCTGGAAAAGAGTTGCTCTTTATTCAGCACGTGAGTTCCTGACCCCCAGATAAGGGCCAGTGCAGCCGGGGAGGGAAGCATTAGTGCTGCCGGGTGGAAGGTGGACGGCGCCTGGATCCAGACCCAGCAGTGCTCATGGGGCCAGGCCTGGTGCTCGTTCTTTCTCAGTCCTTAACGCCACCTTGCAAGGTGGGGATTGTCCTCCCATCTGGCCATGAAGAGCTGAAGCAGAGAGGTGCAGTCGCTCATCTGCGCTCACTGGTCAGTGGGTCGCTGCGTCCCCAGAGGCCCCTGGGCAGGGTGGGCGCTGCGTCCCCAGAGGCCCCTGGGCAGGGTGGACGCCTCTGCAGGTGCCCGCACAGGGGCTTTCTCCTTCACTTGGCCACACTCAGCCTTTGATCTGAAACAATGAAAGCCCCTGAGTCACTGGTCCTTCCCGAGCCCGTGTGTGGCCCACAGCAAGGAGCTGCCTGTCCCAAGTTCGGGGGGTTTCTTTGGCTTACGCGGATACTGTATGTGAGTGTTGGCAGAGCAGCGTGAGCCTCGGCCTGCAAACTCAGGACGGCACCAAGCCCCATCGCCTTGGTATCTTCCAGGTGGACCCTCAGCCTGCTGAGTGGACAGGAAACCATCTGTCATTTAGGGTTCCTGCTCCCAACTCCCCCCAACAGCTGTCACCACCACCGTGGTTGTGCAAAGGTCCCAGGCCTTTCAGAGTGGGCCCTGATCACTGTCCATCCTGGCCGGGTCTGCTGAAACAAACATGGTCACAATCTCGTGGTACTTTCTGCCTCGTGGCTCTGTGTCCACACTGGAGAGACTAGGACCCAATCCTGGGGCCCCTCCCACAGGCGCCATATGGCTATTCCCCTCAGAGACGCACCAGGCCAGCCCCACTGCCCTCAGGACCAACCTCCAACTTCTCCTCGGCTTGGGATCTCCGGTTTCTCTCTTTGTCAAGGCACCCTGATATGGTTCGGCTCTGTTCCCACCCAAATCTCATCTCGATTTGTATCCCCACGTGTCAAGGGAGGGACCTGTAATCCCCATGTGTCGAGGGAGGGAGGTGATTGGATTATGGGGGCGGTTCCCCCATGCTGTTCTCAGGACGGTGAGTGAGTGAGTTCTCACGACATCTGGTGGTTTTATAAGTGTTTGGCAAGTTCCTTCGCTCACTCTTCTCTCTCCTGCCACCTTGTGAAGGAGGTATTTGCTTCCCCTTCACCTTCCGCCATGACTGTAAGTTTCCTGAGGCCTTCCCAGCCATGCAAAACTGTGAGTCAATTAAACCTCTTTCCCGGCCGGGCGTGATGGCTCATGCCTGTAATCCCAGCACTTTGGGAGGCCGAGGCAGGTGGATCACTTGAGGTCAGGAGTTCGAGACCAGCCTGGCCAACATAGAAACCCCATCTCTACTAAAAATACAAAAAATTAGCTGAGTGTGGTGGCGGGCGCCTGTAATTCCAGCTACTCAGGAGGCTGAGGCAGGAGAATCACTGGAACCCAGAAGACGGAGGTTGCGGTGAGCCAAGATCATGCCATTGCACTCCAGCCTGGGCAACAAGAGGGAAACTCCATCTCAAAATAAATAAATAAATAAAAATAAAAACAAAAGACCCCTTTCCATTATAAATTACCCAGTCTCAGGGAATTTCTTTATAGCAGCATGAGAATGGACTAAGATACACCCCTCCTTCATCCGCCATGTGCAGCCGGCGAGCACAGCTCTTCTGAAGAGACAGGAGGTACCCACGTCTCACATCAGCTTCTGCCCTGTGCCCTGCACAAAATCCCTGACATCTTAGAATACGGCCTGGGAAAATATGGAGGGTATGAATAAATCAGAATCTTGAGAATCATCCCCGTGCAGGGGCCTTCTGCAGCCAGGTGGCCCCTGGGGGCTATGGGTGTCCCCTGGAGGGAGCAAGGGAATGGTCTGCCTTGGGGACAGTAAGGCAGTGCAGTTATGGGACTGCCAAGGTTGGTCTCTTCTAGGGCTCTTCGGCCTCTGGTGGGTTCCCGTGTTTGTAGGGGCTGCTCAGAGGGACCATAGCTGGGGTAGAGCGAGATGCCCCAGGAACAATGATCTCCAGCTGTCGCAGCTGTTAAATGGACATTTATGAAAACAAACCATCAGCGCCATCAGGAGCCAGGATTGTCCCTTCTTTCTATTCTGCAGGAGCGTGCATCACCTGTGAGCTTTGGATCACCGAGACTGTGGGTCCTGACCCATTATTCATGCATTTGTAGAATTTCCTGGGGGCCACAGAAACTGGCCTGAGGACCATACTTGCCAATCCTCAGTGCCCAGAGAACGAGGTGAACAAGTAATCCTGCTCCTTTTATCTTTTTGAGACGGAATCTCGCTCTATCACCCAGGCTGGAGTGTGGTAGCATGGTCTCACCACAACCTCCGCCTCCCAGGTTCAAGTGATTCTCCTGCCTCAGCCTCCCGAGTAGCTGGTACTACAGGCTCCCGCCACCACACCCAGCAAATTTTTGAATTTTTAGTAGAGATGGGGTTTCACCGTGTTGGCCAGGCTGGTCTGGAAGTCCTGACCTCAAGTAATCTGCCTGCCTCGGCCTCCCAAAGTGCTGGGATTACAGGTGTGAGCCACTGCACCCGGCCTGTTTCATCTATATTGTTCTTTACCACACTCTCGGTGACATCAGCCAACTAACTTATTCTCTCTTCAATGTATCCAGCCAACTACATTCTGTCTGTTGGCTTCTTAATTTCAATAATTACACCTTTTGCACACAGACCACAACAGGGTGAAAAATGTAATATATAAATACTAAAATGTAAAGCTTTTTTTTTTTTTTTTTTTTTGAGACAGGGTCTCACTCTGTCACCCAGGCTGAAGTGCAGTGGTACAATCATAGCTCACTACAACCTCAAACTTCTGGGATCCAATGATTCTCCTGCCTCAGCCTCCCAAGTAGCTGAGACTACAGGTATGCATCAACCACACCCAGCTAATTTTAAATTTTTTTTTGTAGAGATGAGGTCTCACTTTGTCACCCAGGCTGATCTCAAACTCCTGGGCTCAAGCAATCTGCCCACCTTGGCCTCCCAAAGTGCTGGGAATACAGGTGTAAGCCACCATGCCTGGCCCATGAAAAACATTTTTTAAAAAGAGAATATAAAAAAATTTTAGAAGGAAGAAAAAACTAAAATAAATAAAAATCATACCTTTAACTTCCAGGATTTCTCACTGATTATTTTTCGTGACCACCTGTTCTTATTTAAGCCAGTTTTTTTTGTTTTTTTTGTGTTTTTTTTTAGACAGAGTGTCACTCTGTCACCCAGGCTGGAGTGCGGTGGCGTGATCTCGGCTCACTGCAACCTCTGCCTCCCAGGTTCCAGCAGTTCTCCTGCCTCAGCCTCCTGAGTAGCTGGGACTACAGGTGAGCGCCACCGCACCTAGCTAATTTTTTATATTTTTAGTAAAGACGGGGTTTGCACCATATTGACCGGGCTGGTCTCGAACTCCTGACCTCGTGATTTGCCTGCCTGGGCCTCCCAAAATGCTGGGATTATAGGCATGAGCCACTGCGCCTGGCCTTAAGCCAGTTTTGGTTTTACAACTTCTTGTTTTCTTTGATGATCCTAAACATTTTAATTTGAAATCATTTTCAGATTCTTCCGTTATTTCCATTTCACCTGCAATGATTTAAGGGTTGATTTTTCTTAATTGTCTTTATTAGCAGCAGCTTTGCCATGTGGTTGGGGTGAGGTGTGTAGGTTTGTCTTGGGTAAATGCCTCTCTCATTTCAGTCAATCTCTGTCTCTCTTTCTTCCTCTTCCTCTTCCTCTCTCTTTCTCCTCTTTTTTGCTCTCTCTCCCCGCACCTTCTCTCCCCCACTCTCTCCCCCAAATGGTGAGGTCGTGTGTTGTTGGCTCAGAGTTCCCACCTCCCGGGGGCTACTGGGGATTTTGCTGTCCGGGTGCTGAGTCCCTGGGTGCCAGGGCTCTGAGGCCATGGCTGCTTTCTCCCCTCTCCAGGTACACAGCTGGGAAGCCCTGTCCCCACCCCTATGAGTGGCTCCAGTGCCCTGCCTCATTTTTAGTATCTGTTACATGGAGATGGTTATCTTACTTTTTAAAAAATTATGGCTATATCTTTTAATTTTTTCTTTTTAAAGTTTATCTGTCTTTGCTATACGGGATGACTTGAAAAATGAACTTAAAATGCCATCTTTTTAATGCTTTAAATATTTTCTTTTATTGTGAGCCCATTAAAATAGAAAAGCAGTGTAAATTTTTAGTTTTTTGGAATGTAATGGGTTTGGAGGTTAATTTTTAAAAATAAGGCCTCATCAAACCAACTCAAATGTGAGTTCAGCTGAGTGTTTTTTTTCCCCACAGTGGGGAGGCCCTGCCAGCTTCATGCAGGCCACAAATAATAAATTACTGTTCCCGGCCGGGCGCGGTGGCTCACGCCTGTAATCCCAGCACTTTGGGAGGCCGAGGCGGATGGATCACCTGAGGTCAGGAGTTCGAGAGCAGCCTGTCCAATATGGTGAAACCCCGTCTCTACTAAAAATACAAAAAATTAGCCAGGCGTGGTGGTGTGCACCTGTAGTCCCAGCTACTCGGGAGGCTGAGGCAGGAGAATTGCTTGAACCCAGGAGGCGGAAGTTGCAGTGAGCCAAGATTGCGCCACTGCACTCCAGCCTGGGTGACAGGGCAACACTCTGTCTAAAAAAAAAAACAAAAAACTGTTCCTATTTAAAAGTTGGAGGTAATAAAATTTCCCTGCAAGATAAATGCTATCAGTTTCTCTCTATTGGAAGCCTGCTTGCTAATTGAAGTTAATTGCTAATTTTTGATAAACTATTTTGTTGAATTATAACATCGACATAGAAAAATGCACACATTGTAAGTGTGCAACATGATGAACGTTCACATGTGGACATATCCATGTAGCGTCTGCTCAAAAATCTCGAACAACTCGGGCGTGGGGCGGGGGTCATTAACTCCACTTCATGGGTAATGAAACAAAATATCAGATAAGTCACGTGACTTTTTCTCCCCAAGGTTCTCAGCTAGGAAGAGACATGCAGCCTGGGCACAGTGGCTCACGCCTGTAATCCCAGCACTTTAGGAGGCTGAGGCAGGCGGATCACCTGAGGTTGGGAGTTCAAGACCAGCCTGACCAACATGGAGAAAGCCCATCTCTACTAAAAAAAAAAAATACAAAAATTAGCCAGGCGTGGTGGCGCAGGCCTGTAATCCTAGCTACTTGTGAGGCTGAGGCAGGAGAATCGCTTGAACGTGGGAGGTGGAGGTTGCATTGAACCGAAATCACGCCATTGCACTCCAGCCTGGGCAACAAGAGCGAAACGCGAAACTCCATCTCAAAAAAAAAAAAAAAAAAAAAAAAAAAAAAAAAAAAAAAGGAAGAGACATGCAGGGAGGGTCACAGGCCAGATCTGCAGCCCCACATTCAAGAAGTGGCTCTGAGCCCCTGCTGCAGCCAGGGGAGGGGCTGAGAAGGTGGGAAGTGCCAGCTGAGGGCAACTGAGCACAAAACACTGAAGTCAGTCAGATGGGCCCAGGAGGGATGAGGGGGCAGGGCTTGTGGGGGATGCCAGGGCTGGAGAGTGCCTGTGGCTGGTCTGACCCTGACCCTGGGGTTGGAACAGTCATCTTAGCTCCCCAGGCTTTGGAATTGGGATTTTGAGATCCTGTATCTCTTTTTTTTTTTCAAAACTAGAGGGCTTTGATGGGGTCATTCAGTTTTTATGTGACCAAAAAGACATGTATTTCTAAAGACACACACTACTTGCTACTGCCATGTTTTATTTCCTTATTTACAAAAATTTTCGGCCGGGCGCAGTGGCTCATCTCTGTAATCCCAGCACTTTGGGAGGCCGAGGCAGGTGGATCGCCTGAGGTCAGGAGTTTGAGACCAGCCTGGCCAACATGGAAAATACAAAAAAAAAAAAATTAGCTGGACATGGTGGTGCATGCCTGTAATCCCAGCTGCTTGGGAGGCTGAGGCAGGATAATCACTTGAACCTGGGAGGCGGAGGTTGCAGTGAGCCGAGATCGCGCCATTGCACTCCAGCCTGGGCGACAAGAGTGAAACTCCTTCTCAAAAAAAAATTCAGGCCAGGTGCGGTGGCTTATGCCTGTAATCCCAGTACTTTGGGAGGCTGAGGCAGGAAGATTGCTTGAGGCCAGGAGTTGGAGACCAGCCTGGGCAACATAACAAGACCTCATCTTTACTAAAAAAGTAAATAAATAAAATTAGTCAGGTGTGTTGGTACACACCTGTAGTGCCAACTACTCGGGAGGTTGAGGTGGGAGGATTGCTTGAACCCAGGAGGTCACGGCTGTAGTGAGCCACGATGGCACTGCTGTACTCCAGCCTGGGTGACAGAGTGAGACCCTGTCTCAAAAAACAACAAAAAAATTTTCAGTGGCCAGTTACTAGATAGCATTGTTTTATTTTTTGAGGACACTCTCTCTCTCTCTCTCTCTCTCTCTCTCACACACACACACACACACACACAAAGGAAAGAAAAAAAAGAATGAAGACCAGTCCTTTGAACACCTTCAGCTTTACAAAACAACCTCTTTGCGTTGTCTTCTTTTATCTCCTTTTGCCTTGGACAGGTGAGAACTTGTCACAGGCTGGCCTCGGCCCTCAGCCTGGTGTCTGGGAGCCCTGAATGGCTGGGAGCGGGGGAGGGGTCAGCAGTGATCTCTTTTAGGGCTAATTGTGTAGGTCGGGGTGGCGGGAGGTATGGGGGTGGTGGTGGTGAAGCCTCTGGGTTTCCAGACTTAGGAAGTAAAACTACAGGCTACGCAGTTACACCTGAATTTCAGATAAACAATCATTTCTTTTAGTGTAAATATGTCCCAAATATTTTATACTAACAGAAATTATTTGCCGCTTATCTGAAATTCAAGTGTAACTGGGCGGCCTGTATTTTATCAGGCAGTCCTCGCCAAAAGACACTTTCAAGGAGATTTGGGACTGAGCAGAGTGTGCTAAGGAGACCTGAGATGATGCCTGTGGGCGCCGAGTGGCCGAGTGACTCTCGTCTCCTGACTCTGCTCCCTGCGACCCGAGCCACCTGCAGCTGCAGCCCCTGTGGGCCTGGAGCCCGTTTCGCAACACCCCCACCAGCGCCGCTTGGCAGGGGTATTTATTTATGTTTTTAATGAAAGCAAATTAAGATTCACTTACTCTTGAGAGCTGTGCTACGATTGCCCTTGTGATAAGTGGAGACACCTGGCTTTTCTCTACCTGGCCGGTTGCCTACGAGAGAGGCCTGCGTGGGGTTCAGTTTCCCAGGCTGGTCCCGCAGTGGCTTTTCAATCCGTCATCAAATCTTCATCAGGCGTCTCTGCACACAGCACTGAGGGAAGCACTGGCGTCCAGGCTATAGTCAGGCTCCCTGCCCTCCATCACTCACCATCTACCTGGGGGTGCAGTAGCGCCCCAGGAAGAGTGAAACAATAGGTATATTATCCCCAACCCCACCCATGGCACGGGCATTGCTGTCCCCCACAGAGCAGATAAGAAAACTGGGGCTCAGATGTTGAAGGACCGTGTTGAAGAGCACAGAGCTGGTTTGTAGCAGAAGTGGAATTTCCACCTTGATCTCTGGGTTCCCTCTACCAGACCCATGGTTCTCAGCCCAGGGAGCACTGAAAAAAGCTCCAGGCCCAGATATTCTGATTTAATTGTTCTGGGGTGGGTACTTTTTAAAGTTCCTGAAGATTCCAGTGTGCAGAGAGACCTGGGCCTCCCCCCACCATTGAGACAAGTGCCTGCTCCGGCTGTTCAGAGGAGGCAGCCCCACAGCAGGAGAAGCCCCTCTCCACTGAGGACAGATCAGAGTCCGCAGAAAGAACATGCCGGGGACTGGATGGCTTGAGCAGCGCTGAGTGGGAATGCACGAGGGACACTAGGGCAGTGACTGGCCCCTCCTGCAGGTCCGGAGGGCTCATGAGGCGAGTAAGAGGGAAAGCTGAGATTAAGTGAGATTCTAGGCTGGGCGTGGTGGCTCACACCTGTAATCCCAGAACTTTGGGAGGCCGAGGTGGGCAGATCACCTGAGGTCAGGAGTTCGAGACCAGCCTGGCCAACATGGTGGAACCCCATCTCTACAAAAAATACAAAAATTAGCCGGGCGTGGCGGCGCACGCCTGTAGTCCCAGCTACTCAGGCGGCTGAGGCAGGAGAATTGCTTGAACCCAGGAGGCAGAGGTTGCAGTGAGCTGAGATCATGCCACTGCACTCCAGCCTGGGCAACAAGAGCAAAACTCCATCTCAGAAAAAAAAAAAAAAAAGGATGAGATTCTAGATGGAAGCTAAAGGATGAGATTCTAGATGGAAGCTGGAGGATGAGATTCTAGATGGAAGCTAAAGGATGAGATTCTAGATGGGAGCTAGAGGGAAGCTAAAGGATGAGATTCTAGATGGGAGCTAGATGGGAGCTTGCCTCAGGCTTTTCTGTTGATGTTTCTCAGGGATCCTCTCTTCCCCTGGAGCAAAAGGCACAGATGAAGTGTCAGGGAGGACGCCAGTCCCATATCTTCTTCTCACCCTGGAGTGGCAGTTTCCTCACAGAAAGCCCATCCTGGCTCCTCCCCCTGCAAGGAGGGATGTGGAGGGACAGAGGAGCAGCAGGCAAGGCCAGCAGGAGGTGACATAGGCAGGGAGGACCAGGCCAAGGTTGGGAGGAGTCTACATTTGGCGCTGGGGTTGGACACCTGGCTGACCTCTAGTGTGTGGCCTTGCGGTGGCTGATGGATGCCCCTCCACCCCCATCCCACAGTGCCTATGTTCCCCAAAGGGTGTCCCGTGGAACTGGCAAGGTGCCTTGTGATGAAAAGGTTCTGGGGTCAATACATTTGGGAAATGCTGCATGCTGTAGCCCTTATGGACACCCACAGCCCCCACGAGCCTCCTACAGGCTCTGAGAAGTCCAGCAATGAAGAGAAGCCTGTGAAGGTTTGTTTCACGTTCAACTGTTGCCACTTTGTGACCTCAGAGCCCTCTTTTCTGTGTGACATTGACACCTATGCACATGACGGAGGGCACCCTGCAGCAGGCAGGCGCAACGCAAGGGGCGCGGCTGCACCAGGCTCCCCCCGTGGAGTGATTCGCTAAAGAAGGTGGGAAGTGGGGGTGTCTCTAGCATCTGTGGTCCCCAAGTTAATGAGGAGGAGCCATGCCCTGCTCAGGCTGCTGGTGAGGGAGGGAAGTGCCTTCTCTGAGGATGCGCTTGTGATGAATCCAGGAAGGGGGCGCTCTTCGGGGGAGCCCAGCAGCTGTCAGAAGCCTGGTGTGGAGGACCAGGAGCGCCTGAACCTCAGGGCTTGAGGCTGCGCCCTGGCTCGCCTGGTCTGGGGGGAAGCTCAGGCCTCTGTGGGCCTCAGTTACTGACAGACCCAGAACCCTGCCTCGTGGGGAGGGAATCAGTGTGTGTGAGCTGCGTGATCTCAGACTCTGCATCATATATTCTATAGAATGCAGGCGTACATGGAAACCGCACATCAGGAGCGGATGGCGAAAGACTGCTTGAAAATTGGCTGCAGACCAAACCACCTAAATCCAGAAACAAACCGAAACTTGCTTTAGGTCCTAATAACAGTGAGTTTACTTGTAAAAGCTTTCATTAATTTAAGATAAAACAAAAGACCCTTTAAAGTATAATAACACTGGTTGGGCACAGTGGCTCACGCCTGTAATCGCAGCACTTTGGAAGGCCGAGGCAGGTGGATCATCTGAGGTCAGGAGTTCGAGACCACCCTGACCAACATGTTGAAACCCCGTCTCTTTTTTTTTTTTTTTTTTTTTTTTGAGATGGAGTTTTTGCTCTGTTGCCCATGCTGGAGTGCGATGGCACAATCTCGGCTCACTGTAACCTCCACCTCCCGGGTTCAAGTGATCCTTCTGCCTCAGCCTCCTAAGTAGCTGAGATTACAGGTGCCCACCACCACGCCCAGCTAATTTTGTTTTTGTTTTTGTTTTGAGAGACGCTCACTGTGTCGCCCAGGCTAGAGTGCAAAGGTGCGATCTTGGCTTATTGCAACCTCTGCCTCCTGGGTTCAAGCGATTCTCCTGCCTCAGCCTCCTGAGTAGCTGGAATTACAGGCACGTGCCACCAGGCCTGGCTAATTTTTGTATTTTTAGTAGAGACGGGGTTTCACCATGTTGGTCAGGCTGGTCTCGAACTCCTGACCTCGCAATCCACACGACTTGGCCTCCCAAAGTGCTGGGATTACAGGCATGAGCTACTGCACCCGGCTAATTTTTGTATTTTTAGTAGGGATGAGGTTTCACCATGTTGGCCAGGCTGGTCTCAACCTCTTGACCTCAAGTGATCCACCCGCCTTGGCCTCCCAAAGTGCTAGGATTACAGGCGTGAGCCACCATGCCTGGCCTGAAACCCCCTCTCTACTAAAAATACAAAATTAGCCAGGTGTGGTGGTGCATGCCTGTAATCCCAGCTACTTGGGAGACTGAGGCAGGAGAATTACTTGAACCCGATATATATAGTGTATGTATATAATAACACTGAGATAGGCACAGTGGCTCATGCCTGTAATCCCAGCACTTTGGGAGGCCAAAGTGGGAGGATGGCTTGAGCCCAGAAGTTTCAGACCAGCCTGGGCAATAGAGTGAGACACCATCTCTACAGAAAATTTGCAAATTACCCAGATGTGGTGGTGGGCACCTATAGTCCCAGCTATTCATGAGGCTGAGGCCGGAGGATCACTTAAGCCCAGGAGGTTGAGGCTGAAGTGAGCTATAATCATACTGCTGTACTCCAGCCTGGGAGACACAGCAAGACCCTGTCTAAAAAAATAAATAAATAAAATAATATACTAACATTGATTTCAAAAAATGTGTCCATGGATAAAAATATAATGAATATATTCATCACACATGGATATGTTCCTGGACATATCAGTATATATCATGTATATCTTTTTTTCCAAAATGTGAAAGTAAGTTTATTATAGAAAATATGGAAAACAGAGAAAAATACAATGAAGAAAATAAGTCACATTTGGTGTATTGCCTTCCTGTATTTTTATGTTTTACATTTATTATGTTTTACATTTATTATGTTTTATGTTTCTGTTTTCTACAAGAACAAAATCCGGCCAGGCACAGTGGCTCACGCCTGTAATCCCAGCACTTTGGGAGGCCAAGGTAGGTAGGTCACTTGAAGTCAAGAGTTTGAGACCAGCCTGGCCAACATGGTGAAACCCCGCCTCTACTAAAAGTACCAAAATTAGCCGGGCCTGGTGGCACGTGCCTGTAATTCCAGCCACTTGGGAGGCTGAGGCAGGAGAATCACTCAAACCCAAGAGGTGGAGTTTGCAGCGAGTTGAAATCATGCTACTGCACTCCAACCTGGGAGACAGGGTGAAACTGCGTCTCAAAATAAATAAATAAAGTAAAATCTTTATTTACATATAGTACCTGTTGCCTTCATTTTAAAAATGTTTTATTTTATTTTATTAGAGATGGAGTCTTGCTCTGTTGCCTGGGCTGGAGCGCAGTGGTGCGATCTCAGCTCACTGCAAACTCTGCCTCCTGGATTCAAGCAATCCTTTAGCCTCAGCCTCCAGAGAAGCTGGGATTACAGGTCCGTGCCACCATGCCCGACTAATTTTTGTATATTTTTGTAGAGACGTGGTTTGACCATGTGGGCCAGGGTGGTCTTGAACTCCTGACGTCAGGCAATCTGCCTGCCGCAGCCTCCCAAAGTGCTGGGATTATAGGTGTGAGCCACCGCGCCCGGCCTTAAAAAAGTAATTTATTAAAGTGAAATTCACATAACACAAAATGAACCATTTGAAAATGAACAACTCAGGGGCCTTTAGTTCATTCAGTGTTGTGCTACCACCATCTCTACCTGTTCCGAGATGGTTCCTCTGGTTTTCATTGACACTTGTCACAGTTGAGCACACTCTCCCACCCAGTCAGAGAACTTTTATTTATTTAACTCTCAACCTAGTATTGAAGACTTGCTTGTTTTCAATTTCTTGGTCTTGTAAATGGGGCTCCTACAGACACCCTTGTGCATACCTTTGGTCGGACTGTCTATTTCCTGACGGCAGGGCCCTGAGCAATCTCGTCCCACAGCTCAGTACCCCCCTCTACCTGGATGACTCACAGAGTTATATTTCCAGCAGAGACTCTGCCTCTGCACACCAACCCATATATCCCAGCGCCCACCTGGTAGTTCCCCTTGGATGCATTGAACACACAACACGACACGCCCAGAGCCAGCCCGTCCTCTCTCTGCAAGGTGCCACCTGCCATCCTGCTGCTCCCGCCGGAATCCTGAGAGTCATCCCTGGCGATTCGCGCCCCAGCTCAGCCTCCAGATGCAGCCCAACCCCAGTTCTGGGTGATTTTATCTTTGGAATTTTGCTCAAATACATTCCCATCTCTCCCTTTCCCCAACCTAGGTCCAAGCCAGCATTTCCTCTTGCCTGAAGCACAACCTAGACTCCTAACCGGACTCTGGTCCGTCCGGTCACTCCACATCTCACTGAGAACCAAGATTGCAAAATGCAGATTAGATCGCCTAGCCCTGCTTCCCTCTCAGAACTTTCTCTGACTTCCTACTCCTCTTAATATAAAAATCCAATTCCTTAATGTGTCTACAAGGCCTGGTTCCTCCACTATGTCTCCAGACTCTCTGGGCTCTGACCTCCAGGGCCCTCTTCCCATTCCTTGTGTGGACCACACTCCTTGCAGCCACAGGACCTTTGCACAGGCCATTCTCCGCCAGCACCCTCAGCCCTCTGTTTTTCCTGGTTAATCCTTGCTCATCATCCCATCTCAACCTGGTCTTCCCTGCCCTCCACCATGGGAGAGTCCCTGCTCTCTCCTTGCACCTACTTACCCTTTACCGCTGTTGTCATTTTATTTGGATTATATGATTATTTGATCAACATCTGTTCTCCCTACCAACGTATAAGCACTCCATACCGCTCTTGTTATTTATTTATTTATTGAGACAGAGTTTCCCTCTGTCGTCCAGGATAGAGTGCGGCGGCGTGATCTCCACTCCCTGCAACCTCCGCCTCCGGGGTTCAAGGGATTCTCCTGTCTCCACCTCCCAAGTAGCTGGGATTACAGGCCCCCGACACCACGCCTAGCTAATTTTTCTATTTTTTAGTAGAGATGGGGTTTCACCAGTTGGCCAGGCTAGTCTTGAATTCCTGATCTCAGCTCTTGTCATTTTATTTGGATTTATTCTAAGATTATTTGATCAACATCTGTTTTCCCTATCAAAATATAAGCACCCCATCCTGGGGCCCATAATGAGTAATCAAGAAATATATGTTGAGGCCGGGCGTGGTGGCTCATGGCTGTAATCCCAACACTTTGGGAGGTCGAGGTGGGTGGATCACTTGAGGTCAGGAGTTCAAGACCAGCCTGGCCAACATGGTGAAACCCCATCTCTATTAAAAATACCAAAAAATGAGCCGGGTGTGGTGGCGGGCGCCTGTAGTCCCAGGTACTAGGGAGGCTGAGGCATGAGAATTGCTTGAACCTGGGAGGGGGAGGTTGCAGTGAGCCGAGATGGCGCCACTGCACTCCAGCCTGGGTGATAGAGTGAGATTCTTGTCTCAAAAAAAAAAAAAAAAAAAGAAAAAGAAATATATGTTGAATCAGTAAATGAAAAAGCAATGTAATTACCAGGACAAAGCACATGGGCATTTGGAAAGCTCTGGAGGATATTTCCAGAGTGCTTTCCGGAAGGGTGGTAGCACGGAACACTTGCACCAGGCATATGGGAGGGTCTGCGTAGCCACGCCTTCACCATAAATTTCACACATGTAGCAAAGCTTCAGTCATCTAACAAGTGCAAGCCCCCGGGCCAGCCATAAAGTGAGAGTACAGTCAGCAGCAGACGCTGAGCCAAGCAGGCAGAGAGCAGCTGACTGAGTCAAAGATGAAAAGGTGGCCACAGACCTGGCGTGTCTGGGCCCCTCTGGAGCCAGAAGACAGGAACCATCTCCCTGGTTGCCTGTTAAAGCCACGTCTAATCATTCAGGCCTGGAAGTCTGGGGAAGCGGCAGAGGAAAGGACTGGAAAGAAGTTGACAGAAGAGGCTGAGCATGGTGGCTCACACCTGTAATCCCAGCATTTTGGGAGGCTGAGGTGAGCAGATCACAAGGTCAGGAGTTCAAGACCAGCCTGGCCAATATCGTGAAACCCCCTGTCTACTAAAAAAAAAACAAAAAACACAAAAATTAGCTGGGCGTGGTGGCACGCACCTGTAGTCCCAGCTACTCGGGAGGCTGAGGCAGAAGAATTGCTTGAACCTGGGAGGCAGAGGTTGCAGTGAGTTGAGATCATGCCACTGCACTCCAGCCTGGGCGACAGAGTGAGACTCTGTCTCAAAAAAAAAAAAATGTTGACAGAAGAGAAGAAAAGGCAGGCGGAGGTGGCAGAGCTCAGAGACAGAGGCAGGTGTCAGAGGCAGTGGCGGGCTCAGGAGGTCTCACATCTGCTGCCAGTGTGAGAAGGTCTGCTCTGGGGACCGTCTGGGGCTCATCGGCTCACACTTCTGGCACTGGGGCTGGGAAGATTTGAAGATCAGGACTGCTGACCAGGGCACCTACGTGGGGCTTCCCCATGGTGTGTTGATCCTAAGATGACTGCAGTGATCCTTGTCTCCTGGTACTCACAGCCTCTGTAGCTCCTTTCTAAGCAACAGAATATACCTCTGTGCAACAATCAGGTTGCAAGAGATTCTCATTTTCCTCTTGGCAGCAGACTCCCTTCCTTATTGGCTTTGATAGGCCGAGTGGCTACGTTGGGAAGGCCCACACAGGAGGAGCCCATTTCTAGCTGGCTAAGAACTCAGGTGCTCTGTCTTTGAGCCACCTTTTTATTTTTATTTACTTTTATTTTATTTTTGAGATAGGGTCTTGCTCTGTCACTCAGGCTGAAGTGCAGTGGTACAATCACAGCTCACTGCAGCCTCAACCTCCTGGGCTGAAGCAATCTTCCCACCTCCGCCTCCTGGGTAGCTGGGACTACAGGCATGCATCGCTGTGCCTGGCTAACTTTAAATTTTGTGTAGAGACAGGGTCTCACTACGTTGCCCAGGCTAGTCTCAAACTTCTGAGCTCAAGCTATCCTCCTGCCTCAGCCTCCCAAAATGCTGGGATTACAGGTGTGAGCCACTATACCTGGCCCTTCAAGACTTAAAGAAATGAAATTCTGCACCAGGTATGGTGCCTCATGCCTGTAATCCCAGCACTTTGGGAGGCCGAGGCAGGCGGATCACATGAGGTCAGGAATTTGAGAGCAGGCTGGCCAACATGATGAAACCCCCTATCTACTAAAAACACAAAAATTAGCCAGGTCTGATGGCAGGTGCCTGTAGTCCCAGCTACTCGGGAGGCTGAGGCAGGAGAATTGCTTGAAGCTGGGAGGCAGAGGTTGCAGTGAGCTGAGATCACGCCACTGCACTCCAGCCTGGGCAACAAGAGTGAAACTCCGTCTCAAAACAAAACAACAACAAAAAACAAAACAAAACAAACAAAAAAACAAGGCCAGGCGCGGTGGCTCATGTCTGTAATCCCAGCACTTTGGGAGACCAAGGTGGGTGGATCACCTGAGGTCAGACGTTCCAGGCCAGCCTGGCCAATGTGGTGAATCTCCATCTCTACTAAAAATACAAAAAATTAGCCAGGCATGGTTGTGGGTGCCTGTAGTCTCAATTACTTGGGAGGCTGGGGCAGGAGAATTGTTTGAACCTGGGAGGCAGAGGTTGCAGTGAGCCAAGATTGCGCCATTGCACTCCAGCCTGAGCAACAAGAGCAAAACTCTGTCACACACACACACACACACACACACACACACACAAAACAAACAAACAAAAAAGAAATGAAATTCTGCCAAGTACTGCATGAGCTTGGAAGCAGATCTTTCCCCAGCTGAGCCTTCAGATGAAACCCCAGCTTGAGAGGAGACAGAAGACCCAGCTAAGCCCCGTTCAGAATCCTGGCCCATAGAGACTGTGACACAGTACGTGTGTGGTTTTAAACCATGAAATCTGTGGTCATTTGTTACACAGTTACAGATGACTAATACAGTCCCTAGGGCATCCTCACGACATGAGGGCTCAGGTGGTCTGACTCCCACTTGGTAGCTCCGGGCTCTGAATGCAAGGAGCCCAGAGAACACAGTAGCAGCTGCAGCCCCTTCTCTGACACAAGCCTTGGGCTCCTCCTGTGCAGGACTTCCCAACATAGCCGCTGAGTCTATCAAAGCTAGCAAGGAAGGGAGTCTGCTGGAAAGACAAATGAGAATCTCTTGCAACCTTATCGTGAAAGTAACAGCCCCTCGGCATGGAGGTATTCTGTTGCTTAGAAAGGAGTTACAGAGGCCATGAGTACCGGGAGGCAAGGATCAGCATAGTCATCTTAGAAGCAACTTACCGTGGGGAAGCCCCCAAGTAGGTGCCCTGGTCGACAGCCCTGGTGCCAGCAGTATGAGCCCGATGAGCCTTCAGCTGGTCCCCAGACCAGACCCTCCATTCTTGGCAGGCACTTCTGCCTCCTCTGTCAGTTACAGTTGGACAGTTCCTCCCTGTGGGAGGAGTTTCAAGGTCACATGGTGGAGAAGCGGGTGGAATGGGAGATCTTGCTGTGGCTGTTCTGAAAAACCTGCTCTGCCACGGCCCATCTTCAGGCCACAACTCACATCCCTCCCACGTGCGAAGTCCACTTGCCCCATCCCAAGACTTCTGAAGTCTCATCCACTTTAGTTTTGGGCTCAGACTGGAGGTCCAGGATCCAGCTGTGTAAACCAAGGCCTGGTGAGGAGGAGACTCCTGGGCGTGGGGGCTCTTCAAGCCCGGGGGTGTTTTCTCCGTGCCCGTGGCTCCTTCCTGAGTTATTCTTCCCTTTTCTTAAAAAACTGAGTTTGCAACTGAGTAGCCCTCTCAGCCCATTTCCTTCCTTTAAAAGTTGAGGCTCTAAAAGCCTCTTTCATTTTGTCCTGTCTTCATCCCATTTAGTGCAAGAAATTAATTCCTTTAAAAACTTGGCTGGGCGCCGTGGCTCACGCCTGTAATCCTCGCACTTTGGGAGACTGAGGCGGGTGGATCACCTGAGGTCAGGAGTTCCAGACCAGCCTGGCCAACATGGTGAAATCCTGTCTCTACTAAAAATACAAAAATTAGCTGGGCATGGTGGTGGGTGCCTGTAATCCAGCTACTCGGGAGGCTGAGGCAGGAGAATTGCTTGAACCTGGGAGGCAGAGGTCACAGTGAGCTGAGATCACGCCACTGAACTCCAGCCTGGGTGACAGAGTGAGGATCTGTCTCAAAAACAAAACAAAACAAAAAACCCAACTTGGGAACTTCCTATGTACTAATCTAAAATTCATTCCGGCCAGGCGCAGTGGCTCACACCTGTAATCCCAGCACTTTGCGAGGCCTAGACAGGCGGATCACCTGAGGTCAGGAGTTCGAGACCAGTCTGACCAACATGGAGAAACCCCGTCTCTACCAAAAACACAAAATTAGCCGGGTGTGGTGGCACATGCCTGTAATCCCAGCTACTCGGGAGGCTGAGGCAGGAGAATCAGTTGAACCTGGGAGGCGGAGGTTGCGGTGAGCCGAGATTGCACCATTGCACCACAGCCTGGGCAACAAGAGCGAAATTCTGTCTCAAAAAACAAAATAAAATAAAAATAAAATTCATTCCATTAGACAAAAAACCTCCCTCAAAAAACTTAAAAAAAAGAATAGATGTTTTCTTTTGGAGCAGCTGTACGTTAACAAAAAAGTTACCTGGAGAGTACAGAGAATTCCCGAAAACTTCCTCTCCCCGCTCACCCCCCCGAAACTTTCCTGCTCATTAACATCTTGCATTAATGTGGTGCATTTGTTACAATCGATGAGCCAATATGAATACATTATTATTAGCTAAGATCCACTGTTTACAGTCAGTTTTACTCTGCGTTTTACACGACATGGGTCTTGCCCAATGAATAATGTCAGGCATCCACCATTACAGCATCATATAGAATAGTTTCACTGCCCCACAAATCCCTTGCACACCATCCATTCCTTCCTCCTTCCCTCGCACCAGCTCCTGATTACTGTTTTCATAGCTTTGCTGTTTCCAGAATATGGTCTGGTTGGAATCATGCAGTAGGCTGCAGCCTTTTCACGTTGGCTTCTTTCCCTTAGCACTACAACGCTTTCTGAGATAAGCTCTTCTCCACCCCACCTCCCAAAGTGCGGGGATTACAGGCGTGAGCCACCGCGCCCAGCTTCAAGTGAGAAAAGACCCTTGTGATTTGAGAAGACCTGCTCTTCAACAGAGAAACTCCGCAAGGAATGCCGCTAAGGTCCTCAGAATGCCTTTGTCTGTCCGAAAGGGTTTATGGGGCACTTTTCCTTTTTTTCCCTGAGGTCTTCATAAAGGATCTTACAGTCCCCTCTGGACTTCTTTGTCCTGAGGCCCTTTCTCACTTTGAGAATCATTTGCTGGCTGAAAAGCCTGTTCCGGTCTTTACATTTCCTCCCAGCTTCACTGGAAAATGAAATCGTTTGCTCCTAGTTCCCCTCTCTCCTTTTCCATTTTATTATAGGCAGAAGGAGCCAGGAGCACCTTCAACGACCTGCCTGGAAAACTCATCAGCTACAGCAACAAGTCAGCTAGGTATGCTCGGTGTCTACTTTCTATGCTATGGCAGGCAACAGTTTTATTAAACCTTCTGCAACCACATGAGAAAGGGTTCCTTTCCTCCAATAGCCAGTAGCATTTTCTTTTTTCTTTTTCTTTTTCTTTTTTTTTTTTTTGAGATGCAGTCTCGCTCTGTCACCCAGGCTGGAGTGCAGTGGCATGATCTTGGCTCATTGCAGCCTCCATCTCGCAGGTTGAAGCAATTCTCTGCCTCAGCCTCCCGAGTAGCTGGGATTACAGGTGCCAGCCACCACATCTAGCTAATGTTTTAATTTTTATTAGAGACAGGGTTTCATCATGTTGGCCAGGCTGGTCTCGAACTCCTGAGCTCAAGCAATCCACCCGCCTCAGCCTCCCAAAGTGCTAGGATTACAGGCTTGAGCCACCGCGCCCAGCTTGCGTTTTTCTTTTTTCTTTCCTTCCTTCCTTCTTTCTTTCCTTCCTTCCTTCTTCCTTCCTTCCTTTCTTTTTTTCTCTCTCTCTCCTTCTCTTCTTCTTTCTCTTTCTTTCTCTCTTTCCTTTTTTATTTTATTTTCTTTATTTTCTTTTTTTTTTGACGGCGTCTCGCTCTGTCGCCCAGGCTGGAGTGCAGTGGCTCAATCTCAGCTCACTGCAACCTCTGCCTCCCGGGTTCAAGCAATTCTCCTGCCTCAGCCTCCTGAGTAGCTTGGGACTGCAGACACACCACACCACGCCCGGCTAATTTCTTTATTTTTAGTAGAGATGGGGTTTCACCATGTTGGCCAGACTGGTCTTAAACTCCTGACCTCAGGTGATCCACCTGCCTTGGCCACCCAAAGTGCTGGGATTACAGGCCTGAGCCACTGCACCCGGCCTCTTTCTTTTTTCTTTTCTTTTTTTTTTTTTTTTTTAAAAGATGTGATCGTCGGGCATGGTGGCTCACGTCTGTAATCCCAGCACTCTGGGAGTCCGAGGCGGGTGGATCATGAGGTCAGGTGATCGAGACCATCCTGGCTAACACGGTGAAACCCCGTCTCTACTAAAAAAAAAAAAAAAAAAATGAGCCGGGCGTGGTGGCGGGCGCCTGTAGTCCCAGCTACTCGGGAGGCTGAGGCAGGAGAATGGCGTGAACCCGGGAGGCGGAGCTTGCAGTGAGCCGAGATCGCGCCACTGCACTCCAGCCTGGGCGACTGAGCAAGACTTCGTCTCAAAAAAAAAAAAAAAAAAAAAAAAAAAAGATGTGATCTCACTATGTTGCCCAGGGTGATCTTGACCTACTGGGCTCAAGTGATCCTCCTGCCTCAACTTCCCGAGTAGCAGGGTCATGCACTTTTGGGCCAGGATCATCTCTTAACCTTCCTGCAAGCCCTTGCCAACTTCCTCCAGGCTTCTGCCCACTGCCTGCGCCTAAAGCCAATGCCATGTGTTTCATATTTTAGTGACCAGAGCACAGTGAGGCACGTCAGACCCATTAGCTTTCTAATCACCACACCAGCTGTGTGAGTTGGGGGTTGGGTACTGCCCTCCCCTTTCATAGGAGTGGGCACTGAGAATTGGGGAAATTACACAACTGGTCATAAGCACTCAATTAGGAGGAGGAGGAGGAGGAGGAACAGAGTGTTTGAAAGACAATTTTTAAAAATTGGATAGCACAGTAGCCTGGGGACATTTGCGAAGGAGTAAGATGGCGGCGTGTGCGTTGATAACCGTTCAAGGTGCCATCGTGACGGTCCTGAGCCAGGAGGGAAAGAGTCATATGTTTGCTATGCTCTTCTCACCAAGGCAGGGGATTGTGTCATATGTTTTAGAGAGTTGTCTGTGAAAAACAATTAAAACTTGATGCTTAGGCCGGGTGTGGTGGCTCATGCCTGTAATCCCAGCACTTTGGGAGGCCAAGGCAGGCAGATCACTTGAGGTCAGGAGTTGGAGACCAGCCTGGCTAACGTGGTGAAACCCCATCTCTACTAAAAATACAAAAATTAATCGGGCCTGGTGGCAGCAGGCACCTGTAATCCCAGCTACTTGGGAGGCTGAGGCAGGAGAATCGCTTGAATGTGGGAGGCAGAGGTTGCAGTGAGCCAAGATCATGCCATTAAACTCCAACCTGGGTGACAAGAGCAAAACTCCATCTCAAAAAATAAAAATTAAATTAAAAAAATAAAAAAAAAATAGGCCAGGCGCAGTGGCTCACACCTGTAATCCCAGCACTTTGGGAGGCCTAGGCAGGTGGATCACCTTGAGGTCAGGAGTTGGAGACCAGGCTGGCCAACATGGCAAAACCCCGTCTCTACTAAAAATACAAAAATTAGCCGGTTGTGGTGGCGTGTGCCTGTAATCCCAGCTACTTGGGAGGCTGAGGCAAGAGAATTGCTTGAATCCGGGAGGTGGACGTTGTAGTGAGCTGAGATCATGCCACTGCACTCTAGCCTGGGTGACAGAGGGAGACTCTGTCTCATAAATAAATAAATAAACCAGGTGCGGTGGCTCACACCTGTAATCCCAGCACTTTGGGAGGCTGAGGCGGGGGGATCACCTCAGGTTAGGAGTTTGAGACCAGCCTGGCCAACATGGTGAAACCCTGTCTCTACTAAAAAAGAAAAAAATTACAAAAAAAAAAAAATTAGCCAGGTGTGGCGGGCACCTGTAATCTCAGCTACTCAAGAGGCTGAGGCTGGAGAATCACTTGAACCTGGGAGGCAGAGGTTGCAGTGAGCTGAGATCGCACCATTGCACTCCAGCCTCGGCGACGAGGGCAAAACTCCCTCTCAAAAAATAAAAAATAAAAATAAATAAATAAAAACAAAATTTGAGGCTTAAACAATTAAGCTTCGTGCATCTCTTTAATTTTTCTTTTTTTTTTTTAACTCTAATTTCATGACAGATTAAGCTTCATGCATCTCAAAAATGTGTAGAACCCTCATTCCCAGCCTTCCCTCCCTCTCTCTTGTCCTTCTTTCTGATTTCTTGGAATCGGAAGGAAAATTCGGATATCCAGGAACCATCACACAGGAGGCACCCATGTGATGTGTCCAACATCACTCCACGCAGGTGTCCTTGGGTCCTGGGTGCCCAGGTTCCTGTGAATTGTGACCCCAGGCAGAAGCGTGAGCATCCGCAGAGGAACCCACCTACCCAAAGCCAGGGAACAGCCAGGGCTGGCATCCTCAGGGTGACTGTGCTCCAGGGCACCTCTGACTTGTGCTGAGTAAAATGGACAAAGCCAGCAATGCACCCATAACCCAGATTCTTGAGACACCGCTGGACTTTGGGAATCCCAGGCATTAGGCTCGTGGCAGTGTCATCATGGCTAGGCTGGGGGCAGTGTCATCATGGTGCTTGCTGGCCAAGTCAGGACACGGCCTAAGCCGGAATCTGCTGGTGCTGGTACAAGCGGTGAGTGGGCGTGTGGGTGGGGGTTGCGGTTAGGGTGTGGACATCCCAGAATCCAGGACGCTGTTCACAATTCGTCCATACTCCCTGCTCCCCTCCCTTACAGCACTTCCCTCCCGAGGCCTCCTGAGCCTCTAACCCCCAGATAAGGAAAGGGGTGGACTCAGTTGAAGTCCAGTGTCCACTCCGGTCCAATCAGCTCTACCTGGGGTGAGGGGAAACTCCTCTGGCTGGGCTGCTCCCTCTGCAGGGCTGTGGCTGGACAGATTACTCAAGAAAGGAAGCAGGTGGGCCGGAACGAACCCACGGTGCCACATAGGCCTCCGTTCTCATGCATATAAGTTTCCCACACTCAGGCAGGAAATGAAAATGCTTCTTGGACCCCCAAGGAGAGTAAAGGAGAGGGGAAGAGGAGGAGGATTTTTCGGGGCTGTTAGTGACACTTTCAGCCTCCTGTGCATTTTTGGGAGGGCTGCAGGAGAAGGCAATGCTGCGCCCCTACCCAGAACTAGCGAGCGCTTCCCAACTGGCCTCCCGCCTTCCTCTCGTCCTCTACGGCCTCCATTGGCAGCTGTGCAAGGGCCCGGCCCTGCCTCTGTCTCTCCACACTCGCTGTGATACCTCAGGCCTCCCAGGCTCCGCCACGCCCTTCCCTCTTTCGGGAACAGCTGCCTTCCATCACCTTGGCTGCCTGGCTAATTCCTGCTCATTCCTTAAAACCCTGTTTTGATTTCGCCTCAATAAAACTCTGACACCACCCTCCAGTCATAATTAGTCACTTCTTCCTCTGTACGTTGGAAACACCGCTTTATCGTGGAGACTTTAAGGATATCCAAGTAGAGAGAATTCTTCCGTGCAAGTTTTGCATCCTCTCACCACTGCCTGCGTTACCCGAGTTGTAAAGGGCGGCTCCCTGTGTCTGCCCCGCTGCACCGATACACCGAGCTGCGCACGGTGCCCAGCGCAGGGAGAACAAATGATCATCTGTCCAACGCGCCCATTTACAGGTGAGGAAACTAAGGCTCCAACTCAATCGACGCACTCTGCCCTTTTGATTACCAGAAAAGTAGCAGGACAGGTGTCCTGTCCCGCCCTACCCCGGCCCACTAAGCCGGCACCCCGGCTCCGACCCCCGGCTGTGCCCGGCGCCGCCGCGGTGCCCGGCGCCGCCGCCTCGCCCGGCGGGGCCGCCCGGAGCGCCCGCACCTCCGCCCGCTTCCACCTGGCCGGGCCCGCCCCGCCCGGACTCGGGACTGGGAAGTGCGGCGACTCCCGGAACCAGCCATTGGCGCCAGCGCGGGGAGCTGGGGGTGCAGAGCTGCGGGCGCGGCGGGCCACGCAGGCGGCCCCCACCCCCGGCCTGGCCTGGTCTGGTCTGGTCTGCGCTGCCGCGCGGGGGCGCCCCCTCCCAGGCCCGGCGCCCGCCAGCCCCGCTCCGCCAGGTGCAGCGCAGCGCAGGGGTGGGCGGGGGTGGGGCTCGGCGCGCACGTTCACGGGGCGGGGAGGGGGCGGGTCAGGGGCGGGACCACAGCCGGCTGGGCCGGGGTTCTATGCGCATCTCCGGGGAGGGGCGGGGCGGGGGCGGGGCCGGGGCGGGGCCCGGTCGGTGCACTCCAGACGGCGGGCCGCCCCCTCTTCCCGCCTTCCTACTACCGGCCCAGGATTAGCGCCCTGGGAGCGCGCGCCCCGCTGCCTCGCCGCCACACTTTCCTGGGAGCGGCGGCCACGGAGGCACCATGAAGAAGTCTTACTCAGGTGGGCTTCGCGCCCGGGGTGGGGAGGGGTCGGTGTCCCGGGACCAGCGCTGCTCACCTGAGTGCCTGCGGCCGGGAGTGGCGAGGCGCCCCCGGAGCTGAGCGAGTCCCCGCGGCGGGCACACTGCAGGTCGAGTTCCTCCCAGGACAGGGCCGCTGTCGGGCCGCTTTCGACCTGAGCCGACCGTCCCCTGCGCTGTCTCCAGCCCTTGCTCGAGTGTCGGAGGGGCTGCCCTGGGGGACGCTCCCTCTTCCTCGCCCCTTGCACCCTCGCAGGAATCGCTGACTTTCCAGGTCGGCCGGGTGCTTTGGGTCCCTGTGCGTCTGTGTGGGTGAATGGGGTCGGGGCTAGGTGGAGGGGTGTCCTTGGGTTCAGCCTCTAGGGCTGGTGGTCCAGGCCGCAGCATCCTTTCTTCGGATTCTCTTCGGTTTCTCCTCTACTTAGTGGGGCACGGGACGGCCTCCAGATGGGACCGTCCAGCAGCGCCCAAACTTGGCGACTCGGGTTCACGTTTTGCGCTCAGGACGCCGCCCGCGGCTGACATCCTCACTCCACCCTAGCAGGGCCCGCCTTAAGTAGGCGAAGGGGGCCTGACTTGGGCCTCACCATGAGCCGGTTCAGGAGCTTTCATTTCATAAGAGGCTCCCGCTCTGGCACTCTGAAGTTCCATTTCACAGATGGGCACACCGAGGCCACAAGGGCAGGTTAAGAGAAATCCAGATCTTCATTATTTGTCTTTTCCTTCCTTTTTTTTTTCCTTTGTGGTTTTCTCCAAAGGATCCAGGCAGGCAGGATCCTTTGTCCTCCTCAGTCCTCAAATTATAAATAGCGTCTCCTCTTCTAAATCTAGAAACCGTTTGTTTAATGTCCCTCCTTTAATTCATTCAGATAGAAAGGTACCTGCCAAGGATCCATGAATTAATTTTTATTGATAGGAGAACAGAATCATGGGCCTTAGTTGGAGGTGAAGGAGTCATCGGGGCCATCCCCCTGCCTTTGGGCCATTGTCGGTTTCCTCTGGCTTTCCATATTTAGGAACCAAAATGAGTGATAAAGTACCTTGTCTCAAAGAGGATTACTCAGAACTTCCCCGAAAATACCCTTCTGGGTCAGTAGCTTAGAATTTCAACTTTCACCCGGTTGTTGCGAACAAGATGGCCCTCTACGCACCCGGAGCACAGCTCTGTCAGGAGCGTGGGTGGGTTGGTGTGCTGGTGGGCGGGAGCGGGCTTCCAGGTGGCACATGCTTGGTTTTGGCACCGGGGCTTCCTCCCCAACATGCTCCAAATACTTGAGATTGTTGTGGGGATCGCGCGGTGCATGGCCCTTTCCAGGGGATCTCTAGCCCGCCCAGGGAGGGCCCTTTGCCCTTGGTTTCTTACACTTTACCTCCCACTGGTGGGTCCAGACAGTGGGGGTGACCGGGGTCCTCCCAGGTCGTGGGTCCTGGGTTTTTTCTGCGGAGACCCTCCTGCACAGATGCCGGAAGGGCCCTGAGGCAGGCTTGGAGTCTCTGCACCTGCGGCTTACTGGGAGGTGGGGAGACCATCACTTGTCCTTTTCTCCTCTCCTCCACACACACCTACCCCACCCCTCACTGGGTTTCTTTTTTTTTTTTTTTTTTAAAAAAAAGGACAGAACCTTTTGCAGTAGGTGGAAGTAGAGTTTGTGGAGTGAGCAGGAACCAACTCTTGTACAGCAGCCTCGGTGCCTCCTTGTGTTTACCTAAAGGGGCAGGCCCCTCTGAGGATGGGGGAAGGGAGGGCTCAGACCATTTCTGGTTTGCTCCCTGCTTGGCAGTGGCCCAAGGTGTGCTGGGTCACTGTGTTGCAGTTGTATGGAGTGGGACTGGAGGGGGCTGATGGTGGGGGTGGCCTCTTGCCCTCATTCTGAGTGTCCTGGAGCTGTCTTGGCACCAGCCCTTTTCCGGGTACGGGCACTCGCAGGAGTCAGGCTGACCCCCCAACAAGCCATCGACACCATGAAATTAAGGAAAGCAGCAAAAGATGTTAAAAATCCCCCAAGGCTCTGACAATCCAAGGACAACAGGAAGGTCTTTATTTTTTCATCTAGACTGTGCGGGATTATTGCTTCCAGACCTGTATGTGGGCTTCAGAATAAACGGAATGACCATAATGTTGTTCCCGGTAGACCTGGTTTGAACATTCGTGAGCCTCTGAAAAGGAGAAAGATTTTAGAAGGATGTGTTGGGGCAATCTCAAGTACCGTGGGTCTATAGACAGTCATCGAAGACACTTTATGTGCTGGGCACACATGGCCAAGTCTGAGTGGGTACAGAAATGGTAATGAGATATAGTCCTTGCCTGCAGAGAACTTACATTCTCACCGGGAGTCAGGATGAGGGCGAGACACCAGCTCATTAACACCCTTCCCTCCTGAGCAGTTCAGCCTCCAAATACTACAGGAATGCCCCGGAGGTTTTAGGTGGAGGTGAGATTGAGCTGGGCCTTGAGGAAGGAGAAGTCTTGAGTAGTGGAGAATAAAAAGGGACTTGGCCAGGTGCGCTTGAAGTCCCAGCTACTCAGGAGGCTGAGACACGAGGATCGCTTGAGCCCAGGAGGCTACTCAGGAGGCTGAGACACGAGGATCGCTTGAGCCCAGGAGGCTACTCAGGAGGCTGAGACAGGAGGATCGCTTGAAGCCAGGAGTTCAAGGCTGCAGCCCTGTGACAGCGCCTGGAAATAGACACGGCACTCCAGCCTGGGTGGCGTCATGAGACCCCATCTGTAAGAAGGTCTTTTCCAATGCGGAAGGCAGCAAGGGCCCACACAGGGCAGCTGCAGGATCCAGGGGGACACTGGGGACAGGTTCTCTCTGGCAGCTCCACTGCTGCTCCAGGCTTTCCCGATTGCCTCACCCGGCCTTCCAATGGGGTGGAGGTAGTGGTAGTCTACAGGCAGTGTGGTCCAGTGGTTACACTTGGGGGCTCAGAGCCGCCAGCCCCTTGGGATTAAATCTCACCAGGCTGCGCCTCTCCCTGTGGCACAAGGTTCTCACCTCATGCATCTCATTTGCCTCATTTGTTTTTTTGTGTGTGTGGTGTTTTTTAATTTTATTTATTTATTTATTTTTGAGACGGAGTCTCACTCTGTCTCCCAGGCTGGAGTGCAATGGCATGATCTCAGCTTACTGCAACCTCCGCCTCCCAGGTTCAAGTGATTCTCCTGCCTCAGCCTCCTGAGTGGCTGGGATTGTAGGAACGTGCCACTGCGCCCAGCTAATTTTTATATTTTTACTAGAGATGGGGTTTCACCATGTTGGTCAGGCTGATCTCGAACTCCTGACCTCGTGATCTGCCTGCCTTGGCCTCCCAAAGTGCTGTGATTACAGGCATGAGCCACCACGCCCAGCCTGCCTCATTTGTTAAATGGGACAGTGCTATGTTGTTGTAAAGGTTAAACGAGTTCATATTTGAAAAAGCTGAGAAATGCCTGCTCTGTAACCTGTTAGCTGCTGTCATGATCATGATTGTCATTGACAGGAGGATGGAGAAGGCTGGGGTTACGCCATTGCTAGGACGTTCCAGAAGCCTCCATGATCTTCCCTTACTGTGGTCAGAGCATGGTGCAGGGTCTCTCCCCCAGCCCCTCAGCACTGGAGCCAGCTGCACTGTACCCGCCCTGGCTCTCTAGGTTCTGAGTTTTGGGACTCCCTTTGCATACTAGGTCACATGGAACTTGCCGTCATTCCCAGGCTCCCCTGGAAACTCTCTGTGGGTGGCAGCGGCAGGAGGACTTACCCGAGGCCGATGAGCCACAGAAGCGGGACTGAGGTTGCGTCACACCCCTACTGGCACCTGGGAATTACTCTGGAGATTCTTTTTTTATTTTTTATTTTTTTGAGATGGAGTCTTGCTCTGTTGCCCAGGCTGGAGTGCAGTGGCACGATCTCGGTTCACTGCAACCTCTGCCTCCCAGGTTCAAGCAATTCTCATGCCTCAGCCTCCTGAGTAGCTGGGATTACAGGCATGTGCCACCGTGCCCAGCTAATTTTTGTATTTTTTAGTAGAGATGGGGTTTTACCATACTGGCCAGGCTGGTCTCGAACTCCGGACCTCAGGTGATCCACCCGCCTCAGCCTCCCAAAGTGCTGGGATCACAGGCATGAGCCACCGTGCCCAGCCACTCTGGAGTTTCTCTGTGGCTTTCAGGAGATTCCTGAAGGGGCACCAGCCACGATTAAAAAGCTCTATGCTGTCGTGACTTCTGAGTCCTGGGCAGGGAGGGAGGCTGCACCCACACAGGAAGCAGCTTCTGCCGTGATTCAGTGTGCTGGCTCGCCGTGGTGGACAGGGCTGCACCCTCACCCAGCGCCCCGGGAGCTGACTTACGGGAAGGGCAAGGAATTGCACCCTCAGAGAACACTTCCCCAGTCAGCTAACCCGGTGACAGGCGAGCGTGGGAAGGGCACAAGCACAGGGTTTCTTCCTCTTCTCCCCCAGCCCCGTCTCCGCGCCTGTTCTCGCTGCCTCTTGCCTCCTCACGTCCAAGCTTGTCTGCTCTGGCGCATTCAGGGGACCTGGACTGGAGAGAAAAAGCCACCTCGTACGGTTAGTCTGTGGCTCTGTCTGACTTGTGTCCTCCGCCGAGGCCCCTCAGTTGTGAGACAGCTGGCTGAGCCTAAGTCCTGGGGCCAGCCCTCTCCCTAGTCTGTTGCAAAGGTAGAAAGGCATGCCCAGGCAGGGGCCACCTGCCCTGCCCGCTCACGCCAGACCGCAGGCACTTGCCCGTCAGATCTCCCCGGCCTGCCCAGAGGGATTCTGATAGCCGAGGGCAATGCACCTGGCAGCGGAGCATTGCGTTTGCGACAGTCCACCTTCTTCCTGGAACCACCCCCCACAAGTGTGACCAGCTCAAGCCAGGACAGGTACAGGGGGACCCAGGATTGCCACTTAGGGGCAGTGGTCTGGAATCCAGGTCCAGGTGACATGGGAGCCAACCCTCTGCTTGGAGATCCCAGGTGGGTGTTTGCAGAGGACATCTCACTTGAGGACCCATGGAAGGGGACACTTCCCACCCCCTACCTGGTCCTTGGGCTGCCCTCCTCTGACACTCTCCTGCCATCCCAGGCAGCCCTGACAGCCCCATGTGACTGGGACCTAGAGGTGGCCCCTGTTTCCGCCCCAGTGTTTGTCCACAGGCAGTGTTGCGTGGGCTCTGAAGTTTGCCTAAGATGGACCTGATAAGGGGAGTTCAGTACACATCAGTGCAGGCCCGGCCAGGGGGTGATGATGGCAGTTCCTGGGCAGATCCAGCTGGCTTTAGGGTAGGAGGGGCTCCAGAGAGAGGCTCCAGGCCCCTAGGGGTGTGAACCTTTGGGGTGAGGCGGGAAGTGACGCGCTGGGTTCCTGCGCCTCTGTTTGTTGGAGCTATTACCTTGGAAACATCCCAGCTCTAGGCGGTTGCCAGGGATTTATGGGGATCAGTGGGTGCCAATCCCTGGGTGAAGCCCTCGGGGCTTGTACACAGCACACAGCGCTGTGGCCCCATGGCTCACTTTGCTGTGTGAAGTGGCTCAGTCTCCGGGAGAGTCCTTAGCCAGGCAGGCCTGACGGCAACTGCCAGGTCATGGTGATCTGGAATCGCTGACCAAAGGGAGTCAGTCCTGGTGGGTGGAGGGACTTGGTGGGCAGCCATCGTGATGCCAGGCATGGGGATCGTGTGTCACCCAGGCCTGTGGGTGCCGAGCTTCTGTGGGAGCAGTGAAGTGCCCCCGTGGCCGATGGGCTGGTCACCCCTGCCCCTTTCCTGATGTGACAGTTGTGCCTGGGCCCCGGGAAATTTGCCAGGAGGCCTGGCATTGGCCTGCTCTACTGGAGCGGCCCTGCTGAGCTGTGAGCTGCCCGTCTCCCTGAGGTTCCTAGCCCATTTCAACTCTCCATGTGGATTTGGTCATTCATTCCAGAAGCGTCTGCCGGGCGCTGCTGAGTGTCAGGTTCTGTTTGCCTCCTCTCCTGTACGCTGGAGGCTCTGGGCACCAGCTCTGCAGGGTGGCCTGGCCTTGGGTCTCCAGGGTAGAGCATGGCACTCTCTGCTCCCAGCCCAGTTTCTCTCTGCTTTATCTCCCTGACCCCACCCTGGGCATGGGCCCATTTGCAGCCCCTGTGAAGGGAGACATTGAGCTGTTGCTGGCAGAGGAGGGGCGGCTCCTGGGCACTGCTTGCCAATGGCCTCTCGGCAGCTCTGTGACAGCTGAGCTTTGTTCCCAGCCTAATCTGACCTGGTTCTCCAAAGCATGACTGTTGGCAGCCTGAAAACCTCCAGGACAGGAAACAGGAGTGGCGCAGGGAATGTAAGATGATCCCAGCTTCAAGTCACTGGGCGGCCCTTAGACCCAGGCTGCCTGCTGTCTCTGGCAGGAACTCAAGTCGCTGGTCATCCTCAGAGCGGTGTTGGCCCGGGGCCTTCAGTGGCCTTTGTGTCTGGGTGAGAGGAACCCTGGATGGCCACTCTGCCCTGAGTGTGTGGGTCCCCAGAAGTGCTGGGTTAGGGGGCACGGAGGGCCAGAAAGTCCCCTTTGGAGCGCTGGACTCTCTCGCTGACTCCTACCCCACCCCGGCCTGGGGTTTCAGAGAAGGGGTCCAGGCAGGAGTGTCATCTTTTCTCAATGGGGATGTGGCTTCAGTCTCTGTCCAGGTGGGTGCATTGCTCTCTTTCCGGCTCCTCCCAGGCTGCTTAAATGACCTGTGACGAGGCCTGCGCCATGGCCGGGGCCCTCTGCTTTTCCCAGCGCTGCACCTGGGAACCAGGGGTTGGGCCCCGGAAGCCGAGGATGTCCCTGAATGCCATGCCTGGGCACCTGTCCTGGCCAGGCGAGGCGTGTTGGGGCAGCGGCTGAGATGGGAGCAGCAGCATTGCCTGCCAGGTTTGAGATGGGCCCCGGGTGAGTGTGGTTACCAGGAAGGGCTGGGCAGAGCAGGCGGGTGGGCCGCCCCTGGGGCCTTGTTCCGCAGATCAACCTGATCCGCACCCTGGGGCCGGGGCTTCCTTTCACAGCCTTCCCATGAACTATGGCTCCTGTTTCCATCCCAAATCAGATCCCAGAAGAGGAATAATGTCCATGTAACCCAAGCCAGTTGGAAGTGGGTTACATCCAACCCCTGTCATCTTCCAGCTTGTTAAGGACTTGACTAACTCAACCCAGAGGGATTTGGAGGGTTGTCTGCAAAACCCACTAATAACAGGGAACTTTAGCTCTGTAGCCACAGGGTCTACAGAGGTGTCGGGCTGTCGGGTTATTGCTGGGAGGTGAGCCGGTGGCGTAGACACCATGGAGGCACCGGTAGTGGAAGAGCTGCAAGTGCACACAGAGGCCGGCACCGAGGGGCGGGGAGGAGGAGGTGGTGGATTTCTCGCCAGTGTTGGCATCATGTTGCCTCCAGCATCAGAGACCCAAGGTGTGGCTGACCTTGGCTGGGGCGATGAGTCATTGGATAGCAGAGCCTTCCTGGTAGCTGGGGGTTAACGCTTTAACTGCCGGGACTTTGTATTATGCCGCTTCTTTTTTTTGTTTTGTTTGGTTTGGTTTGGTTTGGTTTTTGAGACGGAGTCTCACTCTGTCACCCAGGCTGGAGTGTGGTGGCTCAATCTTGGCTCACTGCAACCTCTGCCTCCTGGGTTCAAGCAATTCTCCTGCCTCAGCCTCCTGAATAGCTGGGATTACAGGCACGCGCCACCATGCCTGGCTAATTTTTGTATTTTTAGTAGAGATGGGGTTTCGCCATGTTGGCCGGGTTGGTTTCAAACTCCTGACCTCAGGTGATCCACCTGCCCCGGCCTCCCAAAGTGCTGGGATTACAGGCATGAGCTACCGCGCCCAGCTTGCATTTATGCTTTTTTTTTTTTTTTTTTGAGATGGAGTTTCGCTCTTGTTGCCCAGGCTGGAGTGCAAAGGCGCGATCTCAGCTCACTGCAACCTCCACCTCCCGGGTTCAAGCGATTCTCTTGCCTCAGCCTCCCAAGTAGCTGGGATTACAGGCCTGCGTCACCATGCCCGGCTAATTTTGTATTTTTAGTACAGACGGGGTGTCCCCATGTTGGTCAGGCTGGTCTCGAACTCCCGACCTCAGGTGATCCGCCCGCCTTGGCCTCCCAAAGTGCTGGGATTACAGGCGTGAGCCACCGCACCCGGCCTATGCTTTTTATTATTATTATTTAATTTTTTAAGGAAAGCAATCTAAACTGTACACTGTATCTTTTCTTTCTCTTTTGCTTTTTGTTGTCAGTTTTCTGTATTACTTATTGCCAAACAACATGAACAGGAAATTGAAAGGAAAACTTCAACAATCATTGGCTGTAGCATTTCTTCTGTGTTCCATTCAGTGCTTGTCTCCTCAGGAACATGACATAGGGTTTGATTTAATTATGAAAGGCGTATATTTTCAGAGTTTTATACTCCCCATAGAATGAATGTTGAATTCTGTTCTTTTCACTTGAAATTAGATCTCAGGCATGGATTTCATGATTATCACTATAATGGCTCTTCAGAGTGGACATTGCATCTTGTAGGGAACCACCCTCTCCCCAGCTGCTGGTGTGGACGCTCCTCCTTGATGGTGTGGGTCTGGGCCCCTGAAGGGTGGTGTCCTGAGTAAAGATGTTACAGTAGCCATGCTTATAGCTTTGGGCCTGGGGCTAGGTGGAGACTGGCTTCAACCCTAGAGCTTGCTGTCTTAAAATAAATTCTTTTTTTTTTTTTTTTGAGATGGAGTCTCGCTCTGTTGCCCAGGCTGGAGTGCAGTGGCGCGATCTCCGCTCACTGCAAGCTCCGCCTCCCGGGTTCACACCATTCTCCTGCCTCAGCATCCCGCATAGCTGGGACTACAGGCACCCGCCCCCACGCCCGGCTAATTTTTTGTATTTTTTTAGTAGAGGCGGGGTTTCACCATGTTAGCCAGGATGGTCTCAATCTTCTGACCTCGTGATCCACTCGCCTCAGCCTCCAAAGTGCTGGGATAAAATAAATTCTTAGGGCCGGGAGCGGTGGCTCACACCTGTAATCCCAGCACTTTGAGAGGCCGAGGCGGGCAGATCACAAGGTCAGAAGATCGAGACCATGGTGAAACCCCGTCTCTACTAAAAATACAAAAAATTAGCTGGGTGCAGTGGCGGGCGCCTGTAGTCCCAGCTACTCGGGAGGCTGAGGCAGGAGAATGGCATGAACCCGGAAGGCGGAGCTTGCAGTGAGCCGAGATTGCGCCAGTGCACTCCAGCCTGGGCGACAGAGTGAGACCCTGTCTCATAAATAAATAAATAAATAAATAAATAAATAAATTCTTATACCCACTTGCATTATTTATTATTATTATTATTAAACAGGGTCTTGCTGTGTTGCCCAGGTTGGAGTGCAGTGGCGTGATCATGACCTCCCAGTCTCGACCTCCCAGTTTCAATTGGTCCTCCCTTCTCAGCCTCCTGAGTAGCTGGGACTACAGGTGTGCGCTGCATGCCTGGCTAATTTTTTTTTTTTTTTTTTTTTTGAGACAGAGTCTTACTCTGTTGCCCAGGCTGGAGTGCCGTGGTGCAATCTCGGCTCACTGCAACCCCCGGCTCCTGGATTAAAGCAATTCTCCTGCCTCAGCCTCCTGAATAGCTGCGATTACAGGCATGTGCCGCCACACCTGGCTAATTTTTGTATTTTTAGTAGGGACGGGGTTTCACCATGTTGGTCAGGCTGGTCTCAAACTCCTGACCTCGTGATCCACCTGCCTTGGCCTCCCAAAGTGCTGGGATTACAGGTGGGAGCCACCGCGCCTGGCATGCCTGGCTAATTTTTAAAAAATTTTTGTAGCAGCCGGGCGCGGTGGCTCATGCCTGTAATCCTAGCACTTTGGGAGGCCAAGGAGGTCGGGAGTTCGAGACCAGCCTGACCAACATGGAGAAACCCTGTCTCTACTAAAACTACAAAATTAGCTGGGCATGGTGGCACATGCCTGTAATCCCAGCTACTCAGGAGGCTGAGGCAGGAGAATTGCTTGAATCTAGGAGGCGGGGGTTGCAGTGAGCTGAGATCGTGCCACGGCACTCCAGCCTGGGCAAAGAGAGTGAAACTCCGTCTCAAAAAATTTTTGTTTTTGTTTTTGTAGCGACAGGGTCTTGTTTTGTTGTTGCCTAGGCTGGTACTGAATTTCCAGCCTCAAGCGATCCTCCTGCCTCAGCCTCCCAAAGCGCTGGGAGTACAGGCGTGAGTCACTGTGCCTGGCCTCCACTTGCTTTGGCTGCCTTTCTCTGTCTTAGGTAACCATACATTTCTCCAGGTAATTAAGAAAAGATTGCGCATGATGAGTCCCTTTTCTGGTATTTCTGGGATTGCCCCCAAAACCAGACAAGTGTTCTTACCTTGACATTTTATTAAGACTTTAATGAACAGAATGCCGTTTGCCCTCAGTCTGCTGGTCCCCCTGCGAAGGCCCAGGGCTTCCTTGTTTGAAAAGTCATCCCCTTGTCGAGGTCTTTGATTCCTTTTCACCACGGCAGTCATGCCGAGGGTCCACAGAGCCACCCCTTCCCCATCTCTTCCTCGGCCCCTCAAGACGCATCTGTACCCCCGGAGATGTCTCTTTGTTTTCTTGGGCCACCTCTCCTGGCCGTCACTCACCCTGCTGACTCATTACTTGTGCAACAGTTTCTTCTGGAACCCTCAGGCTCCTGCCACCTACCCTCTGCAGTCCCCGTTTTGTTCCTCTTGCCTCAGTCTTCCTCCCCATCACCCCTCTACCTGTTGGTCTCCATCTCTGTCTATGGCACATCCCTGTGTTATACTCTGATGGCTGGATAAAGGTTGAGTGAAACGCATCTACCCCTTTGGTGACTGGGGTGCCCATTAATCAGAAGGGATCCAAGGCTGGCGTAGCCTTTTCCCGCATCCTGGGGTATCGTCCTGTGGCTCTTCCTTGTTGGAGTCTGCAGTTTTTTGTTTTTTTTTTTTTAAATTTTTTGAGATGGAGTCTCGCTCTGTCGCCCAGGCTGGAGTGCAGTGGTGAGATCCCAGCTCACTGCAACCTCCGCCTCCCGGGTTCAACCAATTCTCCTGCTTCAGCCTCCCAAGTAGCTGGGACTACAGGCGCCCGCCACCATGCCTGGCCAATTTTGGTATTTTTAGTAGAGACGGGGTTTCCCTACATTGGCCGGGCTGGTCTCGAACTCTTGACCTCAGGTGATAGGCTCGCGTCGGCCTCCCAAAGTGCTGAGATTACGGGCATGAGCCACCAGGCCCGGCCGTTGAGATTACCTTCATAAGCCACCAGGCCTGGCTGTAGTTGGCAGTTTTTGACCACTGGTCTCGCTCCACGTGATCTGTGATCTTCCCCTTGGCCCCCTGGCCCTGCCCTGTTCATCTGCTCACCTTTCTCATGCATGCGGTTTGTTCATAGGGTATGTAATGGGGTCTAACCAGGAAATGGAAACCGCTTGAGCATTTATTTATTTATTTATTTATTTATTTATTTATTTATTTTTCCCAAGACAAGGTCTCACTCTGTCACGCAAGCTGAAGTGCAGTGGTGTGATCACAGCTCATGGCAGCCTTGAACTCCTGAGCTCAAGCGATCCTCCCTTCTCAGCCTCCCAAGTAGCTCGGACTATAGGTGCACACTATATGCCTGCCTAATTTTTTCTTTTATTTTTGTAGAGACAGGGTCTTGCTTTGTTGCCCAGGCTGGTCCTGAACTCCCAACCTCAAGCAATCCTCCTGCCTCAGCCTCCCAAAGTACTGGAGCTACAGGCATGTGCCATCACGCCTTGCTAATTTTTGTATTTTTTGTGTGTGTGTAAAGACAAGGTCTTACTATGTTGCCCAGGTTGGTCTTGTACTCCTGGGTTTATGTGATCCTCCTGCCTGGGCCTCCCAAAGTGCTGGGATTACAGGCGGGAGCCACAGTGCCTGGTCCACTTGAGCATTTAGAACAGAAGGACTTAAAGGCGGGGAACTAGTTACACAGATGATGGGAGAGGTGAAGGCCAGACAGGGAACAGAGAGGCAATCAGCAGGAAATCAAAGTGGTGTGGGCTTATACAGCCCTCTAAAGGTATGGATGCAATGATTCATTTAGAATGAGAAAATAAATAACAGCAAATTATAAATTATAAGCAGCTGTTAAATATCACAAACATCACTACATGCAGAAGAGTACCAGTCAACTGTCAGTCATATCTCCAAAGTTCTATTTCTCCCACATTTTTGGCATTACTTCTTCAATATGATGACTTTGTAATATCGTTTTCTATTTCGAGAACAGAAAACTGATCAGGCTGGACACAGTGGCTCGTGCCTGTAATCCCAGCACTTTGGGAGGCCAAGGCAGGTGGATCACTTGAGGCCAGGAGTTCAAGACCGGTCCGGGCAGCGTGGCGAAACCCCGTCTCTACTAAAAATACAAAAACTAGCAGGGCATGGTGGCATACACCTGTAGTCCCAGTTACTTAGGAGGCTGAGGTGGGAGGATTGCTTGAGCCCAGGAGGTCGAGGCTGCAGTGAGCCGTGATCATGCCACTGCACTCCAGCCTGGGTGAGAGAGTGAGACCATGTCTCAAAAAAAAAAAAAAAACAACAAAAAAAAACATAGGCTGGGCGTGGTGGCTCACGCCTGTAATTCCAGCACTGTGGGAGGTTGAGATGGGCGGATCACTTGAGGTCAGGAGTTTGAAACCAGCCTGGTCAACATGGTGAAACCCCATCTCTACCAAAAACATAAAAAATTAGCCAGGTGTGATGACGCACGCCTGTAATCCCAGCTACTTGGGAGGCTGAGGCAGGAGAATGGCTTGAACCCAGGAGGCAGAGGTTGCAGTGGGCCAAGATCGTGCCATTGCACTCCAGCCTGGGCAACAGAGTGAGACTCCATCTCAAAAATAAATAAATAAATAAAGCGAATGAATCTCCTTAGTTGATCAAATTTTGTTTTTATTTTTGGTAGTTGGGATGTATACAAAAGTGGCGGTCAACATGGAGTTGGTGGTGCTGCTACAATTGTTTTGTTCAAGATACACAGGAATTCTGGTAAATCCTGTTTTTTTCTTTTTTTTTAAATGTGATTCCCATCAAGAAAGAAGTAGGAAAATGGGGGAGATTTCTAACTGCATATGAGGCATTTGTGCATGTATTTCTGACCAGAGAGACTTTTCTGTTTTGACTCCACATTGAAGGAACTGAATCCTTTGCTTACAACTTCACCTCTGGTGATGGGAGTAATTTTCCACAGATTTGCTTCTGGACCCGTGCATTTCAAATCTTGCTTCTCTCCACTGCGCACGTTTTTCCGGCGCCAGGCACCGCAGGATATGTTCGTGTCTTGTGATTTTTGATTCTGCGCGGTAGGTGGAATTGGAACGGTGAGTGGAGCGAGTATTGCTGGAATCCGTTTCCACACCGGGATAGCGAGCAGTAACTGAACTATACATGGAAATAAATGGGAACTACATAAATATAACCCGACCAAAGCCAAACTAAATATCTTTCCAGTTCAACTTCTCCTTAGCAGGAGCCCCCACGTGGCAGCAAGCCTCCGTTTCCACCTCACACAAGAGAAAATGTGACGGGCAGGAACTCAAGACTGGAAATGAACGGGGACGTTAATTGATTGTAGGGAAAATATTTTCCATTTTGTAAATTTTACAAAAAATGTTTGACCCTGTGGACATGTGGTTAGGGCCCTTCTCAGTGCCTTGAGAGGGAACCATGCAGGTAGAGGGAGGGTTCTTAGCATTGTGGGGGTGACCTGGAGATTGGCAGCAGGGTGCCACCACCACCCCTAGGTGGGGATGAGAGGGAGGAAGTCCTGTGACCAGAGTCCAGGGGCCAGAGTCACCTGCTGGGAGCCCAAACAAAGGTGGGACTCTGGCAGGAGCTGGAACTACACAGAGGACCACCTCTCCTGCTGGAGAAGCTGTCTGAGGCAGAGGAGGTGGAGAGCTCCCGCGCCCTCCCTTGCTTCCACCTCCCAGGTTCCTCCCAAGCCTCTCGTTGGTTGAACCCAGCCCAAAGCCAGCAGGCCTGGGGACCTGGACACCTGAGCCAGCAGAGGTCGGCGTTTCTCCCACACAAAGGAGGGCACAAGAAGTGGGAGGCACGGAGGGGGATCAGGCCAGGACCCACACAGGATGTGCAAACAGGAGCTCCCCTCTCTTCCCACCCCAAATGGCATCTGCAGCCGGCCTCACTTCCCTGCTGTTAGACAGGAAGAGGAACCTTGTTCCCGGCACCAGCTGCCCCCACCGCCCCCCACCCCACGGAGGCCCCTTTCCTCTCTGGCCTTTGCTTGCAATCATTGGCGACGCTGATGGACCATATCTTCTGGGGAGTTTGGTCATGAACATGGTTTCCCATTTGTTGTGGACCAAACTGTGCCCTTCCCCTTGAATTCCTGCGTTGAAGCCCTAACTCCCAATGCAGCTGTAATTGAAGATAGGGCTTTTAGGGAGGTAATTAAGGTTAAATGAAGTCATAGGGCAGGACCCTAATCTAATAGGATTGATGTCCTTATAAGAAGAGGGAGAGACACCAGAGATCTCTCCTCCCCCCTCACTTGTAAACAGAGGAAAAATGACGGAGGACACAGCAGGGAGGTGGGTACAAGCCAGGAAGAGGGGCCTCGCCGGGAACTAACCCTGACGGCACCTTGATCCGGGACTTTGGGCCTCTCAAACTGAGAAATACATGTCTGTTGTTTAAGTCACTCCCTCCACAGTAATCTGGATGGCAGCCTGAGCTTACCAAGGCACCGTCTGCATCAGCCAGGGCTCTCCAGGGAGACAGCCAATAGGAGATGGATGGATGGATGGATGGCTAGATAGACAGACAAGCGGACAGAGAGAGAGAGAGACAGGCAGACACAGACAGACAGGCAGACAAATGGCTAGATAGACAAGCAGACAGAGAGATAGAGACAGACAGACACAAACAGGCAAACAGACAGGCAGACAAATGGATAGATAGATGATAGATAGCCAGGCAGGCAGATAGACACAGACAGGCAGACAGACAGACAGACAGATGATAGGTTGGGTTCAGTGACTCTTACCTGTAATAACCAGCACATTGGTAGGCTGAGGCCGGTGGATCACTTGAGGCCAGGAGTTTGAGACCAGCCTGGCTAACAGGGTGAAACCCCATCTCTACTAAAAATAGAAAAATTAGCTGGGCGTGGTGGTGCATGTCTGTAATCCCAGCCACTCGGGAGGCTGAGGCACGAGAATCACTTGAACCTGGGAGGTGGAGGTTGCAGTGAGCTGAGATCACGCCACTGCACTCCAGCCTAGGCGACAAAGTGAGACTCCATCTCAAAAAGAAAAAAAAGATAGATAGATGAATGGATAGATAGCTAGATAGATGACAGATGGATGATAGGTAGATAGATAATTGATAAATAGATATAAATGACCGATGGACAGGCAGACATAGATACATTGATTAGGTAGATGATAGATGGATAGATAGAAGATAGATGGTGGATGGGTGGGTAGATAGGCAGATAGACAGTTAGAAAGATAGATGATAGATAGATAGGAAGGAATTTATTAGGGGAATTGGCTCATACCATTGTGGAGGCCAAGATGTACCACAGAAGGCCGTCCGCAAGCTGGAGGCCCAGGAAAGCCAGTATCGTGGCTCAGTCCAAGTCTGCAGGCCTCAGGACTGGGAAGCTGTTGATGTAACTCTTAGTTTAAGGCCAAAGGTTTGAGAGCCTGGGGAACTGCTGGAGAACTGGGAGTTCTAAGTCCAAGGGCAGGAGAGGAAGGCATCCCACCTCCAGGAGAAAGAGGGAATTCACCTTTTCTCTGCCTTTTTGTTGTCTGGCAATGGAATGGTGTCATCCATATTGAGGGAGGATCTTTACCACTCAGCCCACCAACTCACATGCCCATCTCCTCCAGAAACACCCTCACAGACACACCCAGAAGCGATGCGTTACCAGCCATCCCTTAATCCAGCCAAACTGACACCTGCCGTCAGCCACCACACAGGCTCAGAAGAATCGTGGTTGCATGGTGATGGTCTCCATCCCGTCTAAAGAAGTTGAAGATGAACTGTTGGCACAAGCCATCGTTCTTTCAGGCTCCTTCCAGTCGTTCATTCTTTTAAAAATGTATTCATTGAGCACCTGCTGCATGCCAGGTGCTGTGACAAGCACTGGGGCACAGCAGTGAGCAAACAAGGACTCTTGTTTCTTGGAGTTTACATGCAGTAGAAGGAAACAGAATCAATGAATTCATCAGTTCTAGAAACTATCAAAATAGGACTAAGAGCTGTGGTGAGAATTAAGATAAGGTGATTGCATAGAAAGTGACTGATGGCTGCTTTGGAATGAGTGGTGAGGGGTCACAGAGATGATGACAGCTGAGTTGAGATTGGGAAGACAGGAAGGAGCCAGCAGTGCAAGGACTAGGCTGGAAGCAAGCTTGGTGCATTCCAGGAACAGCAAGGAGGCCAGAGGGGCTGCAGTAGAGCAGGCGAGGAGGAGGAGGGAGACGCAGGTCAAAGAGGAGCCTGGGGCCAGATGGAGGACCCTCCCTCCAAAGCTCAGTCATTTCCTCCTTAAAGGAGAATGTGTTACCTCCAAAAGTCACATATGCCAGCACAGTGTCTGGCTCATCATATGCCTTCAGTAGGCGGTGAGCATGGCTGTTCTTGTTATTACTACATCACAATTACTAGGAATAATGGAGTCACCAGGCTTTGCATTTACAGCAATGTGAGGGAGTCAGCAAGCTTCCCTGGGGAACCCATCTCCCCTCACTAAGTTCATAAGAGCCTGATAACCAGGTCAATGTAGTGAGAGCTATAGCTGCCCAGTGTACTGGACTCTTTAGCCACGGGCCAGGACACTTTCATCTCAGCAGAAACCTCTAAGGGGACTGGGGAGTGTGCTGTGGATGTTTCTGGGTTACTCAGACCTCCTGGGGAGCCTTCCCCACCGCAGCTGCTGCAGGGAGCTCAGCTGCAGTGATGAACTGCGGCTCAGCCTTGTTTATGGGAAAACCCTACATGGGAGATGGGACGGTTTCCTGTTGGTTCTCTCGGCCTCAGGTTGCTTTCACAAGTGCAGGGATTCTCACCTGGGTGTGTGAATGGGGCTCAGGATGCCCCAAGGGTATGTGGAGATGGGGGTCAGCTGTCTTCTCTGATGCCTCTGAACCTCCTCCCCCTGCCTTTCTGCATCTCATTGCTTCCTGGCCTCTCTCACTTTGGGTGCTTTGGAACAACATGCAATCCAATACACAGGCTGACTTTATTATTTTGTTTTGTTTTATTTTATTTTATTTTGGAAACAAAGGCTCTGTCATTCAGCCTGGAGTGCAGCGGTGCAATTGCAACTCACTGCAGCCTTGAACTTCTGGGCTCAAGTGATTCTCTCGCCTCAGCCTCTCAAAGTGCTGGGATTACAGGCATGAGCTGCTGTGCCTGGCCTAGGCTGGCTTTAAAAGCTCCTCACTCTCTCTGCATCCTGATGATACCTACCTCCTGGAGCAGGCTCCCAGCCATTGGCTTCGGATACTTTGTAGCTATTATTGGCCAGTTGTGGCATGTGAAGCTGAGGCTCAGGAGAAGGGCAGTCCTGTCCAAGGCCACACGGCTCAGTGCTAACACTCAGACTTCAGTGTTTTTATCTCCCTCCTGGTCGCTTCCACCCTTAGTGCATCTCTGGAGGCCCAAGGGAGCTAAAGGCCAGGCTTTGGTCAGCTAAGAATTTAAAAAAGCTGTCTCTGTGCTCCTCTGTCAATCCATCACTCCATTATCTCCCCCGACAATGAATTCAGTTTGAATTTCAGATAAACAAGGATTAATTTTTAGTATAAGCATATCCCACAACAGACTTGGGATATACTTATGCCTAAAAATGATTCATTGTTTGCTGGCCTTAGTAGCTCATGCCTACAATCCCAGTGCTTTGGGAGGCTACAGTTGGAGAATTGCTTGAGTCCAGGAGTTCAAGGTTACAGTGAGCCATGATCATGCCACTGAGCTCCAGCTTGGGTGAAGCAGCAAGATCCTTATCTCTTCAAAAAATTGTTGATTGTTTATCTGAAATCCAGGTTTAACTGAGCATCCTGTATTTTATATGAGAACCCTATATAGGTGAGACCCAGAGTCCCAATGCCCACTGGTAAGCCTTTGCAGGGAGGCTCTGTGGGTCCTTGGCTGGCACTGATGCCCTGTGATGAGCAGGGCCATCTGGCAAGGTGGACGCCTGCTGCCCATGCAGGCAGAGCAAGGCCCTGGGCAGGTATGAGCTGATCTCACCTTCCCCAGCCTGGGAGCCAGATACTGTTGGCAGCTTGCCGTCAAGAGAGGGGCTGGTCACCAAGAGAGGGGCGGCCTCCATGGGCCTTCTTTGGCTTTTGGCTCTCCCCCAGCCCTCCTCCTACCCCAAACAGAGGCCAACGGCACCGCACCAGAACCAGTGTGCTGCCTCCTTTGGTTGGCATTTTGTAGTTGGGTAGACTGTTTCCTTCTCACAGGAGCTGGTGGTGCCCCTTCCGCTTCACAGGGAGGATGGCTGAGACCCCTGACCTTGACACAGGGTGCTGTTCTTTTTTTGTTTTGAGACAGAGTCTTGGTCTTTTCACCCAGGTTGGAGTGCAGTGGCATGATGTTGGCTCACTGCAGCCTCCACCTCCTGGGTTCTAGCAATTCTTCTGCCTCAGCCTCCTGAGTAGCTGAGATTACAGGCGTGCACCACCACTGAGAACAATGCCTTCTACAGTGTTTATTCTCCTGTAGGAGCAAGTTCCTAAGGCAAGGAGGTTGCTCCCCTCATGGATGAATAAATTGACTTTGATCCACAGCCCCACGTGTCAGCCTTGAGGGTGGGGAAAGGTTGTTCTGTGTCTAGGCAGGGGGTGGGGGCAAGGCCAGGAGGGCCTGGTGCCCAGTGTACCTCTTCAGGACACAACTCCAGGTAGCAGAGGCCAAGGACAGAGGGGAGGAGAAGAGGGAGGTGGCCATTATCTCCTTATCTCAGCTTCCTTTGGAGATAAGCTTGAGTATTTTAGTTGTCCACTAAGTCTGGAGATAAGTCTGGAATTTAAACCTTTGACTTTGATCCAGCCCTTCACAGCTCCTGTGAGCAAACTGAGCCTCAGAAAAAGGGAGTGAAGCCTGTGCATCCTGGACGCCCCCACCCCAGGCTCAAACCGCCCCCACCCCAGGCTCAAACCGCCCCCATCCCAGCTCAAACCGCCCCCATCCCAGGCTCAAAGCGCCCCCATCCCAGCTCAAAGCGCCCCCATCCCAGGCTCAAAGTGCCCCCATCCCAGGCTCAAAGCGCCCCCACCCCAGGCTCAAACCGCCCCCATCCCAGCTCAAACCGCCCCCATCCCAGCTCAAACCACCCCCAACACAGGCTCAAACCACCCTCAACCCAGGCTCAAAGCACCCCCACCCCAGGCTCAAAGCATCCCCACCCCAGGCTCAAAGTGCCCGCAACCCAGGCTTAAAGCGCCCCCACCCCAGCTCAAACCGCCCTATCCCAGGCTCAAACCGCTCCCACCCCAGGCTCAAACCACCCCCATCCTAGGCTCAAACCGCCCCCACCCCAGGCTCAAAGTGGGAAGGAGCCACAGGGAAACAAACGGGGGAGGCACGGATGACCAGGATGAGGGTCTCCATGACCCACCTTTCCCCAGGGGCTATCTCAAGAGCTTTTTAAACTTTTATTATTTTTTAATAGAGATGGGGTCTTGCTGTGTTGCCCAGGCTGATCTCCAACTCCTAGCCTCAAGCCATCCTCCCACCTCAGCCTCCCAAACTGCTGAGGTTACAGGTGTGAGCCACTGCACCTGGCCTCTCTCAGGAGTTTCAAGAAAAAAAATGGGAATAGATTTGTGTGTGTGTGTGTGTGTGTGTGTGTGTGTGTGTGTGTGTGTGTTTTGAGAAAGAGTTTCGCTCTGTCACCCAGGCTGGAGTGCAATGGCACGATCTCGGCTCACTGCAACCTCCGCCTCTCGGGCTCAAGTGCTTCTTCTGCCTCAGCTTCCTGAGTAGCTGGGATTACAAACATGCAGGCTGATTTTGTATTTTCATTAGAGACGGGGTTTCACCATGTTGGTCAGGCTGATCTCGAACTCCGGACCTCAGATGATTTGCCTGCCTTGGCCTCTCAAAGTGCTGGGATTACAGGCCTGAGCCACCGTGCCCGGCCAGGAATAGATTCTTTTCTGTAGATGACTTCTGTCATTATTGAAAATGGATGTTTATGCACAATTGAATTGTCATAACGCCTCATCCTAAAAAGCTCCTTTTTGAGAAAATGTGACTTTTGATAGAGGAGAGACTGTCCAGGCCTCATTCATTGTCAGCACAAAGGCAGAGCAGGGGTGTGGCGGTGTCACCCTCCTCTGAGACAGCCCCATCCCTGCTCTGCCCAGGGGTTCAGAAGTCTGGTCTATTCGAGCCCACAGAGGGGTTTGGAGTGGCTGTCTTACATCACAGGTGGGGTCTGTAAGGATCTGAAATGACCTTTGAGAAGGCGGGTGTGGTGGGTGCATTTCAATCATTAAAGTAACAACAATGATACATCAAATAGTGTCTGCTCAGATTCTGAGTGCCTGTTTAAACATTTCCATCTTGTGACTTGCCAGATTCTAGCATAACAACCCAGGTAAAAGAAAAAATAGCTGGGCGTGGTGGCTTGTGCCTGTAATCCCAGCGTGAGGCCAAGGCAGGAGGATTGCTTGAGACCAGGAGTTTGAGACCAGCCTGGGCCACCTGAGACCCCACCTCTGAAAATAAACAAACCAATAAAAGACCTTCATGCTCTATGTCTTTCTTATATCTAGGTTCCCCAAATTATATGCATTGGGGAAAGTCCATTAAGAGAAGCCCCTGGCCGGGCGTGGTGGCTCACGTCTGTAATCCCAGCACTTTGGGAGGCCAAGGTGGGAGGATCACAAGGTCAGGAGTTCGAGACCAGCCTGGCCAACATGGTGAAACCCCATCTCTACTAAAAATACAAAAATTAGCCGGGCGTGGTAGTGCATGCTTGTAATCCCAGCTACGCAGGAGGTTGAGGCAGGAGAATCACTTGAACCTGGGAGGTAGAGGTTGCAGTGAGCCAAGTTGGTGCCACTGCACTCCAGCCTGGGCGACAGAAAAAGACTCCATCTCTAAATAAATAAATAAAGGGAGAGAAGCCTCTGGGCTCCTAGATACATGGGTCAGTGTCCACCCCTGCAAAGCTGCTGTGCCCAAAGAGGGGCTGTACTTGGTGGAATTGGGGCAAAAGAGCAGGGAGGGCACTGGGCAGTTGACCTGGTCTCCACTACTGGAAAGGGGCTGTGCTGCTGGTGCCCTGAGCTGGTTCCACAAGGAAGACACTGCACAGGGCGCCCTAAGTTTGCTCTTTCTGCCTAGGCTCACCCTTTCCTCTCCAGGACCAGGGAGCCCCGCTCGTCTCCTGTCTTCGGCATCTGCTCTCTGGCTTGTGAGCACTGCATTTCTTTCTGCTTGGAACGCCGGCCCATGGTGGGTCCCCGGACTCCTGCCTTCTGCTGTCTTTTGCCATATCTCGTCAAAGTGTGTTTTATTTATTTATTGTTATTATTTTTTGAAACAGAGTCTTGCTCTGTCGCCCAGGCTGGAGTGCAATGGTGTGATCTCGGCTCACTGCAACCTCCGTCTCCTGGGTTCAAGCGATTCTCCTGCCTTGGCCTCCCGAGTAGCTGGGATTACAGGCGAATGCCACCACGCCCGGCTAATTTTTGTATTTTTAGTAGAGATGGGGTTTCCCTATGTTGGTCAGGCTGGTCTCGAACTGACCTCGGGTGACTGGCCCACGTCAGCCTCCCAAATTGCTGGGATTACAGGCGTGAGTCACCATGCCTGGCCAACTATTATAATATTGATATTATAATAATATCACAGCCAGATAACGGTGACTAACGCCTGTAATCCGAACACTTTGGGAGGCTGAGGCAGGCAGATCACCTGAGGTCAGTTCGAGACCAGCCTGGCCAACGTGGTGAAACCCTGTCTCTACCGAATATACAAAAATTAGCCGGAGCGTGATGGCAGGTGCCTGTAATCTCAGCTACTTGGGAGGCGGAGGTTGCGGTGAACTGAGATCGTGCCACTGCAGTCCAACCTGGGTGACAGAGCAAGACTCCATCTCAAAAGTAGTAATAATAATAATAATAATAATAATATCACTTATTGAGTTTTAATTTTGTGCCAGGCACTGTGCTAGTACTTGCGCCATGTGACCTCATTGACTCGGAACAACCTATGAGTAAGCACCATCTCTGTCCCCAAGGAAGCTGAGACTCAGGAAATGGAAGTCATCTCCCAGGGCCCACAGCAAGGGCCTGGCGAGGTCTGCGTTCAAATTCTGATCATCTGACTCCAGGCTTTCCTGCCTCCTTTGCCTCCCAAAAACTCAAATACTTTCATCTGGGATGACTCCAGACAGCTAGATTTCAATTGTCTTCTCTCCTTCTGAGTATGTTTTATTTTAAAATCACATAAAGATAACTCACTTCTCAACTGGAGCCACGGAATCGTTAGATGTCTTGGAGACTTTTCTAGCTACCTCTTTGCTGGACTCAGACACAGGCCTGAATAATTAGGTCCAAGGAGCTGAACTGGAGCCGCTCGTGGCCAGAGGTCCCTTCCTGGGAACAGCAGTGGCGGCAGCGGCTGCGCTGAGCCTGGCAATTTGTTCAAGAGCAGGGGATGCTCAGGCTGCGCTCGCCCCCTTCTTATGAACGGTTTGCTTTGCGTCTTCTCTGTGCCAAGGGCTGCCAGGCACCAGATGCCCATTTTAGGAAATCAGAAAAATAAACAGTGTAAATAAAACAAAAACTCCACCCAAGAAATCTGAGACAGATGCTGTTTTCCCCACCGTTTCTCCACCCCCATGCTGGGTTTGGAGAGAGTGGGCCAGCATGTTTCCTACGGATAAGAGGCCCTGGGGTATTTAACCTGGATGGAACCTCTTCTATTTTCCTTTTGCCTGGTGCTAGGGGGCAGAAGGCAGGGGTGGTGTCCATCTGGCCCAGGGAGGAGGATAGGGCAGCCTTTGTCGCCGGCATCCCCTGCAGAGATGTCTCAGCCAGAAGTGACTCCATCCTCAGGAACGTGTGTCCTGTTCTTTGCTGGGCGGCCCCTCCTTACCCCCCATTGTTTCCACAGTGGGGTGTGCTAGATTTATGGGCAGAGTTCTGGTTCACTCTCAGCCCCGGACAGCAGAATGTCCCAGTAGTGCACTGATGGTGTGTGCGTGGGGATGTGTGGAACAGGGGATAGTGACCCCGTGTGCGTTATATGCAGTGCGGCTTCCAGTCGGGTGTGTGAAGGGGGTGCTCATGGCCATCGTGGAAGTGAGCTCAGCTGGGGCTGGAGGGTCCAGGCTCACTGTATGCCACTCAGCAGCCTTGGGAGTGGGGTTCATCCTCCTCCCCGCTCCTCTCCCCTCCTGGTCCTGGGCAGCCCACCGGAGCTGCACTCTGGGCCATCTCTCCTGGTCTTAAGGAGGCTGTCATTTCTGGGAGGCAGATGCTGGCCCTTCCATCCTTGCTTCCTGGAGATCTGCGCCGAGGTCTGCCTTTCTGTCTGGAGGGACTGGCCAGGAACCCCTGGGTTTTCCTGGTGGGGTTTTTGTTGCTTAGCAGTGAGCAGAGTGAGTGGGCACCAAGAGGAGGATGCTGGGTGAGGTCACGGACATGGCTGGGGCAGGCTGGGGGTGCTGGAGGTGAATTCCGCAGCTGTGCGACCTTGGGCAGTTTGCCCAGCCCTGGGCCTCGCTTCCTCCTCTATGAAATGGGGCGGGAGCACCTGCCTGCTGGGGTTGTGGGTTGGGTGAATCGGAGCTAAGGTACAGCTCACAGCCTGCCGTCAGACCCTCGCAAGCAGAAGTGGGTGTCCCTGCTCAGCGTCCTCCGGTCCCTCCTTCAAGGCTCAGCTTTGTCCTCATCTCCTCCATGAAGCCTCCCTGGTTACTCCAGGAGTCACGACCCACACCCTCTTTGGAGCCTTGTGTCACACGCATTTCTCACGGTGTTGCTTTCCCTGGAGGATGGGTTCAACTAAAATTGGGGCCCATCTGGGGGTTCCCTCCAGCACCAGAGAAGCTCAGGCTTAGTAGAGATGGGTACCCTGTCAATACTAGTTCCGCGAAGGATACACTGTGCTCATTCTGCTGCCAGTTGCTGAGTCTGGTGTCCTGTAGTTATGGAACATGTGTACAGGCCTGGGCTGCTGGACACGAAGGCCAGATGGGCAGTTCACTCTGCCTCCGCTCTGAGCCTTTAGAAACAAGCTGGCTGCACCCATTTCCATCTGGTCACAGTTTAGGAGTGGGGTTGTGGAATGGATGGAAGGAAGGATGAGTGGGTGGGTGGGGGGGTGGGTGGGTGGGTGGATGGATGGATGGATGATGGGTGGATGGGTTGATGGATGGGTGGATTAGGTGGACAGGTGAATGGATTGGTGGGTGGGTGGGTGGGTGAAGGGCTGAATAGGTGGGTTGGGTGGATGGGTGGATGGATGTGTGGAGGGGTGGTGGGGTGGATGGGGTCCATGGGTGAATGGATGGATGGATGGGTGAATGGAGTAAATGAGTGGGTGGATGGATGGATGGATGCTGCAAGAGCCTTTCTGGAGGGTTCCAGGGAGGAACTGGCATCTTTGACCAGCAGCCAGCATGGTGATCAGATACAGGGAGGTGTCTGGGTCTGCCTGATCCCTTATCTCACTGTTGGTGGGACTGGGCTGGTTATGTGTCCCTGAAGCTCTCTGAAGGGTGGCTGTATGGCATTGCCCAGGGGACATCCCCAGAGTGCCGTGCTCTACAGCAATAGGGTGGCCGCCTGTGCTCCCAGGGCCGCTCCTCCTGGCAGCCTTTCGGGTTTGCTTGGCTTAGCACCTCAGCAAATCTCCTCGAGTTAGGACTTGCCTGCCATGAGCCTCTCCAACAAGCAGCCCCAGGCCAAGGCCTGTGTGTGGGCAGAGGGAGCGCATGCCGCGGGAGGCTGCATTAATCTGAGGTTCTGTTTTTGTTCCCTCCTGGGGCAAAAGGTAAAAATAGCCTGTCCCACTCCATCCCCAAATCCAGCCCGGCTGCACCCAGCCCTGGGAGTGAAGGGGGCTGGGTCAGGACTGCCCGTGAGTTGTAGACCCTGGTGTAGGGAAACCCTGATTCATAAGACGGGTGGACATGGAGGAAGGAGGAGACTCCGTCCAGCAGAGACACGCTTGGGTGCAGCCCAGCTTGGAGTCTGATGGACGTGGGCTCACCTGTGTGCAACTCTCATTCACTGTGTGGCCACAGGGAAGTGACACTCTGTGGAGACTCAGATTCCTTATCTGCAAAACAGGGGTAGTAGGGCTTGGGGGAGGATGTGTGTGAAGGTTTGGCCCAGGGCCCCTCCAGCAGCCAGACAGCAGTGGCTGTCATCCCTCCAGCGTCCAGGGTTACCTGGGGGAGTAGGGCCTCTGTCCCCAGATGGGCCCCGTTTCTGGCTCTGGAACTCACAGCAGGAGCAAAGGCGAGGACATTCCTGGTGTTAATCATCCACCCGGAGGGAGAGCGCCAGTGGCCTTGTGTGACCTTTGCCCTTTGTCTCTGTCTTTAGGAGGCACGCGGACCTCCAGTGGCCGGCTCCGGAGGCTTGGTGACTCCAGTGGCCCAGGTAGGTGGCTCGCTCCGCTCTGGCCCCACCCAGCTCATGGGTGTGTTTGTGCTGGGGTCCCTTCATTCTGGTCTGGGACCTGCCTCCCCACCTGGCTTCCCTGGATGAGTGGGGCCACTTGCCCATTTCCCAGGGAGACGCAGTCTTTGACGGCTTTGGACTCAGGTGGCTTCCAGGCCTGTCGACGCTGCCCTGCTGGAGATGATCCTTGTGGGGGCAGGGGCAGCCACCCCCAGGCTCAGGGAGCAAGCCCGTGTGTGCGGGACAGAGGAGAGAACAGGAGATAGATAGGGCTGGATGATTTGGTTTGAGATGCTGAGGGGACAGATGTGCCATGGACAGGTGGCTTTGGCCGTGAGCCTCTCGGTGTTGGTTCAGTATCTGTGGGCTCCCTGCAACCTTGCAGGATGGAAGATGCTCCAGGATAGAGCAGATACGTCCGGTGTTATCTAGGAGGAAATAAGTGGGCCTCTGGCAGTGGTCACTGTGCTACTCCTTGTGCTTTTTCCATGTGTTTGGAAATTTTCCACACTAACCAGTAGGGAAGGGAAACAGATGCACCCATCAGAGCTCTGGGGCTGGCCGTCCAGGACACGAGTTACAGCTTATAGGCTTGAAGGGACTCTACCAACACTGGGTGCAGCCTGGGCAAGGGAGTGGGACAGAGAGGTCAGGGCTCTGCCTCCAGCCCTTGCCCCCCAGGGCTGAGTCTGCGCGTCATCTTCTCCCCACTGGGTGTCCCTGATCTCCCCTGCCTGACCCCAGTGTGGCCATGCTAGTGCCTCTGTTTCTGGGAGCCTACGTTGTTCTTGGCTGTCACTTCCAGCGGCCAGGCTGGGACAGGTGCCCATCTAGTGGCTTTTCTATTTGGAGAGGATGATGGGTCACAGCAATGAATGGACTTACCTCCCCTAGGAGACGAGGAGCTCTGAGAAGAGCAGAGATGGCGTGGTCACCTGTGCATATGTGCTGGGGGCCAACTGGGTGCCAGACCCCTGGCTGCCATCATGGTGGCAGACAGGCAGGGACTGTGCCTTCATGAATTAGCCATTCTAGAGGAGACAAAGTTACCAAAGGACACGGACCCGGAGTCAAATCCACACAAATAGAGCGCCTGTGGACCAGGGCTGCCTTCAGAACAAGGTGAGACAGCCGTCCTGCCAGGACAAGGCGCCTACGGGGGCAAGGGCATGTGCCCATCTGGAGCCGCCACCTCCATGCTCTAGACCAGCTCCGTCTAATAGAACCTTCTGTGATGGTGGGTCTGTTCTATACATCTGCACTCCGCCATCCTGTATGGTAGCCGCTTAGCCGCCTGGGTCTATTGCACACTCAAAGTATAAATGTTTACGTTTACTTTATTCACTCATTTACTTGCATAGAATTATTTATTTATTTTAAATGGATTTCCACTTATATCTACGTGTGGCTAGTGGCTATGAAACTGAACAGTTCCAGACCACACTGGCACCTGAGACCTCAGAATTCTAGACCCAAAGCCTGCTTCTGATCCTGAGCTTGCTTCTGTGGGGACAGCACAGACGCCTCCTAAGTCTGCCTTCCAGAGGTGGATGCAGTGCCCGTGGACTGTGCACCACCAGGCCTGGACAGTGGAGAGGGTGGCTTTTTACAGGGAGTGGGAGTGGAGGGGATGCCGTGTCCACATTGAGTGCATGTGAGGCCCCTTGCAGTACAGGATGGGACTGTATGTGGGAAGAGGGGGGTGATGCTCTGGCTGGAGGCCCCTGGGCAGCTGCATGATTCAGCGCTGTGGTTAAGAGGGGCTCCGCCCATCGCAGTCATGTTGGGCACTAACCACTGGACAGCCCAGCCGCTGCTGTGTTTCTGGGGAGCTTTTCTCCGGCTCCGCATCTGATCTGCCTCTCCATCTCCTTCCCTCTCATTGGCCAGCTTCTGGTGGAATGGGTGGGGAGGGTCCCCCAGTTCTTGTGGGGGTTGCATCTTGGGAACCTGGCACCCTGGGCTGCATGGACACAGCCTCCCCCGGCGGTTGCTTCCCTCTGCTCAGACTGGCTGGTTCTGTGCTGTCAGCACTTGGCAGCCACGATCACAGCTCAGCTTGGAAGCCTAAGGCATAATTTGCTGAATCCCAAAGCTGCAAGCTGGTGATCTGGGTTTGCGTGGGACTGCCTGCTGACACACGGGGTCCTCCCTCTGTGGGCCTCTGTGGGCTCTGGCCCGAGACACCCTTTCCTCATCTTCTTGGCTTCTTTCTTTCTCCCTGCCTCCCTTTTGCTAAGACCCTGGTCCAGGCAGGAGTTCATTCCTAGACGCCCCAGCATCTCCGGCCTCCCCATTTGACACTCCCCAGACGACTGTCTGCCATCCCATCCTCCCAGCCCAGCTTCTCTGTAGATCCACATCTGGCCAATCTCCTATGTCTGGGACTCTTGCCCTCCCCAGAAGGACGAAGGCTCTTCTCGAGGTTGTGTTTGGGACTGGGCCAGGGATGACATTTCTGGCAAAAGCTTAAATGACACCATGATCAACGCTTTGGTCAGCTCACACACTTTCTTTCCTTTTAAAAAAAAAATGGAATTCTTAGAGCTACAAAACAAAAATGTAAAGAATAAGGTAATAAAACACCTGTGTACTCACCATCCCGCTTAAGAAGTGAGACATTGCAGGTGTAGCCGCAGCCCTGGGTGACCTTCTCCATCCTAGCCCCACTCCTGCTGCGGTGCCCGCCCCTCTGGATTGGGATCTGGCCCCGGGCAGGCACATCTGTGCTGGGCAGTGGTGTGTCTGAGAAGCCTAGGTCTCCTTTTTTTTTTTTTTGAGATAGAGTCTCGCTCTATCGCCCAGGCTGGAGTGCAGTGGCACCATCTCGGCTCACTGCAACCTCTGCCTCCTGGGTTCAAGCGATTCTTCTGCCTCAGCCTCCTCAGTAGCCAGGATTACAGGCACCCGCCACCATGTCTGGCTAATTTTTTTTGTATTTTTAGTAGACACAGGGTTTCACCATGTTGGTCAGGCTGGTCTCATACCCCTGACCTCAGGTGATCCACCTGCCTTGGCCTCCCAAAGTGCTGGGATTATAGGTGTGAGCCACCGCATCCGGCCTGGTCTCCTCTTGCATACGGTCATCAGCATCGTGTGACTGAGCAGCCTAGGTCTGTCTCCTCTTGAATGCCGTCATCAGCATCACATCCTTGGTGCCTCACTGGAGTCAGTGGCTGCCCTGCCTGTGCCCACAACGTGACGGCGTGGAGACTTATCCGTGTAGATCCACGAAGCCTTGGTTCACTTATTTTGGCAGCTAGCGAGTGTTCCTCTGTGTGGGGAGGCAGAGTTTGCCCGTCCCGTGGCCCACTGGTGACATCGCCGAAGGTCTTCTCTGTTACTAGTGCTGCCGGGAACGTGTGTTTCCCCAGGTGGATTTGGCTGGGCTGTGGAGATGCGCTTCTCAGCCCTTCTAGATGTTACCACCACGCCCTCCCGAGTGGCCTTCTGGTAGGCTCTCCCATGTTCGCTCATTTTCTGTGCCTCAGGCAGCCGCCTCTCTGACTGAGCGTCCAGCGGACTTTTGCCCTGTTTCCCACGGTGCACGGAGCATTTCATCTCAGTGGTGCCTGAGCTTCCCTCCCTCTGGCCCTCAGACCCCGGCTGGGATCCTTGGAGCCAACTCCTCTGCCTGACATCCCGTGTCGCTAGGTCCTGCTCTTCCATCTTCCAATACCTCTGGGGTGTGTGGCCTTTTCCCCAGTGCCCCCATCATCCCTTCTGTCCTAGGTTGAACCGTGTCCCCCACAAACTCATGTCCACCAAAAACCTCAGAATGTGACCTGGGAGTTGGAGATGGGGTCTTTGCAGATGTAAGTAGTTAAGGATCTTGAGATGAGGTCATTCTGGATTAGGGTGGGCCCTAAATCCAACAACTGGTGTCCTTAAAAGAAGCAGAGAGGCCACAGACACACCGGGGAGAGCCACGTGAAGGCAGGAGCAGATGATGGAGTGACGCAGCCCCAGGCCAGGGAGCGTCTGGGAAGAGGCAAGGAAGGACCCCCCCCCCACCCCACCCCAGAGCCTCCCTAGGGAGTGTGGCCTTGCTGACACCTTGATTTTGGACCTCTGGCCTCCAGCATGGGAGAGAACCCGCTTCCATTTTTTCAAGCCCCACAGCTGTGGTCCATTATGGCAGCCACAGGACACTGATGCACCTCCCACCTGGCCGCTGTGGATGGACGACCCCGCCCGCAGGAAGTCTCCCTCAAGCACTGCAGGTGTCTCTGCCCTCACAGGGGACGCCTGCACAAGTAGGTGTGAAAAAAGGGCCCTGTGGGGGCAAGGCCTGGGCTGGTGCTCGCTGCCTCCCTTCATCCTATGCTAGTTCCCATGCCTCTTCCGGCAGGAGTGCCTGGCTCCACCTGGTGAATCAGAGCCAAACTCTCCTGACAATTGGCTGTCACTTATTTAACTGCCACCATCCCCAGGAGACAGAAAATGCCAGAAGGGTGGGGCCTGTGCAGTGCCTCCTCGCTATTTCCCCAGGGCACCGTGCCACGTTGCCTCAATGCACAGAGTAGCTGCTCAAAGTGTGTCGGACGAACAGGTGCCCCATGCCCAGCCATGCAGACAAAAGTGTGCCACGTGGAGGGAGCTGGTCGTGGAAGAGACCACCAGCATCTTGGCTGCCCGAGGACCTTGCCCCTGGGCTCTTGCAGGCACCCCTAGTTCATTACTTCCTCTCTCACCCATAGCTACCCACTCTTCCTCTATTTCTCTGATATCAGCCTTGCCACCCACCCAGGTTTGCAAGCAGGAAATCTCAGAGTTGACCTTGACCTCTGCCTCCCCAGCACCCCCAGGTCTCAACAGGCTGCCAAGATCTCATCAACTCGCCCTCTGCATACTGACCCTTGGACAGGCTGCCCCGGTCACGGTCATGTCTTGGTTGGGCCTCCATCATCCCTCCTTGGACCAGCAGGTGCCATCCTCCCCACCCCTGCCCTGCTGTGGCTCCTTCCCCTCCACGGCCAACATTTAGAGGACGATTACCACTTCCCTCCCTGTGTGCTGGGGACCGGGTGATAGGATCCCTCCACCCGATCATTTCCATTAGACCTGGGCCGGGTCTTCTTACTCATAGAGCCCTTAGTTTCCGCCCCCAAAGCCTCGAGGGTGGATTCGTGCTGCCGCCCAGCCTGGCCCTGATACCGCTTTCCAGCCTGGAGCCCCCTGCTTCTGCGCTCCTGGCTCTGAGTGCTCGGGCCCCCCCTGGATGGGTTGCCACTTGTCCTCTGGAAAGCAGGGCTTCCATGCTCCTGGACCTCCTAGCTGACTCAGTGACTTTGGGCCATCTTGTCACACCCCTTCTATCAGCTTGGCCTTGGTTATTTCTGTGTCCTCCATAGCCTCGGACCAGAGCCACGGCGGGATGCTTTCCTGGTGCGTGGCAGGCAGTCAGGAAATATTGCTGGACTGACCTTGATAGGAGATGCTTGGGAGAATTGCCCAAAAAACTAGCTTAAAATGCAAATATTGGCCTTCTTTTGCGTTGGCTAAAGAGTAGCATTTCTCCGTTTGCCTCCCGGGTAAGAAATTGATGGCGAATGCAATGTCTCTAGGGAGGAGAAGAAGGTGACAAAAAGGGTCTGTATAACGGGGCACACGCTAGGCATTTGTGACTATTTAAGTTTAAATTATAACATAAATGCGAAACTCTTTGCCTTGGTAGCCCTTCCACATTGCAAGCGTTCACTGCCACATGTGGCTGCCATATTGACTACGGCAGATACAGAACATTGACATCATTGCGGAGAGTTCTATGGGGGGGCGCTGGTTTAGATCATCTTCACGTTGGATCCACAAATTCATTGTTTATCCAGTGAACGGTTACTGGGCACCTACTGAGCAAGCAGGATGAAAGACACCCGCTCTCGGGGGAGTCTTCCGTTGGCTGCAGAGAAGCTTAAACTCAGGGGACCTGGGGCAAACTCTGCAAGGGCCCTTGGCCTCTGCACCCCCAGACCTCCCTCGCTCTGCAGGGGCAGTCGGGGGCCCCCTCTAGGAATGGAGCGCCAGCTCCAGCTCCTGTCAGGCTACAGCCCAGATGGTTGGCTGAGCACGAGCATGTGAGAGTGGAATTGGGCCCAACCGGGCTGCTTCTCCCCGTTGTCTTGGTTTCCTTCCACGCTGACCTGGAAGGACTCCTAAAGCAACAGGCCTGCCCAGGCGGTTTGCACCAGTAAACCCTGCAGCGGCCCCAAGGGCAGAGATAGCTGGATTGTATTTATTTAGGAACAGCCAAAGTCTGAGGCACAATAAAAAGTGGAGAAAGATTCCAGAGAGGAATGCAGCTGGCCTCAGCCTGGGAATCCGTCTTGCTTGGGAGGCTGTAGGCGGGCCAGGCTGGGGCCAGCCTGGAGGGTCTTGGCTGGCTCTGCTGGCAGGTACAGTAGCAGGGTCAGCAGGAGGGAGTCCAGGACGGAGCTCCTTCATTTTTAATTCAGGGAAGCAAACTTCAGTGGTTGAGTCTGAGGATGAGCAGGAAATGAATGGAAAAGTCTTTTTTTTTTCTTTTTTCTTTCTAGGCAGGGTCTTTCTCTGTCCCCCAGGCTGGAGTGCAGTGGCACAATTATAGCTCACTGCAGCCTCAACCTGCCAGGCTCAAGGGATCCTCCTGCCTTAGCCTCCTAAGTAGCTGGGACTACAGTTGTGCGCCACCATGACTGGCTAATTCTTAAAAGAAATGTTTTCAGGCTAGGCATGGTGACCCATGCCTGTAATCCCAGTACTTTTGGAGCCGAGGTGGGAGGATCACTTGAGCTCAGGTGCTCCAGACCAGCCTGGGCAACATGACGAGACCCCGTCTTGACTAAAAATACAAAAAGTTAGCTGGGCGTGGTGGTACAGCCCTGTAGTTCCAGCTACCCGGGAAGCTGAGGCTGCAGTGAGTTGTGATCACGTCACTGTCCTCCAGCCTGGGCAAAGGGAGTAAGGCCCTGTTTCAAAAAAAAAAATTTTTTTTTTTTTTGAGGTGGAGTCTTGCTCTGTTGCCCAGGCTGGAGTGCAGTGGCATGATCTTGGCTCACTGCAATCTCTGCCTCCCAGGTTCAAGTGATTCTCCTGCCTCAGCCTCCCAAGTAGCTGGGATTACAGGCATGAGCCACTGTGCCTGGACTTTTTTTTTTTTTTTTTTTTTTTGTAGAGATGGGATTTCTCTATGTTGCCCAGGCTGGTCTTGAACTCTTGGCCTCAAGTGATCCTCCCACTTTGGCCTCCCAAAGTGTTGGAATTACAGGTGTGAGCCACCACACCCAGCAGGAAAAGTCACTTTTTAAAGCGAGAGGTTGTGCGTCCTCTATAGCTTGGCGCTCATCAGCATGGAGGATTTACTGGAACGTGTGTTAGGTGAGGGGACATGGAAGATGGCAGCAAATCCGAGCCCAGAGCATCAGAAAGCATGCTTTCAGCCAAAGATGCGTTCTCTCCACCTCCGCGCAGCACCCTTCCCCAGTGTGTACTCCTGGAGCAAGGTGGGGCCGATCCTACGAAGACCCTTTCCCGAAGGCCCCTGCTGCCCACATCAGTGTCACCTGGACCGCCTGCTCCCTTTTCTGGATGGCTGGACCAGCCCCAGGGCCTCCTGGCCTGGTGTGGGGAGCACAGTCCACCCTGGGGAATGCCTGGTATGTGTCCCCTCCCCACTGGGTACCAGGGGATGAAGCTGTGCTTCGTGGAAGGGGACAGAGGCGCTGGTGCCCAGGATGGTGCACCTGGGGCGGCTGAACTGGACCTGGCTCCTACTGGGCCCCTGTGGAGCCCAGATTGTTGTGAGAAGGGGTGGGGAAAGGCAGGTGATCCGCACCTTTCACTTTTGTTTCACATGGGAACAGGGGCTTATCCTGCACACATATTCAGTTTGGAGTATGAATTTCCATGAAGAGGAAAATCTCTATTAGGCTCTGATGTCAGGATTGTCCGTGAGGGCCGGGCCGTGTTCTGGGGCAAGGACAGGAGTGGAGGGGGCAACCAGGGAAGGCTTCCTAATGGAGGAGGCATTTGATAGCATCTTGAAAAAGAAGCAGTTCCTAGGCCAAGCCAGAGACTGAAGAATGACCACCTAACTTCTTTTTTTTTTTTTTGAGATGGAATCTCGCGCTGTCGCCCAGGCTGGAGTGCAGTGGCGTGATCTAGGCTCACTGCAACCTCCACCTCCCAGGTTCAAGCAATTCTCCTGCCTCAGCCTTCTGAATAGCTGGGATTACAGGCATGCGCCACCATGCCCAGCTAATTTTTGTATTTTTAGTAGAGACGGGGTTTCACCATGTTGGTCAGGCTGGTCTGGAACCCCTGACCTTGTGATCCACCTGCCTCGGCCTCCCAAAGTGCTGGGATTACAGGCATGAGCCACTGCACCCGGCCACGACCACCTAACTTCTTTCTACAAGATGCCCCCTGGCTGACGCAAAGCAGGTTGAGTGAGTGTGACACTTCCTTCCTGTCTGTGGGTTCCGGCCTTTCCAGAGCCCGGCCAGTGCTATTGGAGACAAAGTGGCCTTCGCTCTTCCTTCCCGCCCTGCCAGGCCCAGCCTGTGCCGCTGAGCCCCACTTTGCAATTAAGAGGAGCTGTGAACCAGTGATGCTGATGTCGCAGAAAAGTGGCCAGGGGTCTATGGGGGGTGAAGGACAGGGATGCCGCCCTGAGAACTGTCTGGAAGGGGCTTTTGGGTAACAGTGCCCACTCCAGGGTGTGGGCAGGCTGGGGTGGCTGGGAGCTGGGCTCATAGGCTGGCACAACCAGAGTTTCCCAAAGCCGTGGGCCTGAGGGCCCTGCCTTCCTGGGACAGCAACCTTTGGTCCAATTTGGGAAAAGGTGGGTTAAACCAAGCCCGGCTCCCTCACTGTAGGATTACTCAGTGCGTTTAGTATGCAAATGTGCCTCTGAATCTAAGACAGGACCACAGAAACCTCTTCAGTGTTCCTCTGGAGGGAGGGACCGCGGGGGATCCACCGCAGGGGCCTGGGTCTGCACTGGCCTGGTGAAGTGCCCCCTTAGTGCTTACACCATGCGCGGTGAGAGGTTGGCCCTCGCCTCCCCCACCCTCTGCTGGCCTTACCTCACCACCTCTGCACTCGCCTCCCAGCCGGCTCATGACTAACTCCTGCCTCTTCAGAGCCAATCGGTGCTGCCAGGTTTTCCATTTCAAGTGATCCCCCGCCTGGGCCAAAATGTTTGGATTTTCAGGCACGGAGGGGAGATGGACCTCAGGCCAAACCATGCTGGGTAAAACTGAGGGTCAAGGCTGTGCTCAGCAAGTGCTCCAGCCCTGGCCGTCAAACCCATAGTGTGCACAGCGTGCAGGAGGTGGCTGGGTGAATGAACTCAGTCATAGCCCGGCCCCTCACTCGGGGCTGTTCCCAAGTTCCCACCGCCAGCCAGGCTGGGTCAGAGCCTCGTGGGGCCTTCCTGGGCTTCCCTGCCCCACAGCAGGAGTTCGTATGGAGAGTCTCGAGTGAGGTTAATGGGTTTTCTTCCTCTTCTTTTTTTTTTTTTTTAATTTGAGACAGGGTCTCACTCTTTTTACCCAGCCAGGGTGCAGTAGTGCAATTATAGCTCACAGCAGCCTCGAACTCCTGGCTTCAAGCAATCCTTCCGCCGCAGCCTCCCAAAGTGCTGAGATTACAGGCACGTGCCACCTTGCCCAGCTGGGGTTTCTGCTTTTTACTTTTTCTCTTGTTTCTAAACTCAATACAAAGAAAGATATTACATTTATAATCAGAAAAACCAACAAGGAATATTATTTCAAAATTGGAAAAGGGATTAAAGAAACAAACCAAGAAACCTCTGCGATTCCTGCCCATCGGAGTCAGTGGTTGTTAGTGGTTGGCTTAACACAATGTTTTAGGAAGAAATAGAATAACAGAAAGCAACTCCAGTGAGCTGAGCCCTGGCTCCGTCTGTGGCGCTGCATCAGTTTCCTGCAGCTGCTGTAACGAGTGGCCACAAGCTGGCTGGGTCACAACAACGCCCAGCCATCCTCTCACAGCTCTGCAGGCCACACATCCGAGATCAGGGTCACCAGGCTGAAATCAGGGTGTCCACTGGGCATAGCCCTCTGGAGGCTCTAGGGCAGGGGTTCCCAGCCCCGTGTGTCCTATTAGGAACTGGCCTGCACAGCAGGAGGTGAGTGACTGGCAAGCGAGCGAAGCTTCATCTGTATTTACAGTCACTCCCCATTGCTCGCATTACTGCCCAAGCTCTGCCTCCTGTCTGATCAGCCATGGCATTGGATTCTTATAGGAGAGTGAACCGTATTGTGAACGGCACATGTGAGGGATCTAGGTTGCGTGCTTCTTATGAGAATCTGATGCCTGATGATCTGTCACCGTCTCCCATCACCACCAGATGGGACCGTCTGGTTGCAGGAAAATAAGCTCAGGGCTCCAACTGATTCTACATTATGGTGAGTTGTATAATTATCTCATTATATATTATAATAATAATAGAAATAAAGTGCACAATCAATACAACGTGCTTGTGGCCGGGTGCAGTGGCTCACACCTGTAATCCCAGAGTGAAACTCTGTCTCAAAAAATAAAAAATAAAGGCCAGGCACAGTGGCTTATGCCTGTAATCCCAGCACTTTGGGAGGCCAAGGCTGGCGGATCACGAGGTCAGGAGTTCAAGATCAGCCTGGCCAATATGGTGAAACCCCGTTTCTACTAAAAATACAAAAATTAGCCGGACACGGTGGCAGGCGTCTGTAGTCCCAGCTTCTTGGGAGGCTGAGGCAGAAGAATTGCTTGAACCCAGGTGGCGGAGGTTGCAGTGAACTGAGATAGTGCCACTGTACTCCAGCCTGGGTGGCAGAGCGAGACTCTGTCTCAATAAAATAAAATAAAATAAAATAATAAATATAATACACTTGAATCATCTCAAAACCATCTCCCCACTCCCTGGTCTGTGGAAAAATTGTCTTCCCTGAAACCGATCCCAGGTGCCAAAAAGGTTGGGGGCCACTGCCTTCATCGCCTGCCCCTTTGAGCCTCTGGTGGCTGTGGGTGTCCCTTGGCTTGTGGCTGCATGGCCCTTACCTTCAACACCAGCATCTACAGATCTCTCCGGGCCCCATCTCCACTTGGCCATCCCTGTCTGTGTCAAATCTCCCTCTGCCCCCGTCTTGTATGAGCACCGAGACTGCCTTTAGGGACCACCTAGACCATCCAGGGTGCTCTCGCCACAGCAAGATCTGCAACTGAATCACAGATGCAAAAACTCTTGTTCCAAACAAGGTCCCATTTGCAGGTCTAGGGATTAGGACATGCTATCCCTGGGGCCATTATTCAGCCTTCTCTCGTGACTATGATCCCTCCCTTCCTCCCCAGCCTCCCACCTCGGCTGAGATGCTGTCCCCACCTCCCTCACTGTCTGGCTGCCTGTGGGGCTGTCCTCCAGGCTCTTTGGGAGGAGGTGGTTGCTTGATGTCTCCCAGAAGGCTGGGAATGGTCCTCCCCACCCCCCAGGAAGATGTCCTTTCTGCCAAGGAGATTGCATTTGGGGTCCTATCCCAGGCAGAGAGCGGACGGGACTGTGGCCTGAAGTGGCACTTCAGGGCCTTTGGCTCTGTCATCTAGCCGAGGGCTGTGCATGGGCCTCACCTGGTCACAGGTAACTCACCTGGCTCTGTGGGGCAGGGATTGTAAACTCAGAGGCCTGCGGGGTGTGTCGAGGTAGAGGGGTGCAAATATTGTAAATTTGTTGGGGGCCTTGGGGAGCAGCACAGACTGAAAAGTGTTTTGTCTGAAGAGCAGAACTGTCTTATACCAGCCCTGTGCGGCCAGGCAGGAAGGCTTCCGTGGTGCGGCCACGCGTCCTCCCTTTCTCAACAGAAGCTGACAGTCTGGAGTTTTCAGAGAGATTGCCTGAGTTCTCAGCCTTGGCACAAACACACATTCTCTTTAAACAGGCTTGGGCCAACAGAACCAGCCTCCGTGTCTCGGGTTTGAATGAACCCTTGAGGTGAAGCTTAAAGACAGAGAGGATGCCCCTGATTCCCACCCCAGGGACCCACATTGTAAACCCCCACCTGCTCTGCTGAGCCCTTGGCCTCAGCATGGACCCTGACCATGTGCTGGTGGGGACCCCCCAGGTAAGTAAGCAGCCTCTGAGGACCCCGGATGAACAGTGGGGAACAGCACTGATCCCCCAGTGGGGCCCCGAGTTCCCGGAGAGGAAGACTCGCTCCCTCCCAGGGGACGGCTAGAGACTCACTGACTCATGCGTGTGTGGTAGGAATCTTCCAGGAAGTCCCCGTCCCGTTCGCCCTCTCTGCCTGGGCGGGGACGGCAACTGCCTCTGTCACTGCAGACTAATGGGACGGAGGGGGGTGACTTCTCAGGGTTCCTCCTGGGCAGGTGCTCCGGAACCTTTTCTCAGCACGCTGGCCTGGGGCACGGCCGTTCCTCCTGCCCAGCCACGTTGGGGTACAGGGTGAAGAAGGGCTGGGGCCAGCCCAGGACAGAGGAAGGCGAGGCAGGCACGCAGGAACTGGGCTTTTTAAACCCTTAAGCCCAAGGAAATCGTAGCATCGCGGGACAGGGAAAATGAAAGACTTTGGAAGTCGTCAGGAATTTGACTCTGTGAGTTGGTTTCCAAGAGTCTAAGTTAAGCATCTCCAAGTGGATATTAAAAAGGAGCAGCAAGCCTCGGGGCGGCGGGGGCTGGAGGAGGTGGAGAGAGGAGGCTGCCGGAAGCCGCACTCGGGACCTCTGCAGCCACCGACCAGACCGGGCGGCCGGGACTCTGGGACTCTCGCAGGCAGACCCGGTGGTCTGCCGGACTCCTCGGGGCCCACTTCGGGCCCTCTCTCCTGCCTCCTATTTTTGGATTTCTCTCCTTTGCTCCCTTTTTCCTCCCGTTTTGAAGAGACAATGCTACTTCAGTTTGGAGCACAAACATATGATCAGCACATGGAAATGTGGTAATTCGGATGCATTCGTGATTGCAACAGATTGAAGAAATTAGACCAGACAAAGAGTGTTTTTAGAGGAGGAGGAGGAGGAGGAGGAGGCTGAGAGAGGGAGGGCGACGGGGGTGAGAAAGGGGAGGCCGCCTCTGAGCGGGACGCCGGGACTCCCGCCGCTGCTAAATATATCCGTAGGAATGGAGAGGGACCGGATCTCAGGTACGCAGACAGCCCCCTCCCCATCGGCCGCCCCCCACTGCCCTGGACTCGGGGCTTTATTTATGCCTGGGGGAATAAGCATGCAAAGGGCGCTTTTGCTCATTTTTCACAGAAATATTTCTTTTCTTTTTGACGGTTCCAAGCTCGTGGGATGAACTCCGTCTCAGAAGCTAAGCTCTCCTGAGTCTGGCTTTTATTTAAACTCGGCTCTCCTCTCTCCTGGCTACTTCCCTTTCATTTTCCAGTGTGCCATTCTTGCATGTCATGGCCACTGTCAATGCTGAGGCTGTTGGCGCCGAAACCTTGGGAGGGTGTGGGGGACCTGCCCCCCTGGCTCGGGTCTGGGGCGGCGGCGCTTGGACCTGGCTGGTGGTTGGTTTGTCCACTGTGTGGTTTGTTTTTTGCTTCCAGCCAAAGTCTGTCTTCAAGGCTGCCTCGGTCTCCTACCTAAAATAGCATTTCTGTGCCTTCCTGGCAGTTGATTATAGAGGGGGAAGCTCCCGGCGCTCAGAGGAGCCTGGCGTGTGTGTGCACGTGTGTGTGCATGTGTGTGCGTGTGTCCATTCACGCTGGCAGCCCCCTTGCCGCAGGCACAGACCCATCAGGGCGTGAACAGGCAAATGAAGAGAAAGGGGGCTCCCCTGCCTTTAGTTCACCCCAGCTTTCCAGGCCCTCCCTCCCAGGCCCAGCCTCCTTGGTCCCTTCACTCACATGCGGTGCCGTGGCTGCCATCTCACGTGGCCAGCGCCGTCATCGGTAATTAGCAGTGATGACAGTTTCTGCCGCTCATGCCGCCCTCTGAGCCCAGCGCTGGGAGACATGGGGTGGCTGAGCCAAGCTCCAGGCTTTGGGTATTCTGAAGTGACCTACGGGCCATGGAGCGGGAGGTCGCTAAGAGTGTCAACCCCTACGTGCCTTGGGCCCTGGTCTGTTGGTTGCCACTATGTGTGTGTTGGGGGGTCCCTGAGAGGCCTGAGAGAGGGAGGCCCATCTCGGTGGCTCCTCTCTAGGACGTGTGGTCCCCTCCACCACTGCTCCCAGGGCCACATCTTTTTTTTTTTTTTTCTTTGAGACGGAGTCTGGCTCTGTTGCCCAGGCTGGAGTGCAGTGGCGCGATCTCAGCTCACTGCAAGCTCCGCCTCCCTAGTTCATGCCATTCTCCTGCCTCAGCCTCCCAAGCAGCTGGGACTATAGGCGCCCGCCATATTTTTTTGTATTTTTAGTAGAGATGGGGTTTCACCGTGTCAACCAGGATGGTCTCGATCTCCTGATCTCGTGATCCGCCCGCCTCAGCCTCCCAAAGTGCTGGGATTACAGGCGTGAGCCACGGCGCCCGGCCTCAGGGCCACATCTTGATTGTCACGTTGGGACTGGTGGAGCGGGTGTGTGTTGTGCCGCTGAGCACACCCAGTCGGGCACAGCAGGCGGACCTCAGGAGGGGGCCAGGGGAGACGGCAGAAGGCTTGGGTGGCAGTGAAACTGCATCTTATCTGTTTGAGCTCGGGGGCTCAGGCCCGCTGGGACGGGTGGGTGTGGAGCCCAGCGTCCTGCTCTCCGCCCAGCAGGAGCCGCAGGGCAGGGAGCGCTGAGAGGGACCTTCGTCAGGCTTGCACAGTGGAGCCGTCCTCGGAGTGACCACCCCACCAGGCAGCCTGGGCAGACCACAGTGGGTCCCCTGCCTCCTGGGCCACCAGCCCCAGGAGGACGTCACTCCACCCGCCTGGCTGGCAGGGGCCTCGGGGAGCCTCGGGTTCGGCCTTCACTTTATAGATGATCTAGCCGAGGCCCAGATGGGTGACCAGCAGGGGATCTGAGAGCTGAGCAGAGAGGCGTGGGTTTGGGGGTGGTGCTCCCTGGGGAGCTGGAAGTGATGGCACCCTCCCAGGCTCACAAAACACGGGCTTTTCATGAACTGAACAAAACACTCTTTGAAAGCAGCCAGTGCTGTGCCCCAGAGACCACTCTGATCCCTGCTGCCCTTGGCTGAGGACAGCACAGCCAGGGATGAAGCGGGGACCTCCCCTCGGGCTGTGCCTTGATGAAAGATGCTTTCTACAAAATCCCATTCGGATGTGTTTTCATGTAAGAAAACGTACATTTTTAGAAACTCAGTTGTAAACTGGCTGCCTTCCGAATGAACACGACAGTCCCGGAGCTGTTTCCCTTAATGAGGTTCTCGTCCTGGGCAAACTTTAGCGCTGGTCTTTAATTGTCACTGAACTCCCGCACAGTCCCTGGGGAAGTGACTTCCTTCCTGTCCCTGCTGGGTGGCCTTGAGCAAGCCACTTGGCAGCTCTGGGCCGCAGTTCCGTCATCTGCAAGGTGAGGGGTGGGAGCGGCACGGCCCCTAGGCAGCGCCCCCACCTCCTGCGGGTTTCTGCGCGTGTCCTGAGTTTTGTGGGCGCCTCTTCCCTCACTGAGGGGCTCTTCTTCTCTGCAGGGCATGGCTCACGCCGCGTTGTCAGGCTGCAAGCCACTGCGAGAGCTGCTCTGATCCCCAAGCATGCTCTGGCCTGAGGAGGAGCCATGGGGAGGACGCTGTGCCTGTGTGACAGAGGCCTGCCCGGCAGATGCCGGCCCGCTGACTTCCAGACGTGGCTGTGGGTGCCTCATGCCCCACTGGGCTGGCGTGTGAGGCGTGTCCAGCTCAGGCTGCCCTACAGCTGCCCAGGAAGGGTTTGTGGGAGGGGGTGGTCCTACCCTGGTGAGTCCACGGTGGTCTGCCAGCCCCAGGGAAGGCTTAGGAGCCCCAAGACCTGCCCTCTTGTCCCTCCCTCGGCAGTGTCTGGCTCCGGTCTGGTTTGTGAACGGGGGCCTGGGTACTCTCCCGCCCTCCCTGGGGGCTGTGGCCTTCCCCTGGGAAGGTGCTGGAGGGTTTGTCAGCAGGGCCGGCATGAGTCATGGAGTGGTGACTGGCCGCTGAGGCATGGAAGGCCACTCCTTCCAGCCAAGGGTCGGAGCTTTTTTTTTGTTCTGGAACGGCTTTGTGGCTTTTACAAATTAAGCAGTTTTATCTTGTTCCAAGAGCTTGTATTTCAGCAGGGAGAGAGTCTCCAAGAAGGGAACTTTCCACTGGGGAGCTCTGTTGGGCTGGGAGGCTAGGAACAGGCCACGAGGGAGGGCTGCAGGCAGGGGAAGTGGCCGTCTGTGCATGGTCATGAATGCAGGCCCGGGGTCCTGGAGGGGGCTTGGCCACGCTGTCGCTGGACGTCTGTCCCCACCAGGGTCCATCTGATGCAGTACGGCACAGGGTAAAGCCCAGCTCCTCTTACGGGGTTCCTGGGTCATCAGTGGGCGGGGAACCGAGGCCTCCTGGAGGGCGGTGCCTCAGCCCTCACCCCTCCCTCCTGTCCCTCGCTGTGCTGTCCCCGATGGCCTCTGCCATCCCCTGGGAGTTCTTACCCCTGGACGCTCGGTGCCTGTCCGGTCTCAACCTCTCCAGCTCTGCTTTTCCATCTCCGAGGTGAGAGGCCTGGCCTGACGCGCTCTGCACCCGCTTCCTGCCCAGCCCCGTGGGAACTCTGGTCCCTGTAGTGGTTTCCTGGGGCTGCCATCACCAAGTGCCACAAACTGGGTGGCTCAAAACACCAGACATTTCTTCTCTCGCCGTTCTGGAGGCCAGAAGTCCGAAATCACGGCATCAGCAGGCCTGGTTCTTTCCGGAGGCTCCGAGGGGGAGCCTGCTTCTCGCCTCTGGCAGCTTCTGGCGGCTCCCGAAACCCTTGGCGTTCCTTGGCTCGTGGCCACACCACTCGACCTCTGCCTCCGTTGTCACGGGGCCTCCTTCTGTGCCCTAAATCTCCCCCTGTCTGTCTCTCATACGGACAGTCTTTCTCGGATTTAGGGCCCACTGGGTAACCCAAAATGGTCCCATCTCAAGATCCTTAACTTCATAACGTCTGCAAAGACCCTTTTTCCAAATAGGCCATGTTCATAGGCTCTGGGGTGGATGTAAATTTTAGGGGCCACCTTTCATCCCCCTGTTGTCCCCGTGTGTCTGGATGCACAGCATGGTTCCATGTCCCAGACTCCTTGCTGGACCCCTCTGGCCCTTTGGGGTGGCCTTTGGCCTTTTCCACTCGTTTCTGTGCTCCTGGTGAGGTGTCGGGGTCGGGCTTAGCCCCTGCAGGAATTCTGGGGACAGCATGGAGCCGGCAACTCCCCACCAGGCGTCTTCCTACCTGCCCAGAGCTCATGGTTGTGAGGGGTCTCTCCTTGTGGTTTTGATTTGCAATTCCCCAGTGGTTAGTGATGTTGAGCATCTTTTCGTGTTTATTGCTCATTTGCACATATTCTTGCAGAAATGTCTGTCCAAGTCCTTTACCTGTGTTTGATTTGGATGATTGTTGTTGCTGAGTGTTAGGAGATCTGTAGATTAATATCCAGATACTAATCCCATATCTGACCTATGATTTGCTGCCATTCCATGGATTGCCTTCTCCCCACGTTGTTAGTGCCCTTTGATATGCAATTTTTTTTTTTTTTTTTGAGATGGAGTCTGACTCTGTTGCCCAGGCTGGAGTGCAGTGGCATGATCTTGGCTCACTGCAACCTCCGCCTCCCTGGTTCCAGCGATTTTCCTGCCTCAGCCTCCTGAGTAGTTGGGATTACAGGCACCCGCCACCACACCCAGCTAATTTTTGTATTTTTAGTAGAGACGGGGTTTCACTGTGTTGACTAAGTTGGTCTCGAACTCCTGACCTCAAGTAATCCACCCGTCTCGGCCTCCCAAAGTGCCGGAGTTACAGGCGTGAGTCACCGCACCCAGGCTGATATGCAAATATTTTAAACTTCTATGACGTTCCACTTTATCTATTTGTTCTTCTGTTGCCTGTGCTTTTGGCGCCATATCCAAGAAATCATTGCCAAATGCAACGTCAGGAAGCTTTTCCCCTGTGTTTTCTTCTAAGAGTTTTGTGGTTTTAGCTCTTGAGTTTAGGTCTTTGATGCAAGTTGAGTTGATTTTTGCATGTGGTGTAAGGGCTGGTCCAGCCTCATGCTCTGGGCTCTTGATTCACTTCTCTTCTTTTCTCACGCCCAGCTGGTTCCGCTGGGTGGCGGGGAGGAGTGGGGAAGTCCCGGGCTGGGCCTGCACTCGATCATCCCCTCTCAGGCCAGCCAGGGAGTCTCAGCTCCTGCCCAGGACCTGGCTGGACGTGCTCCCTACCGGGAAAGCCTGGGCCGTCTTTCTAGGCTGATGGCAGGGCCAGCCCGGGGCGTCCTGAGGCCTGCCCTGCGGACATGCCCCTTGTTCTAGGTGGTGTGGCTGCCCGGCCTGCGTGTGAGACCAGCTGTCTGTGCTTCAGGCCATGGAGGCTGAGTGTTTCCAGCCTGTCCCCTTGCTCGGCTCTCCCTCTGGGGAAGCCCCTGCAGCCCATTCTCTGCCTCCGCTTCTGCCATCTGTGCCTTTGTCTGCTTCCTGTTTGGAGGTGGTCATCCCTGGGGCCACCCCTCATGATCTGGACACAAGTCTCCATCCTGAAGCCACCACCCAAACCCCTGTGCCTCAAACCCCTCCCACCCACCACATGGGTTTCCACTGTGACCAACTCAGCAGCTGATGAAGCTTCCCTTGGGGCTCTCCTAGCAACGGGGAGCTGGCTTTCCCGGAGGCCTGGCCTCTCCCTAAGTGGAAGTGGGGCGTGAGGGTGTCAGCCTTTTTCTGCTGCCTGGTGCTCTAGGTTGGCTTGTCACCCCTGGAAGCACTTGCCATCCTTATACAGCACCCCACACCCACCTCCCCGCCTCCTACCCCTTCTTCCAAGGGGTCATCTCTGCTTCCCTCCCCACCCAACCTCACCCATGTGGTCCGCCCAGCAACCTTTGACCCCCAACATGACAAAATAAACCTCCCTTGCCGGTCACTCATTCATTCATTCAGCATTGGGTGCTCCCTGTGGACTTGGCGCTGGGGTCCCGTGGAGGACAAAGCCAGACACAGTCCTTGCCCTCATGGGACTGCACAAGTGCAAGACCACATCAGTAAACGTGAAACACAGGAAGTGACAGGTGTGACAAAGGGGACCAGTGGCAGGACAGAACCTGCGGTTCGTAGGACCAGGTCAGGAGGGCTGCCTCGGGGGGACACCTTCGGGCTGAGCGCAGAAGGATGAGGGGAGTAAACCAGGCTCAAACCCAGCAGGCAGAGGCGATCGCTGCAGGCAACCGGCAATGTGTTCAAAGGCCCTGGGGCGCGGGGGGCTGAGGCCGGCAGCACGGCAGGAAGTAAGACTGGGGTTGAAAGAGACTGACTGTCATGTTGTGAAATATACACTTGGTTTTCATCTCCATTTCCTGGCACACAACTCCTAAAATCCTTGGAATCTCCAAAGTGATGTCTTTTTGGATGCTCATGATTGACAGACCAGCTGGCAGCTTCAGGATGGTTCCCAGGGAAGACCAGGTAGAATCACAAGGTTCAGCACCACCCCGCAACCTCCAGGTAGGGGAGAGGGGCTGAAGGTTAAGCAGATCATCAGCGGCCAATGATTGAATCAATCATGCCTTCGTAATGAGGCCTCCGTGAACACTCAGAAGGATGGGGTTCCGGGAGCTTCTGGATGGATGAGCATGTGGAGGCTCCTGGAGGGTGGAGCGCCTGGGGAGCACATGGAAGCTCTGCGTCCCTCCCCCATACCTTGCCCTACACATCTCTTCCCCTGTATCCTTTGTAATATCCTTTATAATAAACTAGTAAATTCCATGAGCCCCAGGAACATGTGTAAAAGAAAAAAAAAAGAATAAACCATAGCTGCTGTAGCAAGTTAATCCTACCAGCACTGGCTCTCATCTGCCGACCTTACCTCTGGCAATGCCTCCCTCTCCTGGGCTCCTGGGACCCCTCCGGCCCCACCACCCCTCCTGTAGTGGTCTCGCTGGCTGCTGCCCTCAGGTTAGTTTATTTTTACCCGGCCTGCTCCCACCAGGGGCTGAGGCCTCCTTGCTCACTCCAGCTTCCTGGCCCGTCTCTTGCTCTGGGCACCCCCCCACTCCGAACGGCCAGAGCTTCTGAAGCCGCTCGCTGTGTGCCCCCGCCTGGCCCCATGCATCCCGCACGGTGCTCCCCAGGGTCTCCCACTGGCAAGGGCATTGGCATAGATTCTGGGGCTGCCTTGGTTCAAGCCCACCCTGACTTGGAGCCTGAGGGTCCCTGAGGGGGTCCTGAAGGCCAGGGCAGGCAAGGCTGGCATGCTCTGGGCAGTGGGGGCTGGGTATGGGAGGGGATCGTGGGTGGGGAGATTCCTCTTAACCAGCGGCCCACGTTTGGAGACTGATTTGGGCTCCAGGCTACGCCTTGAAATTGGGACAGAGAGTGGCGCAGATCTCAGCCCGGAGACTCCCTCTGCCTGTGGACGCCCTCATACCTCCATCCGTGGAGCCACCCTCCTCTTTTTTTTTCTAAATGGGGAAACTCTGACTTGAACACTGAATAAACAACACACCCTCGAAATCAGCGAAGAGGCACTGGCTCTGAAACTTTGCCATGAAAGCTTGAAAATGCTCTTTGGACCGATTTGCTGGAACAGACGGGTGTGATGGGGCTGCGGGGTTTCAGGTGGCAGGAGGCGTCCCCGTGCCTAGGGCATCCCGATGCTCAGAGTTTCCCCGTGCCCAGTGTGTCCCTGTATCCAGGGCATCCCCATGCCCAGGGTGTCCCCGTGCCTAGTGTGTCCCTGTATCCAGGGCATCCCCATGCCCAGGGTTTCCCCGTGCCCAGGGTGTCCCTGTATCCAGAGCATCCCCATGCCCAGGGTGTCCCCGTACCCAGGGTGTCCCCGTTCCCAGGGCGTCCTGTGCCCAGGGTGTCCCCGTGCCCAGTGTGTCCCTGTATCCAGGGCGTCCCCATGCCCAGGGTGTCCCCATGCCCAGGCACTGCCTCTCCCCACTTTCCTAATCTCCCTCCACCAACAGGTGTCAGCTGTGAAATGCCTGCTGTGTGTGTCCTTTGGTTGAGTTCATCTTGTGCTCTTAAGTTCCTGTTAGACACAGGCAGGCTGCTTTAGTTCTTCTGGCAAATGTTTTGTTGTTGTTGTTTGATACGGGGTCTCACTCCGTCACCCAGGCTGGAGTGCAGTGGCGCCATCTCGCCTCACTGCAACCTCCGCCTCCCAGGTTCAAGCGATTCTCCTGCCTCAGCCTCCCAAATAGCTGGGATGACAGGCGTCCGCCACCATGCCTGGTTAATTTTTGTATTTTTAGTAGAGATGGGGTTTCACCATGTTGGTCAGGCTGGTCCCGATCTCCTGACCTCAAGTGATCCACCCAGCTTGGCCTCCCAAAGTGCTGGGATTACAGGCATGAGCCACCGTGCCTGGCCCGTCTGGTGAATGTTTATTGAGGCCTACTATGTGCAGCCCCTCTCTTAGGTGCTTGGCCTGTAATGAGGAGCAACAAAGACACAGTCGCTGGTCGCTTGTTACTTAACAGTTGGAACTGAGAGGCAGTCCACAAATGAGCAAATCCATAGGTGGTTTTAGATGAGGACTGTGAAGAAGCTAAGAACAGGTTGCTGGGGGTGCATATCTGTGTGTGTGGCGAGGGGATTAATGGAAGCCCTTTCTGAGTGGTGACACTGAGCTGAAGCTGTAATGACCAGAAGGACCCAGCCAGGCCAAAATCCAAGGGAAGAGCAACCTGGCAAAGGAAACAGCAGGTGTGAAGGCCCGAGGCTGGAGCCTGGGGAAGGTGGGAGTGGCTGGAGTGTGTTTTCAGAGACGGGCCATGGTGACACCAATGCGACAGGCAGGGCCAGGTCGTGCCGGGCCTTGGAGGCCCTGGTGAGGGCTTGATTTTATTCTCACTATGGTGGGACCTCAGTGCCCTGTGGCTGCTGAGAATGGCCAGGGGCAGGCAGGGAGGCCTGCTAGGGAGGAGGCTGCTGCAGGCCCTGCAGCTGGAGAGGGAGGATCAGGATCTCTTTAGAGAGGAAGTTGGAGAGGGAGGATCTCTTTGATTGCTGGATGGACCCACCTGCCTGGCTGCCCCCGTCAGCATCCAGCAGAGGCCACTGGATGCTGACAGGTGGCCGGCCCTGCCCAGCCTTGCACTGCCCTGTGCTGCCCTGGTGGCTGCCGGCTTTAGGAGGAGCGCTTTTGGTGTCTGAGCCCAGTGGTCCTGGCTGTGGTTTGGTACACTTGGCCGTGGGTGAGGCCAAGGTGGTTTGGATCCTGGGAAGGTTGGGTACCTGGCAGCCTCAAGGCAGGAGCTGGGGTGTTGGAGGAGGAAGCACGCTCATCCCTCGTTCCTTCCTGTTTCGTGGGATGCTGAGTCTCTGGGCAGGGACATGGTGAGCCCTGGTGTGATGCACTTAACACCTGCTGGTGCCCCCATCCCCAAGCAGGAACCCTGGTGCCTGGTGCCTGAGGACTGCTGTCCACCGTCCCACCATCCTTCAGGTTTCTTCCCAGCCTCTGACTCGGGGCAAGGTTCAGATATCCAGAACATTCTTGGCTGGCTCTTGGAGCTGGGGTGAGGCAGAACCTCCCTCCCATATTTACAGCACCAGCCAAGGCTTCGGGGTTTGGACACCATCCCTGGGAGGGGTGAGCAGGACAAGTGAGGTCTCCAGACTTGGGGTGGCTTCGGACTGGCCAGGCAGGTGGGTGGGGGCTGCAGTCCATGCCCCCGCTCCAGGCAACACAGTCGAGCTGCAGCCCCCGCTCCATCCCCAGCTGGGGCTCCCTGTGCTCACCTTCTGCTTCCTTCCTCTCCCTCGGAATGGGGGGTGGACACTCCAAGACTAGCCTCCCAGCCACTCTCCCTGCCTCCTGCCTCCTCTCCTTCGGGACAGACCCCTGTGATCGCTGGGTGTTCCTGATGCTCTGTCCCCTCTGCGTCCTGTGCCGTGGGTGAGAGAGGGCTTCGGGGGGACTTCCCCCTCTTGGAGCACCTGCTGCTCCGGGTGCCTCTGGGGGCGGGCCCCCACCTCACATTGTGGAGCTGGTGTAGGAAGGAAGGTGCCGGGAGCCAGCTCCAATTCACGTGCTGGCTGTGGCCCTCAAGGTGTGGATGGCAGGAGGTGGTGAGACAGGGACTCATTGATCATGGGACTGACACCCCCTCATGTTGATGTGGGCCCTGAGCCATAATCTCACCAGCTCCTGAGTTTTGGCGCTGCTCTTGGCGATGGCGTGGACTCAGCCAGGCTCTCGGGCAGCCTTTCCTGGATTCTTCCTCCGTTCTCCCCTGGGCAGTGTTTCTGTTCACCTGGAAAGGATGGGTAGGACTTGGAGACAACAGGGATTCAAAGAAGTCGGGAGTGGGGGCACCTGTGCAGCTCACCCTGCAGAACAGACAATTTGGTTAAAGCCTAAAGCCTGCTGTCAGGAGCCTCGCTTGCCTCTCAGAGAGCACATGGCTTGACCATCACGGGGACTGGGGGAGAGGCACAGGCATGCCTGTCCGGCAGCAGAAGGGAACCCCGGGCCTGGGCCTCTCCATTCTGTGGCGTTGTCTTTCCTCAGAGTTGCACTGTCTCCTTCACTGTCCCTGCCTGGCCCCAGTGCTCATGTGGCTTGTGGCCCTCAGTCTGGGCTTGGTCTCCCGCAATTCACCCTGCCCAGCCCCACACAGCTTGTCCCTCCAGCTGGGAATCGGAGCTCACCTGGAGTCCCAGGCAGCAGATTCGATGCAGTGATGCAGGGCTGTCAGCCATGCCAGCAGGCCCTGCTGCTCACAGAGGGATGGGTATTGCTGTTGACAATAATTAAAGAACTACGGCTTCAGGCTGGGTACAGTGGCTCACACCTGCAATCCCAGAACTTTGGGAGGCCGAGGCAGGAGAATCAATTGAATCCAGGAGTTCCAGACCAGGCTGGGCAACATAGCAAGGCTTTGTCTTTACAAAAAATAAAAAATAATAATAATAATAAAAACTACAGCTTCAGAATGATTGACTTCAGCATGTTTATAAAGTCAAGGGTCTTCAGTGTCCTGGGCCTATGTCACTGCGTCAGAGGGAGAGAGGAAGAGGCTGGGGTGATGGGCACTGGGGCTTATGCTCCTCCTGGAATGGGTGGTCTTGGACTGTGCCTGTGTGATATGTTTGTCGAGCGGGGGCGGTGTCCACTGAGGACTGGATGTTGAGGTGTGGGTGGGGGGAGGTTATGAAGCACTGGGCATTTCCCGTGCACCAGTGCCCCGAGATTGCAGAGAGGGGACCCGCCCAGCCTGGGCAGGGAGGCGGGTGGCAGCGAGGAAGGGGAGAGGAACTCGGGTGCAGAAAGCCTTTCCTCCAGCAGGTGGCGCCGCAAGCTCTCGAGAGTCCAGCTCCTGCGGGGTTTGCATTTTCACTGAATTTGTGGGCAGAGGCTGCCTGGGTGTAGTTTCCGCCAACTGTGACTGCTCACTGCGGGCGAGGGGAAGTGGAGTGCAGAGAATGCACCGGAGGGCAGATGACCAGCCCCCGCACAGGCACGGGGGTGCCTCCTTCCCCGCACAGGCACGGGGGGCCCGAGCCCTTGGGGTTCCTGTCCTAACTGGGCGGGGAAAGGGAGGGTTGGAAGCTGAGTTAGGGGGAAAGGGGGTGGTCTCCTGCCATCTCTTTTATTTTATTTTTCCTATTTTTGGTTGATAGGTTTCAATCTTTTTTACATTTTTCCAACTTTTTGCCGTAAAACTTTTCAAACATAGAAAAGATGAAAGAGGGCTGAGTGTGGTGGCTCATGACTGTAATCCCAGCACTTTGGGAGGTTGAGGTAGGAGGATCACTTGAGCCCAGGAGTTCAAGACCAGCCCGGGCAATATAGTGAGATCCCATCTCTATAAAGGATACAAAAAATTAGTCAGGCATGGTGGTGCAGGCTTGGAGTCCCAGCTACTCGGAAGGTTGAGGTGAGAGGATTGCTTGAACCTGGGAGGTTGAGGCTGCAGTGAGCTGGGATTGTGCCAATGCACTCCAGCCTGGGCGACAGAACAAAACCCTGTCTCAAAAACAAAACAAAACAAAACCACAAAAAAGAAACCATGAAAGATTCTAAAGTAAACACCCATGCACCTACCACCTAGATTCCACAGCAACCATTTTGCTGTTTGCTTCACCACAAATCCCTCTGGCCACCAGCATCCACGCTGGTTTTGATGCACTTAAAATAAGCTGCAGAAATCAGCACACAACATCCTGTCAACACCTCAGTTTGCATTTCATTAACTAGAGTCCGGCATTTGTCTGTGATTATTTTTGTTTTTCTTTGAAGTAAAATGTATATACCCTGAGATGCACAGGTGTGAAACGTTCCGTTCTTTGAATTTTAACAAAGGTATCCACGTGTATCCCAGCCTGACCAGAACATAGAACATCACTATCACCCCAGTAAGTTCCTCATGCCCCTCCAGGTGCATCACAGTCCCCACCTTCCCCAGGGCAACCACAATTGTGCTTTTTTTCCACCACGAAATAATTTTGCCAGTTTGAGTGTTTCTTAGAGCTACCCATGTTGCTGCAGGTGCCAGCGATTTGTTCTGTTTTATTGCTGAGTAACGTCCACTGTGTGAACATTCTGTGGGTTTTTAGTCATTCTCTTGTTGAAAGACCCCTGGCTGTTTCCATCTGGAGGCTCTTATGAGTAAACCTGTTACGCTGGTTCTTCTTGTACAAGTTTTTCTGTGCATATGGGCGTTCATTTATTCTGTAGAAACACCTAGAGTAGGTATAGGGTAGGTATACATTTAGTTTTATAAGAAACTGCCAGATCTTTTCCCAAAGTGGCCCTTCCATTTCACACTCCCACCAGCAATGGATACGAGTTCTAGTTGCTCCACATCCTGGCCAACATTTGGTGCTGTCACTCTGTGAAATCTTAGTCATTCTGGTGGGCGTGTAGTGGTATCATCTCATTATGGCTTTAATTTGCTTTGGCCTGATGACTAATGCGGTTGAGCACATTTTCATGATTGGCTCTTCATATATTTTTCCTTTGTGAAATGTCTTTTCAAATCTGTTGCTCATTTTAAAATTGGGTTGCTTGACTTTTTCTTCTGGATACTGATCTTTTGTCAGATACGTGTTTTACAAATATTTTATTCCAGTCTGTGGCTTGCCTGTTCATTTTCTTTCCTTTTTCAAGAACAAGGTCTCGCTGTATTGCCCAAGCAGGTCTGAAACTCCTGGGCTCAAGCTGTCCTCCTGCCTCTGCCTCCCCAAGAGCCGGTTTTACAGGCATGAGCCACCATGCCCGGCCTGTTCATTTTCTTAGTGGTATTTTCCAATAAGCAAAAGTGTGTCACTTTAATTTTTATGAAGTCTAATTTAACAAACTCCTTTCTTTGTGGTTCTCTCTCTGTGTTCTTTGTAAGAAACCTTTGCCTACCCTGCCAAATTGCAAAGATATTTATGTTTTCCTTTAGAAGGCTTAGAGTTATATAGCTTTTATGAATTAACTTTTGCATATGGTGTGAGGTAGAGGGTCAGGGTTCATTTTGTTGTCGTTTTATGTGTTTATTCAGTTGTTCCAAACTTCATTTTTTTTTAAAGCTTTTATTTTGTATTTTCTTGGTGACTTATGAGGTCGCACAATTTTCCAAGATCCTTGTTGGTCATTTACGTATTTTCCTTTGTAAAATTATCTGTCCACGTCTTACTTCTTTTTAAAATTATGTTGTTTCAAGATCGAGTGATTTCTGAAGCCTTCATTTTATAATGCTTGAAAGAATGAACACCTTGTTCCCCAGCTACAGGCTTCTGCTCTTTGTCCTGCAGCTGCACAGTGGGGTAAGACTTGGGTTTTGTTTTGTTGCTGCTTTGTTGTTTCTTCATTTGACTGTTTCCCCATGGGTCTCATTTAAAAAAAAAATTGGCCGGGCACAGTGGCTCACGCCTGTAATCCCAGCACTTTGGGAGGCCGAGGCGGGCAGATCACGAGGTCAGGAGATCAAGACCATCCTGGCTAACACGGTGAAACCCCATCTCTACTAAAAATACAAAAAATTAGCCGGGCGTGGTGGCGGGCGCCTGTAGTCCCAGATAATCGGGAGGCCGAGGCAGGAAAATGGTGTGAACCTGGGAGGCGGAGCTTGCAGTGAGCCGAGATTGCACCACTGCACTCCAGCCTAGGTGACAGAGCAAGACTCTGTCTCAAAAAAAAAAAAAAAAAAAAATGTTGTTTCATATGTTTTTTATATATTCTGGATATAAGTCCTTTATCAGATATATGTATCATAAGTTTTTTTTTCCACATTGCTCCTTTCCTTTTGGTTTTCTTAATGATGTTATTTAATGAGCAAGAGTATTTTGTTTTCATAAAGTCCAATTTATCAACTTTTTCCAGTTTCGATTTATGATTTTTGTGACCTATGGAGGAAATCTTTGCCTACACTAAGGTCAAAAGAAGTTCTCTTATTTTCTAGAAATTTTATAGTTGTATATTCTATGATTCCTTTTATTTTTTAATTTTTTAAATTTTTACATTTTTTAACCTATTATAGCCGTCAGGATGTTGTATGATCCATTTTAAATCAGTTTTTGTATTTGGTTTGAGGTCAGGGTTAATTCTTGTTTTTCTATACTCATATCCAGTTCTAGCACCGTTTGTTGAAAAGACATACCTTACTCTATTGAATTACCTGACACCTTTGCTAAAAATCATTGACTGTATATGTGGCCCTATATTAGTATATGTACGTATATACATGTAGGCCCTGTGTTGACTGTATGTGTGGTCCTATATTAGTATATGTACGTATATACATATTGGCCCTATGTTGACTGTATATGTGGTCCTGTATTAGTATATACATATCAGCCCTATATTGACTGTATATGTGGTCCTGTATTAGTATATGTACATATATACATGTAGGCCCTATGTTGACTGTATATGTGGTCCTATATTAGTATATGTACATTTATACATGTAGGCCCTGTGTTGACTGTATATGTGGTCCTGTATTAGTATATGTACATATATACATATAGGCCCCGTGTTGACTGTATATGTGGTCCTGTATTAGTATATGTACATATATACATGTAGGCCCCATGTTGACTGTATATGTGGTCCTGTATTAGTATATGTACATATATACATATAGGCCCCGTGTTGACTGTATATGTGGTCCTGTATTAGTATATGTACATATATACATGTAGGCCCCATGTTGACTGTATATGTGGTCTTGTATTAGTATATGTACATATATACATGTAGGCCCTATGTTGACTGTATATGTAGTCCTATATTAGTATATGTACATATATACATGTAGGCCCTATGTTGACTGTATATGTAGTCCTATATTAGTATATGTACATATATACATGTAGGCCCCATGTTGACTGTATATGTGGTCCTGTATTAGTATATGTACATATATACATGTAGGCCCTATGTTGACTGTATATGTGGTCCTGTATTAGTATATGTACATATATACATGTAGGCCCTATGTTGACTGTATATGTGGTCCTGTATTAGTATATGTACATATATACATGTAGGCCCTATGTTGACTGTATATGTGGTCCTGTATTAGTATATGTACATATATACATGTAGGCCCTATGTTGACTGTATATATATATGTGGTCCTGTATTAGTATATGTACATATATACATGTAGGCCCCGTGTTGACTGTATATGTGGTCCTGTATTAGTATATGTACATATATACATGTAGGTCCTATGTTGACTGTATATGTGGTCCTATATTAGTATATGTACTGTATACATGTAGGTCCTATGTTGACTGTATATGTGGTCCTATATTAGTATATGTACTGTATACATGTAGGCCCTGTGTTGAGACACTATTGTGTTTTCTTGATATTTTGTCCATTCCTTTGCTGATGCCACATCTTGATTAATGTGGCTTTACAGTAAGTCTTAATATAAAGTCTCTCAAATATCTAAAATATTACTTTGAATATTCTAGGTCCTTTGAGTTTCCTTATAAATTTAAGAAGTAGCTTGTTGATGTCTACAAAAATGCAGTGTGAATTTTGGTTGAGATTGTGTTGAATCTGTAGATCAATTAAGGAAGAATTGGCATTTTAACAATATTGAGTCTTTTGTATAGATGGTATATCTCCGTTTTAAAGGTCCTTTTGTATTTCTTTTATTTCTCTACTGAAAAAAAATCTCTACAGAATTACATTGTTTTGTAGTTTTCAAGAAAAAGATCTTGCATGCCATTTGTTAAATTTATTCCTAAGAATTTTACTTTTGGCACTATTTTAAGCTGAAATAGATTTTAAATTTCATTTTTAATTATTTGCTGCTAGTATGTAAAAATACAATAGATTTTTGTATGTAAATCTTATATCCTATGATCTTTTCCAAAGTCATTTATTACTCTGGTAATGGTTTTGTAGGTCTTTTAGGATTTAAATACATAGTTTTACTTCTTTCTGATCTTGATGCCTTGTTTTTTTTTCTTGCTTTATTGCACTGGTTAGAGCTGCCAGTTCAGTATTGAATAGTAGTGATTAGTGGACATCCTTGCCTGTGCCAAACTTATAATGTTAACTTTAGATTTGTCATATATGACCTTTGTCAGATTGAGGAAATTCCCTTCTATTCTTAATTTGCTGAAATTTTTTAACATGAATGGGTATGATTTTAGTAAATGCTTTTTCTGCATCTATGGAAATGATCATTGTTTTGTCTTTTATTCGTTTAATAGGATAAATTACAATGATTGATTTTTGCCCCCCGTTTTTTTTTTTTTTTTTTTTAAAGAAACAGAGTCTCACTCTTGCCCAGGCTGTAGCACAGTGGTGCCATCGTAGCTCACTGCAGCCTGAACTCCTGGACTTAAGCAATCCTCCCACCTCAGCCTCCTAAGTAGCAGGGACTATAGGCACATGCCACCATGCCAAGCTAATTTTTAATTTTTAAAATTTTTTGTACAGATGGGGTCTCATTGTGTTGCTCAGGCTGGTCTGCAATTCTTGAGCTTAAGCAATACTCCCACCTCTGCCTCCCAAAGTGCTGAGATTACAGGTGTGAGCCACTGTGCAGGCCTGATTTTTTAATATTGAACCAACCTTGCATTTCTGGAAGAAGTCCAACTTGCTTATGAGATATCATCCTTTTTATATATTGCTAAATTTGATTTGCCCAGTTTTTAAGGATTTTTGCGTGTTGATTCATGAGGGATATTGGTGTGGTATTTTCTTTGTTTGTTAGTTTGTTTCGGTAATGTCTTTGTCAGCCTCATTTTGGCTTCATAAAATTAGTTTGGAAGTGTTCCCTTCTCTTTGTTTTCTGTGTTTTCATAAGGTTGATGTTGTTTCTTCCTTAAATGTTTGATAGAATCCACCAAGAAAACCGTCTGGACCTAGAATTTTCTACTAGGAAAGGTGATTGTTTGTTTTTAATCACAAATTCAATTTAATGTATAGAAAGAGTTATTCAGGTTTTTTTACTTCCCCTTGTCTTACTTTTGGTAAGTTGTACTTTGAAGGAATTTGTCCCTTTCAGGTAAGTTGTTGAATTTACTCATTTAAAGTTGTTCGTAATACAAGCATACCTAGGGTTTGCTTCCAGACCTCGGCAATAAAGCAAATATTGCAATAAAGCACGTCACACAAACTTTTTGGTTTCCCAGTACATATAAAAGTTATGTTTAGGCCAGGCATGGTGGCTCATGCCTGTAATCCTAGCCCTTTGGGAGGCCAAGGTGGGCGGATCATTTGAGGTTAGGAGTTTGAGAACAGCCTGGCCAACATGGTGAAACCTCATCTCTATTAGAAATACAAAAATTAGCTGGGTGTGGTGGCACATGCCTGTAGTCCCAGCTGCTTGGGAGGCTGAGGTGGGAGAATTGCTCGAACCTGGGAGGTGGAGGTTGCGGTGAGCTGAGATCACACCACTGTACTCCAGACTGGGTGACAGGGCGAGACTCCATCTCAAAAAAAAAAGAAAAAAGTTATGTTTACACTATACTATAGTCTATTAAAGTGTATAAGATCATTATGTCTTTTTGCTAAAAAATGCTAATAATCATCTGAGCCTTCAGCAAGCCATAATCTTTTTCTTGGTAGAAGGTCTGCCTCAATGTTGATGGCTGCTGACCAGGTGGTGGTTGCTGAAAGTTGAAGGTAGCTGTGGCAGCAGTTTCTTTGTTTCTTTTTTCTTTTTCTTTTTTTTTGAGACAGAGTCTTGCTCTATTGCCCAGGCTGGAGTGCAGTGGCACGATTTCAGCTCACTGCAACCTCTGCCTCCCGGGTTCAAGCAATTCTCCTGCCTCAGCCTCCCGAGTAGCTGGGACTACAGGTGCCTGCCACCACGCCTGGCTAATTTTTGTATTTTTAGTAGAGACAGGGTTTCACCTTGTTGGCCAGGCTGGTCTCAAACTCCTGACCTCAGGTGATCCACCTGCCTTGGCCTCCCAAAGTGCTGGGATTACAGGCGTGAGCCACTGCACCTGGCCGGCAGTTTCTTAACTGAAGTTTTTGACATGGGTTGACTCTTTCTTTCATGAAAGATTTTTCTGTGGCACGCATTATGTTTGATAGCATCTTACCCACAATAGAGCTTCCTTCAAAATTAGAGTCAATTCTTTCAACCCTGGCCACGGATTGATCAAATAAGTTGATGTAATATTCTAAATCTTTTGTTGTCATTTCAACAATGTTCACAGCATCTTCGCCTGGAGTAGATCCCATCTCCAGGAACCACTTTGTCTGCTCATCCATAAGAAGCAACTCCTCATCTGTTCAAGTTTGATCATGGGATTGCAGCAATCCAGTCCCATCTCCAGGCTCCACTTCTAATTCTAGTTCTCTGCTATTTCCACCACATCTGCAGTGACTTCCTCTGCTGAAGTCTTAAACCGCTCATCCATGAGGGTTGGAATCAACTTCTTCCAAACTCCTGTTAATGTTGATATTTCAACCTCTTCTTGTGAATCACAAGTGTTCTTAATGGCATCTAGAATGGGGAATCCTTTCCAGAAGGTTTTCAATTTACTTTGCCCAGATCCATTAGAGGAATCACTAACTATGGCAGATACTGCTTTATAAAATATATTTCTTAAATAATAAGACTTGAAAATCAAATTTATCCCTTCTCCATGGGCTGCAGAATGGGTGTTACATTAGCAGGCATGAAAACAACATTCATCTTTACATACATCTCCGTCAGAGCTCTTGGGTCACAAGGTGCATTGTCAATGAGCAATAATATTTTGAAAGGATTCTTTTTTCCTGAGCAGTAGGTCTCAATGATTTTTTTTTTTTTTTGATGGAGTCTCGCTGTGTCACCCAGAATGGAATGCGGTGGCATGATCTCGGCTCATTGTAACCTCTGCCTCCCGGGTTCAAGTGATTCTTGTGCCTCAGCCTCCTGAGTAGTTGGGATTACAGGCACACACCACCATGCTTGGCTAGTTTTTGTATTTTTTGTAGAAACAGGGTTTCACCATGTTGGCCAGGCTGGTCTCGAACTCCTGACCTCAGGTGATCCACCTGCCTCAGCCTCTCAAAGCATTGGGACTACAGGCATGAGCCACTGCACCGGGCCCTATTTGTTTTTTTTTTGTTGTTGTTTTTTAATTGAGACAGAGTCTCGCTTTGTTGCCTAGACTGGAGTGCAGCAGCGCTATCTCAGCTCACCGCAGCCTCCGCCTCCCAGGTTCAAGTGATTCTCCTGCCTCAGCCTCCTGAGTAGCTGGGACTGCAGGTGTGCACTACCATGCCTGGCTAATTTTTGTATTTTTAATAGAGATGAGGTTTCACCACCATGTTGGCCAGGCTGGTCTTGAACTCCTGAACTCAGGTGATTTGCCTGCCTTGGCCTCCCAAAATGCTGGGATTACAGCTGTGAGCCACCGTGCTTGGCCCTTTTTTGTTTTTTTGTTTTTTTTCAAATTGAGACAGAGTCTCCCTCTGTTGCCCAGGCTGGAGTACAGTGGCACGATCTCGGCTCACTGCAACCTCCGCCTCCTGGGCTCAAGCGGTTCTCCTGCCTCAGCCTCCCAAGTAGCTGGAATTACAGGCGTGTGACACCATGCCTGAATAATTTTTGTATTTTTAGTAGAGATGCGGTTTCACCATGTTGGCCAGGCTGGTCTCGAACTCCTGACCTCAAGTGATCCCCCCGCCCCAGCCTTCAAAAGTGCTGGGATTACAGGCGTGAGTTGCCGCACCAGGCCTCAATGGGTTTTTAATATTCAGTAAACCATGCTGTAAACAGATGTGCTGTCAAGTAGGGCCTGTTATTCCATTTCTGAAGCATAGACAGAATAGATTTGGCAGAATTCTTAAGGGCCCTAGGATTTTTGGAACGGTCAATGAGTATTGGCTTTAACTTACGGTCAACAGCTGCGTTAGCCTCTCATGAGAGTCAGCCTGTCCTTTGAAGCTTTAAAGACAGGCATTGACTTCTCCCCTCTAGCTATGAAAATCCTAGATGACATCTTCTTCCAGTAGAAGGTGGGACATCTATGCTGAAATTCTGTTGCTTAGTGTAGCCACCTTCATCAGTGCTCTGAGCTAGATCTTCTGGGTAACTTGCTGCCGCTTCTCCATCAGCACCTGCTGCTTCACCTTGCACTTTTACATTATAGAGATGGCTTCTTTCCTTAAACTTCATGACCTGACCTCTGCTAGCCTCAAACTTTCCTTCTCCAGCTTCCTCACTTCTCTTAGCCTTCATACCATTGAAGAGAGTTAGGGCTTTGCCCTGGATTAGGCTTTTGTTTAAGGGAATGTTGTGGCTGATTTGATCTTCTATCCAGACCACTCAAACTTTCTTCATATCAGCATTAAGGCTGTTTTGCTTTCTTCTTCTTCATGTGTGCACTGGAATCGCACTTTTAATTTCTTTCAATAACTTTTTCTTGGCATTCACAACTTGGCTAGCTATTTGGCATAAGAGATCTCACTTTTGCCTGTCTTGGCTTTCGACACGCCTTCCTCACTCAGCTTAATCATTTCTAGCTTTTGATTTAAAGTGAGAGACGGGTGACTCTTCCTTTCACTTGAACACTTAGAGGCCATTGTAGGGTTATTAATTGGCCTAATTTCAATATTGTTGAGTCTCAGGGAATAGGGATGCCTGAGCAGAGGGAGAGAGAGCGGGGAACAGCCAGTCAGTGGAGCAGTCAGAACATACAACGTTTATTGAATAAGTTCACTGTCTTATCTGGATGTGGCTCGTCATGCCCCAAAAACAACTGCAATAATGGCATTGAAGATCACTGATCACTGGGCGCGGTGGCCCATGCCTGTAATCCCAGCACTTTGGGAGGCCGAGGCAGGTGGATCACCTGAGGTCAGGAGTTTGAGACCAGCCTGGCCAACATGGTGAAACCTCGTCTCTACTAAAAATACCAAAATTAGCCAGGCGTGGTGGCGGGTGCCTGTAGTCCCAGCTACTGGGGAAGCTGGGGCAGAAGAGTCGCTTGAACCTGGGAGGTGGAGGTTGCAGTGAGCCGAGATCACACCACTGCACTCCACTGCACTCCAGCCTGGGCAACAGAGCGAGACTCCATCTCAAAAAAAAAAAAAAAGGGCCGGGCGCAGTGGCTCACGCCTGTAATCCCAGCACTTTGGGAGGCCGAGGCGGGCAGATCATGAGGTCAGGGGATTGAGACCATCCTGGCTAACACGATGAAACCCCGTCTCTACTAAAGATACGAAAAAAATAGCCGGGCGTGGTGGTGGGTGCCTGTAGTCCCAGCTACTCGGGAGGCTGAGGCAGGAGAATGGCGTGAACCCGGGAGGCGGAGCTTGCAGTGAGCCGAGATCGCGCCGCTGCACTCCAGACAGAGCAAGACTCTGTCTCAAAAAAAAAAAAACAAAGAAAGAAAAAAGAAAAAAGAGATCACAGATCACCATAGCAGATATAATAATAATGAAAAAGTTTGAACTATTTCAAGAATCATCAAACTCCTACACAGAGACACAGTGTTAACATGTTGTTGGAAAAATGGTGCCAGCAGACTTACTTGATGCAGGGCTGCCACGAACCTTCAATTTGTAAAAAGTGCAGTATCTGTGAAGCACAATGAAATGAGGTGTGCCTGTGTTCCTTGTCACTGTAATGTCGGTAGGATCCGTAAGGAAAACACTTCATTCCTTTTATTGTGACTTTATGTTCGCCATCTCCCTCTCATCAGCAGCCTGGCTAGGAGGTTATCAATCTAGATCTTTTTAAAGAACCAGCATTGGACTCCCCTTTTCTGGTGTCCATTTCCTTGAGTTTCTCTGTTATCTTCATTACTTCCTTCCTTGTACTTGCTTCAGCGCATTAGTCAGGGCCCAGTCAGGAAACAAAAACCACACCGGCAATTTGAATAGCAACTTGTAATATAAAGTGTTCTTAACTGTAAGAGGTAGTTAACTATTAAAGGGATCACAAAGGGGTGACATTGTGATATAAGAAAGATGTATTTGGGCTGGGCTCGGTGCAGTGGCTCATGTTTGTAATCCCAGCACTTTGGGAGGCTGAGGCAGGCGGATCCCTTGAGCTCAGGAGTTTGAGACCAGCCTGGGCAACATGGTGAAACCTCATGTCTACCAAAAATACAAAAAATTATCCTGGCGTGGCGGTGTGTGCCTGCGGTTCCAGCTACTTGGGAGGTTGAGGTGAGAGGATAGTTTGAGCCCGGGAAGGCAGACGTTGTGGTGAGCCGAGATTGCACTACTGCACTCCAGCCTGGATGACAGAGGGAGACTCTGTCTCAAAAATCAATGTATCTGTCTGTCTGTCTGTCTATCTATCTATCTATCTATCTATCTATCTATCTATCTAGTCTCTGTCCCCCAACTTTGTTTGGCATGTAGCTCCTAAAACTCTTGAAATCTCCAAAGTGATGGGTGTCTTTTTGTTTGCTAAGGAGGCGACTGGTGGCTGGAGGCTCCTGGACAGCCTGGGGATAAGGGCTGGTTGCCAGGGGACCCAGCCTTGTGATTAGAAGGCTAGAACTTGCAGCCTTTCCCATCCACCTCCTGCGAGGCAAGAGGGGATGAAGGTTGAGTTGATCATCAATGGCCAAAGATTTCATGTCATGCTTATGTAGTGAAGCCTCCCTGAAAACCCAAAAGGATGAGGTTTGTAGAGTTTCAGGTTGTTGAATACCTGCAGGTGCTGGGAGGGCAGTGTACCCTCCCGTGGAAGCTCCATGCCGCTTCCTTCATACCTTTCTTATGCATCTCTTCCAGTTGGCTGTTCATTTGTATCCTTTGAAATATCATTTGTAATAAGTCAGCAATTTTAAGTAAACTGATTTCCTGGGTTCTGTGAGTCACTCAAGCAAATTATTGAACCTGAGAAGGGAGTTGTGAAGACCTCAAATTTGTAGCCAAGTCAGACAGAAGTTATGGGTAACCTGGTGTCTTACCACTTGCGACTGATCTCTGAAGTTGAGGGCAGTCTTGTGAGATGGAACCCTTAACCTATGGGATCTGCACTAACTCTGGTTGGTGTCAGAATTGAACTGAATTGCAGGACACCCAGTTGGGGACTGCTGAGTATTGGAGAATTGCTTGGGGGTCGGCGGGAGGAAACCACACATCTGGTGTCAGAGCTGAAGCACTGAGTGTTGTGAATGAGAGTGGAGAGATAGAGTTTGTTTTGCCTTATGCAAGAGGACTCTAAGGAGTATAGAAAGAGCAAATATGAGAAGCAGCTACTTTAGAAGAAAACATAGGAGGAAAGCTTCGTGACATTGGAGTTGGCAATGCTTTCTTGGATGTGACACCGAAAATACAACAAAAGAAATAAATGATAAATTGGACTTCACCAAAACTTAAAACTTTTGTGCATCAAGGAATACTACCAATGGCGTGAAAAGGAAATCCACAGAATGGAAGAAAGTATTTGAAAATCGTATATCCGATAAAGGACTAGTATCCAGAATATATAAAGAACTCCTACAACTAAGCCACAAAACAAAAAAAAACAACCCAGTGAACAGACATTTTTCCACAGAAGACATACCAATGGCCAAGAAGCACAGGAAGAGATGCGCAGTGTCACTAATCATCAGGGAAATGAAAATCAAAGCCACAATAAAATATGATTTCACACCCTTTAAGGTGGCTGTTAGCCAAAACATGGATAACAGCAAGTGTTGGCAAGGATATGGAGAAATTGGAGCCCCGTGCACTGCTGGTGGGAATGTAAAATGGTGCAGCTGCTGTGGAAAAGATATAACAATTGCTCAAAAAATTAAACTCAGAATGACCATAACATCCAGTGATTCCACTTCTAGATGTATACTCCAAAGAACTGACAGCAGGGACTTGAACAGGTGTGCTACATTCTTGTTTGTAGCAGCACTTTTCCCATAACCAAAAGATGCAGGCAACCCAGGTGTCCACCAGCGGATGAATGAACAGACAAAATGTGGTCCATCTGTACAGTGGAATATTATTCTGCCTTAAAAAGGAAGGAGAGGCCAGGTGTGGTGGCTCACGCCTGTAATCCCAGCGCTTTGGAAGGCCGAGGTGGGCAGATCACTTGAGGTCAGGAGTTTGAGACTAGCCTGGCCAGCATGGCGAAACCCTGTCTCTGCTAAAAATACAAAAATTAGCCAGGCATGGGGGCATGTGCCTGTAATCCCAGCTACTAGGGAGGCTGAGGCAGGAGAATCGCTTGAACTAGGGAGGTGGAGGTTGCAGTGAGCCGAGACCATGCCACTGCACTCCAGCTTGGGCGACAGAGCAAGACTGCCTCAAAAAAAAAAAAAAAAAAAAAAAAAAAGGAGATTCTGACACATGCTATAGCATAGATGAGCCTTGAAGACATGCTAAGTGACAGAAGCCAGACATGAAAAGACAAATACTGTATGATTTCACTTTTATGAGGTCCCTAGAGTAGTCAAATTCAGAGAGACAGAAAGTGGGATGGAGGTTGCCAGAGGCTGGGGGAAGGGAGAATGAATGGGAAGTTGGTGTTTAATGGGGATAGAATTGCAGTTTGGGAAGATGAGATGGATGGTGGTGATGGTTACACAACAGTGTGAATGTGCTTCATGCCACCAAACTGCACACCTGAAAATGGTTAAAATGGTAAATTTTCTGTGATGGATACTTTAAGGCATGTATGCAAACACACAGAAGCAGTTACTACCACTGGGGTTGATGGAAAAGAAACCAAGAACTCGGAGCGTCCTCCACACCTTGCCACGTCTTACGTTCAGGCCTTGTTGGAGAGTGTGTGACTGCCACAGAAACCTGCAGCCTACTGGTAACAAAAAGGTTCTTGCCAGAAGGTGTAGAAAGAGTGGATCTGCAGGATCAGCTTACTGGGTAGCCGAGAAACCTACTAGAGGGTATGGGTGGGCAGGAGCTGGGTGTCTGAGAAGTTTGCTGAGGTCCCATTGGGCTAGAGCTGGGGTGCTGGAGAAACTCAGTACAGAGCAGGCCCCACTGGGCACACGCCACTGGCAGCTGTGCCTTCAGAGGAAAAAGAGACCCTGGAACCAGGAAGAGAAGCTGCTACCTCAGCAAGGCCTGGCAGCTCCCCACAGTGTTGTCCCCTGTGGATAGAGCCTGACATGACTGTATTTGGCCAAGGAGAAAGACTCATAAGGCCTCGGTCCAGTATCACGGAGCGGGGCCTGGCAGGATGTATGCAGAGTTAAGAGGCAATACATGGGTAACTGGCATATTTTTCCAGATTCTTTGTTTTTTTTGTTGTTTTGTTTTGTTTTGTTTTGTTTTGTTTTGTTTTGAGAGAGCATCCTGCTCTGTTGCCCAGGCTGGAGTGCAGTGGCATGATCTAGGCTCACTGCAACCTCCACCTCCCGGGTTCAAGCCATTCTCCTGCCTCAGCCTTCTAAGTAGCTGGAGATGCCCACCATGCCCAGCTAATTTTTGTATTTTTAGTAGAGACAGGGTTTCACCATGTTGGCCAGGCTGGTCTTGAACTCCTGATCTCAGGTGATCCACCTGCCTTGGCCTCCCAAAGTGCTGGGATTACAGGCGTGAGCTACACTGCACCTGGCCCATTTTTCCAGATTCTTAAAGCAGATCCTTAGGTCTTTTTTTTTTTTTTTTTTTTTTTTTTTTTACTTCTTTTCTAATATAAGCACTTACAGTTTCCCTCTAAGCACTAGCTTCAGCCTACGTATTTTAGTATGCTGTGTTTTCATTATCATTTCATTTGAAATATTGTAAAATTTTTCTTGTGATTTCCTCTTTGACTCATGGGTTATTTAGAAGTATGTTGTTTAATTTGCAAATAGTCAAGGCTCCTCTGAGTATCTTAGAGCTATTGATTTCTAATTTAATCTTACTTTGGCCAGACAAGCATATTTTGCATGCTTTTAAAATTTGAGACTTATGGCCCAGAATGTGTATCTTGGTGAATGCACTGTTTTCACTTGAGAAAAAAATATGTATATATATTCTAGACTTCCTGAGTATAGAGCTTTATAACTGCTGATTAGGTCAATTGCTAGTTACCAGTGTTCTTCAGATTATCTGATGCTTGTTTCTCAGATGTTGAGAGAATGGTGTTTGCTATGGCCTACCTGTTTGTGTCCCCCAAAATTCATATGTTGGAGCTTAATCTCTGGTGCAGTGGTGTTGGGAATTGGGGCATCAGGGAAGTATTGGCTCATGAGGGCAGAGTCATCGTGAATGGGATTAGTCCCTTCTGCCATGTGGGGACACAGCAGGAAAAGGACATCTCTGAAGCAGGGAGCTAGCTCTCACCAGACACTGAGCACCCTGATTTTGGACTTCCCAGCCTCTAGAACTGTGAGCACTACAATCTGTTTATAAATTACCCAGCCTAAGGCATTTTGTTTTAACATCCTGAATGAACTGAGGTGGTGTTAAAATCTCCAACTATGCATCCAGGCGCAGTGGCTCACACCTGTAATCCCAGCACTTCAGGAGGCCAAGGCGGGTGGATCACCTGAGGTCAGGAGTTTGAGACCAGCCTGGACAACATGGTGAAACCTTGTCTCTACTAAAAATACAAAAATTAGCTGGGCGTGGTGGCAGGCTCCTGTAATCCCAGCTACTCGGGAGGCTGAGGCAGGAGAATCGCTTGAACCCAGGAGGTGGAGGTTGCAGTGAGCCGAGATTGCACCATTGTACTCCAGCCTGGGCAACAAGAGTGAAACTCCGTCTCAAAAAAAAAAAAAAAGAGTCTCCACCTATGATTGTGGAATTGCCCATTTCTCCCTTTAATTCTTTCAGGTTTTATATCATGTATTTTGAAGCTCCTTTGGTTAGGTGCATACACATTTATGATTATAATGGTGTCTCGATGAACTGATCATTTAACCATGATGAATGTATTCCTTTATCTCGTAATAATTTTATCTTGGACTCAACTTTATTGATATTTATGTAGCCTCTCCAGCCTTCTTAAACATGCTGTTTGGGATGCATAAGAAGGCTGGAGAGGCTTATGGAGAAACTTATGATGGTTTGACTTACAGTTTTTCAACTTTACCATGGTGCGAACGTGGTATGTATACAGTAGAAACTGTACTTTAAGTATGTGTGAAACCATTGTGTTTCTCACTTTCAGTACAGTATTCAATAACTTACATGAGATAGTCAACACTTTATTATAAAATAGGCTTTGTGTTTGTTGATTTTGCTCAACTGTAGGCTGAAGTAAGTGTTCTAATCATGTTAAGGTAGGCTAGGCTAAGCTAGAATGTTCGGTAAGTTAGATGTATTAAGTGCATTTTTGAGATGATATTTATTTTCCACTTATGATGGGTTTGTCAAGACATAACTCCATCATCATTCAAGCAGCATCAGTATGTCTTTTTCCAAACAGAAAATTTCAACCTGTGTTTATACTGAAACAGCATCTTTTGTAGATAGTATATAGTTGAGTCTTGCTATTTTATTCATTCTGACAGCCTCCGCCTTTTAATTGGAATATTCAGGCTATTTCTGTTTAACATAGTTATAGATATGACTGGGTTTAGAGCTACTACCTTGCTCTTTGATATTTATTTCTTTCATCTTGCTTTCTTGGCTTCTTTTATGTTAATTAAGTATTTTTTAGAATTCTATTTTAATTTATGTTTTTTTTTTTTTTTTTTTTTTAAGACAGAGTCTCACTCTGTTGCCCAGGCTGGAGTGCAATAGCATGATCTTGGCTCACTGCAACCTCTGCCTCCTGGGTTCAAGTGATTCTCCTGCCTCAGCTTCCCTAGTATACTGGGATTACAGACGCCTGCCACCACGGCCGGCTAATTTTTGTATTTTTAGTAAAGACGGGGTTTCACCATGCTGGCCAGGCTGGCCTCGAACTCCTGACCTCAGGCGATCCGCCCACCCTGGCCTCCCAAAGTGCTGGGATTACAAGCGTGAGCCACTGAGCCCGGCCTGTTTTGACTTTTTAATTGTATCTCTTTGTATTGCTATTTTAGTAGTTACTTTATAGATTCTATTGCACATTCTTAGCTTTTCACAGTCTACTTAGAATTAACATTGTTTTTCTTCATGGAAAAAAAGTGTAAGAACTAGGCAATCCTATGGGTTCATTTACCACTTTCCATCCTGTATGTGATGGTTGTTAGATATTTACTACATCCATACACATTGTAAACTAGACAATACAATAAGGAAATTTTTGCTTTAAACAGCCCCATGCATTTTAAAGAAATTAAAAGTAAAACAGAATCTTTTCTATTTGCCCATGTATTTGCTATATCCTGTGCTCTTCATTCCTTCCTGAAGAGCTGAGTTCCCATCTGGTCTCATTTCCCATGATCTTGGAGAACTTGCTTCACGGTTTTTGTAGTGCAGGTTTGCAGACAGCTAATTCCCTTTCATTTTCACTTATCTGCAAATCTTTATTTTGCTGTCATTCTTTCTTTTTTTATTTTTATTTTTATTTTTGAGACAGAGTCTCACTCTGTCTCCCCACAGGCTACAGTGCAATGGTGTGATTTCAAAACTCCTGCCCAATCTCAACTCACCAACCTTCTCCTCCCGGGCTCAAACGATTCTCCTGCCTCAGCCTCCCAAGTAGCTGGGACTACAGGCATGTGCCATCATACCCAGCTAATTTTTGTATTTTTAGTAGAGATGGGATTTCACCATGATGGCCAGGCTGGTCTCGAACTCCTGACCTCAAGTGATCTGCCTGCTTTGGCCTCCTAAAATGCTGGGATTATAGGTGTGAGCCACTGTGCCCAGCCTGCTGTCATTCTTGAACCATAATTTCACTGGTTATAGAATTCTGAGTTGTCAGTTTTTTCTTTCAGGACTTTAAAATATAGGGTTCCAGTGTCTTTGGCCTCCGTTGTTTCTGTCAAGGAATCAGCATTCATCTAGCTATTCCCCTGTAGACCACATGTTGTTTTTCCCTGGATGCTTTTAAGACTTTTTATCCAAGTTTGATTGCTCAGTACCTACCTCTGGGCAAAAAAGCCTCCAGAAACCAGAAACTTATCTAGTTTTATTCCCCTCTGTCAGGTGTAGACTCTACTCCAGCTTCTACCTACTTGAGATATTCTATACTGACTCCAGGCTGTTGTTATTTTGTTCTTTCAAATATTTTGTCCAGAGCTATAATGTTTTCTGCAGAATTGACCAGATAGCAGCTACTCTCTGTGACCAGGAGCCTTGATCTTCCAGACTTGCTGATGGGCTCACAAAGCTCCTGCCCGTGGCCCTCAGTTGGCAGTGGCCTCTCTGCCTTGAAGTTGCCATGAGTGTGTAAAACCTACAGGCTCAACCTTCCTCATTAGTACAGTCCAGAAAAGTGGAATTCCTGGTCTGGGTGGCTATGGTGCCCTAGACCACTGGCTAGACCAGGGTGGTGACTGCCAGCTGGCCGAATGTGGGGTCTCCAGCCTAGCACCCTTGGACTCTACCCCAGGAGTTATGGCTGTTTCAGGGCCAGGGGCCTGGCCTCAGCCCCTGTCCCCCTTCTCTTCTCCTCAAGTTGCCCAGCATCAGGTCCCAACCAGCATCTTTTGCAGACAGGGTGGGTCGGCTCCTCACTAGAGGGGCAGGGTTGGGCGGGAAGCCTGTTGAGCCCTCCTTCCTGTGCAGCCCACAGCCCTGGGGTTAGCTCCAGAGGGGTGCAGAAAGGAGCCCCCAAAGGCAGAAACTCACCCTTCTCTCTGTTCTTGTGCTTCCAGGGATAAAGGAGAGGTGGTCCTAGCTGGGGGGCTACCAGTGGCATGCAGGAGGCCCACATGACCACTGTTTGCTGGGGCCTTTCCTTCTCTGTGAGAGAGACGAGAGAGAGGAGAGAGAGTGTGAGTCAGGGTAGTGTCTTCTTCCAGTAACGCAGACTTCTGCACGTGTTCTCTAGGAGAAATCCCGTCACTCGCTAGAGCTCTAGATCTGGAAGAAGCTCTGCCTCTCTTCTCTCCTCCAGTGCAGTGTGTGTGTGTGTGTGTGTGTGTGTGTCCCCACATGCATTACACCCTTCTACAGAGGAAATAATTCCCGTCCAAGTGCAAAGGTTGGGATTGGAGCAGGCAGCATGTGGGCTAAAGGAGCAGAGAGGAGGAAACGGGGGCGGGGGTGAGGGTGGGAACAGGAGGTGGGTAGATGCCACGAGGCATGCCTTCCACAACTAGAAGGGCTGGTGGAGATGACCAGAATGCTCCAGACAGACCTTTTATCAAACTTCCAAAATTCAATCTTGTTTCATGAAGCCTGAGGACCCTGCAGAGTGAAAGACAAGGAAGGGCTTTCCTGCAGGGGGGTGTGTGTGCCTGTGTGTGCCTGTGTGCTGTGTGCCCCCATGTGTGTGCACGTGTGGACCTGTGTGGTGTGTGCCTGCACATGTGTGCACGTGTGGACCTGTGTGGTGTGTGCTGAGTGTGTATATGTGTGTGCCTGTGTGCTGTGTATGCACTTGCACATGTGTACACAGATCTCATTTTCCTTTTTTCTGGCTTACTAAGTGCCAGAAAGAATTTCCGTGAGCCTCTCCACCCTTCCCAAGGCTGCACATGGAGGGACTTGCGCAGGCACATGTGCGCGTGCACACAACACACACACACACACACACACACACACACACACACACACACGAGTCAGGGGCGAGCACTCCTGTGGATTGTACCTAGGCCTGGCAGGAAACCGGGTTCTGGGAAACTGTAGGCCCCACCTTTGGCAGAAAACCATGTTTTTGTTGCTGCTCGTTGAAGGGAACATTAAGTGGGGCTGGGGACAGTTTATGTTGAGAAGAGCAAATTTTGCCTATGGCACTGGGGACATTGAGTGGCTCCTGTCCCGGGCTCTGGAGGGCTTGGGAGACACGTCTGCAGCTCTGGGCATCTCTCAAGGTCACGGGCGGCCACACTCAAGGTTAGGCCCTCCTCTGTGTGAGCTGCGGTCAGCAGGAAGGCTGACCTCAGAGGCGGCCCCAGGGCCCTTGGAGGCCCTGCCCCTGAGACATGGGCCAAGGTCAGAGAGCCGAGAAGGCTGCTGCTGAGGACTCTGGTTGGCGCCCAGCCCAGCGGCCCTTCAGGCGGGCCCTGTGCAGGGGCTGATGAAGTCAGCTGGGAAATCTGTGAAATAAAGCACAGGTCCCCCAGGCTTGCCCAGAGCCCCGGCATCAGATGAGGTGCAGAGAAGGGAACTGAGCTGCCAAGTGTGAACAGGAGAGAGGAGCCCCAGGACCACACAGGGGCCCCGACATGGCAGGTGCTTGGTCAGCAGCGGTGCTGCCCTTACTGCTGGACGTGGGAAAATGCACTGACACTTGCTGACCAGAGCCGGGGTGAGCATCTGGGTGACCCTGCAGATGAGACAAAATAAGGGCTGCCGTGGGGGAGGGGCCCTTGCCGGGCCACCCTGCTGAGGCCCTGTGTTACTGTCCTGCGGCTGTCATAACAAAGGACCACAAATGAGGTGACTCAAAACATCCGAAATCGGCCACGTGCGGTGGCTCATGCCTGTAATCCCAGCACTTTGGGAGGCCGAGGCGGTTGGATCACGAGGTCAGGAGATCGAGACCATCCTGGCTAACATGGTGAAACCCCGTCTCTACTAAAAATACAAAAAAAAAAAAAAAATTAGCCGGGCGTGGTGGTGGGTGCCTGTAGTCCCAGCTGCTCAGGAGGCTGAGGCAGGAGAATGGCATGAACCTTGGAGGTGGAGGTTGCAGTGAGCCGAGATCGCGCCATTGCACTCCAGCCTGGGTGACAGAGCAAGACTCCGTCTCAAAAACAAAAACAAAAACAAAAACAAAAACATCCGAAATGTCTTCCCTAAAGTTTCTGGAGCCAGAAATCCCAGACCGAGGTGTCTGAAGGTTCATTCCTCCTGGGGGTTCCGAGGGAGACTGTCCCATGCCTTTCTCCGAGCTCTGCGGCGGCCAGCAACCCCTGGTATTCCTCGGCTTGCAGCTCGGCCTACCCCCCACCTGGCCTTCACCCTGTGTCTCTTCTTGTGTCTCTGTCCAAACTGCCCTCTCTGTTGTCTTTTTAATTTATTTTTAGGGACAGGTTCTCATTCTGTCCTCCAGGCTGGAGTGCAGTGGCGTGATCATGGCTCACTGCAGCCTCAGCCTCCCAGGCTCAAGCAATCCTCCCACCTCAGCCTTCCAAGTAGCTGGGACACAGGCGCACGCCACCATGCCTGGCTAATTTTTTAATTTTTTTGTAGAGACGAGGGCCCAGGCTGGTCTCAAACTCCTGCGCTCAGGCAATGAGACTTTGCCTCCCAAAACACTGGGATTAGAGACATGAGCTGCTGTGCCCAGCCTACCTCTGTCTTATAAAGACACCTGTCATTGGATTTAGGGCCCACTCTGATTCAATATGCCCTCAAATAACCCAATTACATCTTCAAAGACCCTATGTCCATATAAAGTCACATTCATAGGTACTGGGGGGTCAGGACTTGCATATGTCTTTTGGGGGAACACAATTCAACCCACAATGGGTCTCACCCACAGAACGAACGGCCTCTCCAGGGTGTGCGCAGGTGGGTGAGGGGCCCAGGAGAGGGACCTGCGTGGCAAGAGGGCTTGTGTTCACGTCAGAGATTCCAGAAGGAGACTGGATGGGGTGGCTGCATGGAGCAAGGGGCTACAGCCACTGTCTCCAAGTAGTTGGTGGGTTGTCTGGTAGAAAGGGAGCATTTATTTTGAGTTCCCCCAAGATATGAAGCTAGTACCAGGTACCTGGAAGGTGCTAGCGAGTAGAGCTTGACTCTTTACAGAAAGAGGTGTTTTTCTCACAATGTTCACTTGAGGACGGTGGAACAGGCTATTTCACAAGGTAGTGAGTTCCCCATGCCTGGAAGCATTCAAGCAGGGGCCATGTGGGAGTTGTTCAGGAGTGCATAGAAGGGACCTCAGAGGTCCCTGCCAATACCATCTTTGCTTGTCTTATTTTACGACAACTTGAATTTCAGAATGTAATGTTATTGGGGATATGTCTACTAGAGGGGCCTCCAGCATCAGGCCCCACACACTATGCATCATTTTTAGGGCAGGGAATGAGAGCAGGCTCCATTCTTTTTGGTTGTCTGTGAGGACCAGGAGGCTTGCTGCTGAGGCAGCTTCCTGTGGAAACAGTGTCTCAGCCCCGCAATCCATTCATCGGAGCTCCAACATCTTAATGAAACACTGTGTCAGATGGGTTCTGGGCATGTGTGTGCAGATTGTCACAAGTCCATGAGAATGCACACACGCACATTGCATGTGTGTGCACACATGTATGCACACATGCACAAGAACACGAAGACCCGAGGCAGGTATAGTCCGTGAGACAGATCCCTCTAGGCTGAAAGACTCCCCACAAGGGTCCCTAGAACAAGGCTCCAGCCTCGGCAGTCCCTCCCACTTCTGGTGGGAGGATCTCCACAGAGAAGAAGGGTCAAGAAGCACAGCTCTTGATGCTCACGGTGTACCAAGCTCTGCTTTAAGCTTGTGTCTTATTTTTTACTTATTTAGCAAATCTGTCGCTCTTGTTTTGTGCCAGATGCTGTTCTCAGCACTTTACAAATATTGATGCATGTTTGTTTCATGACAACCCTGTGAAGTAGGTAGTGTTACCCCGTTTTATAGATGAGGAAACAGGCGTAGAGGGATAAAGGGACTTGCCCAAGGTCTGTCTCTACCTTACACGCACATGAACGCTCACTCATGCGGCAGGCGCTAGTTTCCCTCTGATGTGAGTCAGGCCTTGAGCTGGTTGGGGTCTGGGTCCCACTTTGGTTGTGTTTTGCTGTGGGCACCAAGGAAGCTTCTAGCAGCCTCATCTCCCTGGTATGACCTAGCTCCAGGGACTGGATTTCCCCAAATGCTCCTGCCCAGCCTGGAGCCTCCTTTCCAGCTGGGGGAGGGCTGAACGACCCCTCACTCTTGGAGGCTGCCGGAGCCCCTCCTGCCTGCATGCGGCCGCTGCCGGGTGGACAGGCCTGCTTGTGGGTTGAGGCTCCCAGCAGCTGGGGTGGATCATTTCTCCTCCCAAGAAGCTTTGGGAGAAGCAGCTGAGGGGGCCAGCGTCCTCCTGAGGCCAATTCCCTGCCTCCCCCAGCGCAGGCGCGAAGCCATCTTTGCTTGTGTGTTTGCCACAGACAGTGGAGGGCGGTGCAATCGTGACGCCTGCTTGTTGCACTTTGCGTCCTTGAGGACGTTGACCCCTGGCCGGTGCTGGGCGCTTGCTCTTCAGTCATCTTGCCCTGACCTGGCGTGGCAGGCCCGAGCACTGCTCTTTTACAAGGAAACAGGCTCAGAGGCCTTGAGTCACTTGCCCGGGCTCCCCCAGCCAATAATTGGCTGAGCCAGGATTTCCATCCAGCTCTGTGACTCCAGAAGTCCAAGTTCTTCCCATCACGTCAGGGCCAGGAAAGGATTAGAATGCTTTTCTACGTGCCGATTATTTGGATGATCTGTGCAGCTTAGCTCGTTGTAGTTGCTCAATAAAAATGTGGAATGAATGGGCCTATATGTCCCATTGTGTGACTCAGAGCCAATGACTCTGGCTGATCCTCCTGTTTTCATTCCGTGGCCCAGCATCTCCCTTTGGGGTGTGTGACCTTGGAAGCAGTGACTCTCTCCATCCCACCTTGAATGGTGTCTGCGCCGCAGCAGGGGAGCAGCTGGGGATTGCCAGCGCCTGTTGCTGGTGGGCTGTGCGCCAGATCCCGTCTTGGATGTGTGGGTGATTGTCAGCCACATGTGTGTGAAGGGCTGTGCGTGTAGGATTTGTGCAAATGTGCCCCTCCCTGCTGCCAGCCCATGGGAGGCTGTCAAGATTCTGCCCCTGCACATTAGCCCACACTCTCTTTGTGGCCCACTGCTGTGGCTGTTCCCTTGTGTCACGTGGCTGCAGGCACAGCCCCCAAGTGGATGGGGATCGTGGGCTGAATGTGCATCAGATGCTCCTGCTTCTTGGTGGGTGGAGACCCTCAACCCATGCACCGTGGCTGCCGCATCTGAAAGGCCTTCCATGGTGAAGGACTTGGACCTGAGCAACCCTCCGCAGAGGTCTTAGAAGTGCTCCCTGGCCGGGCGCGGTGGCTCACACCTGTAATCCCAGCACTTTGGGAGGCCGAGGTGGGCGGATCACAAGGTCAGGAGATCGAGACCATCCTGGCTAACACGGTGAAACCCCGTCTCTACTAAAAATACAAAAAATTAGCCGGGCGTGGTGGCGGGTGCCTGTAGTCCCAGCTACTCGGGAGGCTGAGGCAGGAGAATGGCGTGAACCCAGGAGGCGGAGCTTGCAGTGAGCCGAGATCGCGTCACTGCACTCCAGCCTGGGCGACAGAGCGAGACTCCGTCTCAAAAAAAAAAAAAAAATGAAGTGCTCCCAGCTCTTCCTCCTGTGGTGAGGTTCTGAGTTTCCATCCTCAGAAGAAAACCTGGCTGGGGAGGGCATCTCTAGACCCGGACATAAACGCCAGGAGACCAGGGCTGCCCTCTCAGGTGACCAATCACAGAGACTCAGGGAAAGTCACGTTTGGAAGAGGCGACACTGTGTCTCAGCCTCATTCATTTCTCCATCCTACAGACACTGCCTGGTGCCCAGCCCGCACCGCGAGGCTTCCTAAGCAGCTCTGGGCACCGTGCACCTGGCATGGCCTCCAGCCCCATCTCCCTGCCTTGGGAGACCCGGTGGGGACTCCGGGCTGAGCTCCTGTGGCTGTGGAACCTTGGTGGTTTATTGTGGTGGCTGAGAACAGGGACGTGGGGTTGGACGGGTTGAGTGTAACTCCCAGTGGCTCCGTGAACTGCCTGGGAGCCTTGGGCAGCTCTTTCTCACTCTGTGCCTCCGCTTCCTGATGGAAAAATGGGGGCCAGGGGGGAGCGACCTTGAAGGTATTCGTGGGAACCAAGCGAGGTGATAAATGTAGTGTCCTTGGTAGAGAACTGGACACAGAGTCCACCCCCATGAAGGGGGCTGCTCCTCCTCCTTCTATGTTTCCTCTTGTTCTTATTTCTCCTCTTGTATCTTCTCTTCCTGCTTTCCCTCCCCCTCCCCTCCCCCCCCACATGCAGGCACACTCCATTTGGTGCCCCAACTGCCTTTCTCCATTGTCCTTCTGTAAGTGGTTCTCTAAGTGGGAACTCAGGCCTGGAAAGGGTGGGCACCCTGTCTGGTGGGCTCTGGCAGGCCAGGCGCTGAGCAGCCTCAGGAGACACAACCCTAGGAAAAGGCTCATGCAGGCTGGCTGTCATGACGGACTGTTGGTGGGAGAGGGGAAGGCGCCGTGGTAGGGGAAGCTTTGGAAACATCCACTAGTGGCCTTATTTATGACTCAGGACACCTGCCAGGTCACTAGAACACAGCTGAGGAAGCTGTCGGCCAGACGTCCAGAAGCATCAACCTGGTGGCTGGGCTGTGGGGGGACCTCTCTGGACAGGCAGACAAGGTGTCGGAGGAAGGGGCTGACACTCACTCAGTGTCTGTCATGCACTGAGGGCACAAAGGGCAGGATGGAGAGCTGGCCCACGCCACCTGTGGAATCTTCCAGGTGTGGGGGCAGATGGGGAAGCAAGGGGGCTTGAAGACACATGCGCTCATTAAATGTCCTTAAATCCCAAGAAGAAGAACAAGGACACATCCACAGGGGCAGGGCTGAAAGTCTGATGCATGGTGTTTTGGGGTCTGCTCCTGCTGCAACAGCTACAGTGGCTCCCTCTTACCTTTCTCTTCCCTCCATTCTGTTGTGAAAATGTTCAAAACACATGGTCAAGTTGAAAGCATTTTACAGGGAACACATTCAGCCATCACCTAGATTCTACCACTAACACCAAGCTACACCTGCTTTATCACCTCACCGTCCATCTATCCCTCCTTCGCCTGGCCATGAATCCATTTTATTTTTATTTTTTGGTGCATTTCAAAGTAATTTCAGGTCATCCTGATTATCTCTGGAATCACTGTCAGAAATTCCCTCCCTTCCCCTCCCCTCTCCTTTCCTTTCCTTTTCTGAGATGGGATCTTGCTAGGTCACCTAGGCTGAAGTGCGGTGGTGCAGTCATAGCACACTGCAGCCTCCAACTCCCGAGCTCAAGCAATCCTCCTGCCTCAGCCTCCTGAGTAGCTGGGACCGCAGGCATCCACCACCACACCCAGCTTCATTTTCAAAATTTCTCACCAACTCCTCACTCCTTGTATTCACCCAGGACCACTTCTCACAAAGCCAGGGTGCTGCAGGAGGGGTCAGAACCCCAAGCCCTAATCCTGGCTCTGTCATTAACACTGTGCGACCCTCAGCAAATCATTTTGCCTGTCTAGGTCCTGTTTTCATTCCTATGAAACGAGGGCGTTAAACTGTATGTTATAAATAATGAGGGCTACCAGTTACCAAGCTCCTATTTTAGGCCAGGCACTTTTCACATGTTATTATGAGTCCTTTCAATCTAGGTATTGTTCTCAATGGACAGCTTAGTCAACGGAAGCTCAGAGAGGTGGTGTAACTTGCCAAAAGTCCCACTACCCAGTGAATGTCCCCACGGGGTCTGCACCCAGGAGTCTGACACAGAGCCCAGGCCTCAGCACCTGGCGATGTTTTGGGGGTGTGAGCAGCCCAGCCTACTCTGGGCACGTGTTTACTTGCTGTTCCTTCTGCCTCATGTTTGTGTTTGTCCCCTCTGAAGCTCAGACTGTTATTTTCCAGTTCCAAATACCAAAACTGGCTAGGCACGGTGGCTCATGCCTGTAATCCCAGCACTTTGGGAGACCAAGGCGGGTGGATCACTTGAAGTCAGGAGTTCAAGACCAGCCTGGCCAACATGGTAAAACCCCATCTCTACAAAAAATACAAAAATTAGCCAGACATGGTGGCGTGCACCTGTAGTCCCAGCTACTCAAGGAGAACCCAGCTACCCAGCTACTGAGGCACGAGAATCACTTAAACCTGGGAGGTGGAGGTTGCAGTGAGCCGAGATCGCACCACTCCTCTCTAGGCTAGGCAACAAGTGTGAGACTCTGTCTCAAAAATAATAAATAAATAAAATAAAATAAAAATTAAAACCAAATGCCAAAACCAACCCACAAAATAAACCTTGGTTAAAGTAGCCTGTTCATTTTGCTTTAACTATGTATATTGCACCAGATTCTGCCAGGGGCTCAGCGTATAAAGATGAGACCCCTGCCCTGCCAGACAGGTGGGATGATGGCCATACCTTGAGTTAGTCAAGGCACCATCTGGCTGTGTAACAAAAGCTAAAACATCAGAGGCTGAGCAGCACTCGGACCCACGTCCCAGTCCAAGTGTCAGTCGTTATGGGGGCCCAGGACAGCCCGGACCTAGTTCATTCCTTTGGTGCATCCTCGACACACAGCTTCCATCTCTTGAGCTGAGATGGTTCCAGCTCCTGCCGTCATGTCTGCACTCCAGCCAGAGGGAAGGGAAGAAGGGAGAGGGGAAAGGGCAAGTGTCCCTCTTTATTTTTAAGGGCATGACCTGAAAGTTAAACACTTCAGCTCCTTCCCACTGGCCAGAACCCAGTTGTATGGCCGCTCCTGTCATCAGGGAGGCTGAGCAATGTATTCTTCAGCTGGGCTTCCCTGTGCACAACCAAAACTTCAGTTACTATAGAAAAAAGGGAGCTCAGATATTGGGGAAACAACTAGCATCTGTACCACATGCACTGATAGCTCTCTTTGTATGAACAGAGCTGTGGCAGGCCCTATGCCAGGGAGAAAGTAAGATTGGAAAAGAGCTTACCAAGGAGGTGGCATTTGCACTGTGCTTAAGGGGCAAGAAAAACGTCTTCCAATCAGGAGCCACAAATGCTTGGCTGAAGTGCTACTGCTCTTTCATCCTGGAGCTGGAACAGACGTCACCAGTCAATCATGATGGCTGCTGGGTGCACTGGCTAACATCTATAATCCCAGCACTTTGTGAGGCTGAGGGTGGGAAGATTGCTTGGGGCCAGGAGTTTGAGACCAGTTTGGGCAAATTGCAAGACCCTGTCTCTGCAAAAAAATATAAAATGTAGCTGAGTGTGGTGGCACCTGTAGACCCAGCCCCAGCTACTCGAGAGGCTGAGATGGGAGGATCGCTTGGGCCTAGGAGTTCGAGGCTGCAGTGAGCTATGATTGCACCACTGCACTCCAGCCTGGGTGACAGAGCAGGACCTGTCTCTAAAAACAATAAAATAAAATCAAAGTTTTAAAATGGAAAAAAAATCATGAGCACATAACTCCAGATGTATCCTCAAGATAGCAAACCCGGGTGGGCGCAGTGGCTCATGCCTGTAATCCTGGCACTTTGGGAGGCCAAGGTGGGTGGATCACCTGAGGTCAGGAGTTTGAGACTAGCCTGGCCAACAGCCCCATCTGTACTACAAATACAAAATTAGCTGGGCATGGTGGTGGGCACCTGTGATCCCAGCTACTTGGAAGGCTGAGGCAGGAGAATTGCTTGAACCCAGGAGGCGGAGGTTGCAGTGAGCCAAGATCACACCATTGCACTCCAGCCTGGAGAAAAAAAGCAAAACTCTGTCTCAAAAAAAAAAAAAAAAAGCAAACCCAGGGCCAGGTCTGTAGCCACATGGCCACCTTCTTCCCTGAGCATGGAGGCAGCCTCAGAAACCTGCCCCACATCACATCAGTGGGCAGTTGATTGGGTCAGCCTGCCAGTTGAACCCTATTTGCCACAGTCATTCTCCATAGTAAGGGGCATTCTAGACATACCCCCCTTCCCAGGGAAGAATAAGCCGTAGCTGCCTGAGCGTTTTATCCAGTGGTGTGCATGTCTTTTCCCAACTCTGTGTTTAGTGATGTCCTGTTTGTAGCTTGAAATTTGCCACAGTGGGTGTGTTTACACCACAGGAATTGGCAAACACTACATATCAGGCCTTACCTCCTGCTCCCTACTAGGGTAGGTTGTTTTTTTTTTGTTGTTTTTGTTTTTTGTTTCTTTTTTTTTTTGAGACGGAGTCTCGCTCTGTCGCCCAGGCTGGCGTGGAGTGATGCGATCTCCGCTCACTGCAAGCTCCGCCTCCCTGGTTCACACCATTCTCCTGCCTGAGCTTCCAGAATAGCTGGGACTACAGGCGCCCGCCACCACACCCGGCTAATTTTTTGTATTTTTAGTAGAGACGGGGTTTCACCGTGTTAGCCAGGATGGTCTCGATCTCCTGACCTCGCAATCTGCCCTCCTCGGCCTCCCAAAATGCTGGCATTATGCCACTGCGCCCGGCCTAGGGTAGGTTGTTAGAAATGTACCAGCCTGCCAGTTTCAGCCTTGTTTGTCTTTCATCCTTTTTTTTTTTTTTTTTTTTTTTGAGACGGGGTCTCTCTCTGTTGCCCCCCAGGCTGGAGTGCAGTGGTGTGATCCTGGCTCACTGCAACCTCTGCCTCCTGGGATCAAGTGATTCTCCTGCCTCAGCCTCCCAAGTAGCTGGGATTACAGGTGCCCACCACCACGTCCAGCTAAATTTTGTATTTTTAGTAGAGATGGGGTTTCACCACATTGGCCAGGCTGGTATCGAACTCCTTACCTAAGGTGATCCACCCGCCTTGGCCTCCCAAAGTGCTGGGATTACAGGCGTGAGCCACCGCACTGGGCCTCTTTCGTTCTTTCTTAATGAAAATCTTCCTGAAAGATTTGCCTACTGATGTCTGTGTCAATAGGTACTGCCTGCGGGACAGAGCCTGCCCTCCTTTTGAAGGTCTTTCTCTGTCTGGGTGACCATCTGCATGTCACTCCCTGCTGCTCAGAACTAAAGATGTAGCTATGCCTGGGGTAGGTTGGGAAAACCTGTGGGAATCACAGAGCTTGCTGTCATGCTGTGTTCTGGATACCTGAAGCTTGGCAGGCAGGTGGGATCGAGGGTGGGCATTAGGAAAGTGATGTGGCTCTATAGGAAGGGGACATAGGTCCTGAGATTTTAGGTCCCCAATTGGACAAAGCTGTTTTTTTTTTCTGGATAAATGTTCTAGCTTATTCATAATCGAGTGGTCAGTTTTCTTTTCTTTTCTTTTCTTTTTTTTTTTGAGATGGAGTCTCGCTCTTTCGCCCAGGCTGGAGTGCAGTGGCGCTATCTCGGCTCACTGCAAGCTCCGCCTCCCAGGTTCACGCCATTCTCCCGCCTCAGCCTCCGGAGTAGCTGGGACTACAGGCGCCTGCCACCGCGTCCGGCTAATTTTTTGTATTTTTAGTAGAGACAGGGTTTCACCGTGTTAGCCAGGATGGTCTCGATCTCTTGACCTCGTGATCCGCCCGCCTCGGCCTCCCAAAGTGCTGGGATTACAGGCGTGAGCCACCGCGCCCGGCCAAGTGGTCAGTTTTCTCAGCTGCCGGGTCTTGCACACCTTGCTGGCTCTGGAGACCATATGCACCATGTAGACCCCATTTGTTTCCTACCCTCAGTGTTGGGGGAGGGGCCAAGGGCCTGTCGATGTGTTGACACCTGGCCATTCACTGGCCTTGAATGTCCACATTCACCTCCTTGAAATCGATGCCCCGTATCGGAGGCTCCATGTGGATTTGGGGGCAGAGGCCTGTACTCCAGATGGTGGGGTGGCCTTCACCAATCAGGCAGATTCCCTGCCCTGCCCTGCCCTTTGGGCTCTGTAGCTCCAGATGTGTGCTCAAGATCTGTGGCCACATGGATGGGACAAGCCACAGAGACTCAGACTCCGTGGTCCCTGTGACCAGAGTAGCCGTGGCCCTGTCTGGGAATGTTCCCACCCTGTTGCTGAAGGTGAGAAATTTCTCTGTGCTGGAGAACAGCTGTGCTGAGAAGTTGGCCCATCTGGCTTGCAGGACTGCTGGGGCAAGGGAGGTCTGCTGCCGGTCTCTTCCTTCCTCCTCTGACTGGGTGCTCCTTGTCTAGGTTCCTTGCAGCAAAAGAATTCTCTAATTTATTTTGTTCCCTTATTGAGTCTCTACTCCATGAAGCCCACCTCCTAATCCCAGCTGACTGGCTCCCACCTCCTCAAGAGGAAGGCCAGGGGCAGACGAGGCTGAAGGAGGCTGACTCCCCTGTGCCTTCGCAGTCTGAGCTGATGCTGCTGTATGTTCACAGGGCTCCTTCAGCTTTTAAAAAGGCTTCAACACGTTCGTCACACGCTTGTGGCTCTCCTGGATGCCACACTAACTCAGTAAGGCCTGAGTTAGAGGCTGTTCCTGAGGCTGTGAAAATAGAAGAAGGGTCCAGAGGAGAATCCCTTCATCTGACGATCCCAGGAAGGCTTCCTAGAAGAAGCAGCCTCTGAGCTGAGACCTGAAGACAGATCAGGCCTGAGTCAGGCCAGGGAGGGTGTGAGGGGCCCACCAGGCAGAGGGAACAGGATAGGGCAGGCACAGAGGTCTGGCACCTGGCTTGTGGGGAAGTGTGAGCCCCTGGGCATGACCAAGGCGGGGAGAAGTGGCGTGAGAGGAGGCAGATGTGGCTGGCAGGAGATCGGCGGCCCCGGCCTTGCTGAGCTCCACTCTGTATGCACCAGGTGACAGAGGCTGCCCAGGACGGTGGGCAGGGAAGTGACAGGTCACATGGTCATCCCACCAACAGCCGGGAGTCCAGCTTGGGGGGACCCAAGACCCTGGGGAAGGCACGAGTCAGGGGCCTGCTAGAGCCAGGAGCTAGTGGGAGAAGGAAACAGTGTTGCTTATGAATTATAAACAGACACTCCCGCAACTTTCTCTGACGTGATACAATCTCAAAGTGGGCCACCCAGAGGTGGGAAGGTGACTTCTGGCTCTCCAGGCCTTGGGCCTGTCTTTTTTTTTTTTTTTTTTTTTTTTTTGAGATGGAGTCTCACTCTGTTGCCCAGGCTGGAGTGCAGTGGTGTAATCTTGGCTCACTACCACCTCTGCCTCCTGCGTTCAAGCAATCCTCCTGCCTCAGCCTCCTGAGTAGCTGGGATTACAGGCACCTGCCACCACACCCGGCTAATTTTTGTATTTTTAGTAGAGATGGTGTTTCACCATGTTGGCCAGGCTGGTCTCGAATTCCTGACCTCAGGTGATCCGCCCACCTTGGCCTCCCAAAGTGCTGGGATTACAGGCATGAGCCACTGTGCCCAGCCGAGCCCATCTTCAAGTTCTCCCTGGCCCTCAGTGTTTCTGTATTAGTTCACCCTTTTGGCTCCCTGCTTTTAAGAGTCTCCCTTAAGACTGTCCCCAAGTGGACAGGTCCCCAGAACCAAGGAGCAGCCTTAGGAGTCCCCAGTTACAGACACTCCAGGGGGTCCGTGTGGCCCTCAGCCTCTGGCCTGGTTCCGGCAGCCTTGGTCCTTTGTGCTGTCTCTCACATAGCCTGGCCAGAGCTGGCCAGGTCCCTTGGCTGGGCCGAGTCATCGTGGCCAGTGACTCATGCAGGGGGAGAAAAGTGAGGAGGGGGAACAGAGTGCGAGGGGGACTGTGTTAATAACAAACCCATTAGGTCCCTGAGGTCACTTCACAGGAGGGACAAATGGTTCATTTAGGTTGATCTGGCTGCCGGCTGGCTTCCAGAGACACTCAGGGTGGGGAAGATTTCATTATCTGGGGAAAGCAATACCAGATTGTCTGGAGGGGCCCAGCCAGCGCACCCCGCGCTTCCTGTCTGCCTCCCACGCAGAGCGTTCTGTTCCCAAGGCGGCAGGCCAAGAGCGCGAGCCGAGGCTCAGGTGCAAAGAGGGGTGCGGCATGGGGGCACTGCAGGGCACGGGGTGCATGCATTTTTATTTATTTTTTTACTGAGTGTTAGGGTAATTTGTTAATGGGGTATATTTGGTGACATAAAACCTTCTGTCGATTCATGGCAGTCTGGAACGGAGTGGAAGCGTCCCACTCCTGGGGAACCCCCACACACATTTGGCTGTGAACGTCGGTGCCTTTGCACTGGAGCCTCTTTGGAGTGTGCTGGGCAGAGCGGAGAGGTTCCTCTTCTCTCTTCTCCATCATCCTGTGGAGGTGTCAACATGTAGCCAGAGATGGTCAGTGGCAGTGAGGAGAGGGGGGCAGGAAGAGACCAGGGCTGGGGGCTTGCCAGCCCACAGTTCTACCCCTGAACACCCATGGCCTCCCTGTTCAGGTCAGCGAGGCTGGGGGCAGAGACGGGCAGGGGTCCCCCAATGTTGGGCATCTCCCCGCTCCCTCATACTCTGGATTTGCCCTCTGGAGAAAGCTCTGGAGCACCCAGAAGTCCTGGGGCTGCTGGCTGAGGTGGGGAGCAGAGCCCAGCTGTGCCTGGAGGCTCCCCACTTCCACTCAGCTTCCAGGGACAGTCTCAGCTGTGCAGGCCCAGGCCGCTGAGGCTGGCTCCAGAAATTTCTTCACAACCACCACTGGATGGAAAACCAGTTCTCTAAAGGGCCCCAGAGCCAGTTTTGTTTCTTCTTCCACAGGTTCCCATAGTTAGAGCATCGGGTCTTTGTTAGAGATGCAGAAGAGACGATGTCCCCAGCCCTTATGTGGTTCGGTCTCCACTGTGGATGTTGGTGATCTTAGTCTCCTTCTCAAAACCAAGAGGGCTGATGCCCCACATTCCAGGCCCCCAGAAAGAGCCGCCACCCACCCACACCGCTACATCTTCTTTCCACTTTTCTGTTCCGGAAAGAGTAGAGTGGATATGCGCTCCTGTAGAAATCCATCTACAGCCTGACTGCAGATGTATTTTGCTCCCTTATTGAGTCTCTGCTCCATGAAGCCTGCCTTGTTTGTACCTCTTTCTCTCTCTTTCTCTCTTTCTTCCCTCTCTTCCTTCCCTTCCGTTCCCTTCCTTTTTCTTTCCTTCCTGTCTTATTCTTTCCTCTTTCTTTCTTTCCTCTCTCTCTCTTTCCCCCTTTCTCTGTCTTTCCTATCTTTTCTTTCTCTCTCTTTCCTCTTTTTTGAACAGCCAAAGATAGAATGAATGGCATAGGTAGGTACTGAGCTCCCTGTAACTGGAGGTGTTCAAGTGTAGGGTGGATGGGCATTTATAGGGCAGGCATTGAGGAAGGATCTCCCTGGGATTGTGGATGGCAGGACAGGCCCTGTGGAGCCTTCTGAGCGGGTGCAGAAGAGGGAGGGCATGTTCCTGCTCCCTGCCCTTCCCGGGTTGCCAGGCCGCCACTCCCAACCTCCACCCTCTTTCCTTCCACCTGCTGGGCCTTACGGGATGGGCAGAGGCATTGTTAGAACATGGAGCCGCGGTCCACAGAGGGCCAGCAGGGAGGAGAGCTCCCTGGGGACCACGTCGCCTCAGTCACTGTGGTGACTTTGAAAATAAATGCTTTCTTCTCTGCTTGAGTCCCTGTTGTTCCTGCTGACGTGGAACTAGGGCAGGCTGGTGACTCAGCCCTCATCCCTGCACTGCATCGGTGGCAAGTTGCCTCCAGCCTCAGACCCCACAGAGCAGGGTGCCTTCTTCAGAAAAACAGTAGGGAGGCCAGGACACCAAGGGCCCCAGGGACAGCCTGTTTCTCCTGGCTGGCATGAGTTCTAGCCAAGCCTCCTGGTACCCTGGGGGTGAGGAGGTACCAGCTGTGTGCTTTAGTCACTGGCTGCTTTGAGGCTGGGTCGGTGCCAGGCTGGCCACTCCTTCTTGTCCCCTAGTGTGACTTTGCAGAGCTCCCGGAAGGGTCAGAGGGTTTTTTTCCATCACTGGTGTCCATGGGATACTGTGTCCCCATCTCATTTTTGTACTCCAGTCTCAGACGGGTGCTAGGAAGTTGGAGACTTTAGCCATTTCACGACTGTGTCTTGCGGGGCTGGAGTAGGAACAGGAGTAGGAGGAACGCTCTGGTCATGGGACTGTGTGAAGAGAGAAGGATCAGGAAGAAAACATGAGCTATCATGTCTGGGTTATACCTCAGCAGAGCCGCTGGTGGCCTCCCAGGCATCTGAATTTACTAATCACAAAGCTCACCAGGTGTGCAAATAAACAAATGCTGTTCAGGAGGCACAGCCAGGGTTCTGCTGGAGAGGGATCATCTTGGAGGGGTCATACTTTCCACCCAGTCCTTCAGTCCTTCTGTCCTGTGTGTGTGCAGCCCCTGACCACCACCATCCCTGCCCCTGCCACTTGCTCCCAGGGTTCCATCAGGTTGGATGTTATTGCAATAAAATGTAGCAACAGAAGGTCCAGGCAGTGCTGCAGTCCCTGGTGGTATCATCAGAGCCAGCAGGCAGCAGGGCTGGGGAACTCCAAGCTGATTCAGTCCCAAGTGCCGGAGCGGGGAGCTCGGATGAGGTGGGGGTGGGGAACCGGGGAGCCATGGAGCAGAGCATTTGCTGTGCTGAAGGCCAGGAGCCTCCTTGGGAGATCATGAATTTAGAACACTAATACTTTGTTTAAAAAGTCCCCTGCCTTGGAGATAAGAGCTCAGGCCGCTGTGGTCAGGTTTTGCTGTAAATGTTCTGCACAAAGCAGGCTGGGGGGATCACTGGGAAGTCTGGGGAACAGATTGGTCATGTGCTTCTTTGAGTGAAACCTTATGGTTGCATTGAAGCGGCCAGGCAGAGGGTGTGATGGGGTGTGGTAGCTGCACACCGGCTCAGTCAGGCTGAATGGGGAAATGCAAACTCAGGTGGCCTGAAAGAGACTTAGTGGTCCACAGCCTGGTGGCTGCTCCCAGTACAGGTGATGTAAAGAGAGAAGGGGTTCCGGGGGCTTGGCCCAGGTGGAAACCATGCACTGTCTGTGATCCTGGGCATGTCGAGGCTGGAGCAGGTCTGCTTGGTGGCTGGCAGAACGCACATGAAGAATCCATGTGTGTTCTGAACGTCCCCTCTGCCCCTTTGGGCTCATGCCCCATCAGGAGTCTCCCGACTCTGCCATTCTGCAAAGGAAACTGCGCTTTGTCATTGCACAGGATCGAACAGGTGTGTGTGGAGTCCCTAAAGCCACTGTCTCAAGGGGTCTCATGGGACAATGGGAGAGTTGCTGTGATGTTTAAGACTAAAGTGATGGCTGGGCGCAGTGGCTCACGTCTGTAATCCCAGCACTTTGGGAGGCTGAGGAGGATGGATCACTTGAGGCCAGGAGTTCGAGACTACCCTGGCCAACACGGTGAAACCCCATCTCTACTAAAAAAACAAAAATTAGCCGGGCATGGTAGCGGGTGCCTGTAATCCCAGCTACTCGGGAGGCTGAGGCAGGAGAATTGCTCCGATCTGGGAGGCGGAGGTTGCAGTGAGCCGAGATCACGCCACTACACTACAGCCCGGGCGACAGAGTGAGACTGTCTAAAATAATAATAATGCTAATAATAAATAAAATAATAATAATAAAATAATAAAAGCAAGGACTTGAACAAATATTTGCACACCCATGTTTGTAGCAGCTTTACTCTCAATTGCTCAAATGTGGAAGGAATGGATATACAAAGTGTGTGTACACACAGTGGAATATCATTCAGCCTTCAAAAGGAACGGAATTCTGTCACTACATGTGAACCTTGAATAATGAACCTTGAAGACCTCATGCTACGTAAGCCTGTCTCACAAGGACAAATATTGTATGATTTCACTTATGTGAAGTCAAATTCATAGAGAAATTGGAATGACGGTTGCCAGCAGCTAGGGGAAGGAAGGATGGGGAGTTATTGTTTAATGAGGACAGAGTTTCAGTTTGGGAAGTTGGAAGAAGTTTCGGAGGTGGATGGTGTTGATGGGTGTACAATGTGAATGTACTTAATGTCACTAACATGGAAACTTGGTTAAAATGGTAAATTTGTCTTTTTTGTTTTTGTTTTTTTTTTTTTTGAGACGGAGTCTCGCTCTGTCGCCCAGGCTGGAGTGCACTGGCGTGATCTTGGCTCACTGTAACCTCCGCCTCCCAGGTTCAGGCGATTCTCGTGCCTCAGCCTCCCAGAGAGCTGGGATTATAGGCGTTTGCCACCACGCCCGGCTGATTTTTGTATTTTTAGTAGAGACAGGGTTTCACCATGTTGGCCAGGCTGGTCTTGAACTCCTGACCTCAGGTGATCCACCCACCTTGGCCTTCCAAAGTGCTGGGATTACAGGCGTGAGCCATGGTGGCTGGCCAAAAATGGTAAATTTTATATTACATATATTTTATCACAGTAAAAATGCATTGCTCTATTAGAAAAATGATAGATTTTTACAATATGAATTAAATTACAAGTTATGAAGGAAAAATTAAGCAAAACATTAAAAAATTACTTATAAGTAATTATATTTAAAACAAAAGATAATAAATACACAACTTTCATCACCTCTTAGGTTTTTTGCAACATTTAACTATTGTCTGTCCTGTTGCGGTTATGTTCTTGAGGTTGTATTTGTATGATAGAAACACTATATTCGTGGTGACTAAACATCTCTTCTCAGTCTCACCTCCAATGATGTCATACAGATAACTTGAAATTGGCCGGCTGGGCACGATGGCTCATGCCTGTAATCCCAGCACTTTGGGAGGCCAAGGCAGGCAGATCATCTGAGTTCAAAACCAGCCTGGCCAGCAGGGTGAATCCTCATCTCTAGTAAAAATACAAAAATTAGCCAGGAGTGGTGGCGGGTGCCTGTAATCCGAGCTACTTGGGAGGCTGAGGCAGGAGAATCACTTGAACCTGGGAGGTGGAGTTTGCAGTGAGCCAGGATTGCCCCACTGCACTCCAGACCGGGTGACAGAGTGAGACCCTGTCAAAAAAGAAAAGAAAAGAAAGAAATTGGCCAAGGCAGGAATATTGACACCACAGGAATAGGCAAGCGCTACAAATCGGGAAACTGAGTGTTGTTGCTTTTGCTGGCCCCAGGTGGCCGGTTGTTGACCGTTAACTGGCACACTACTGGAGGAGGGAGGTTCAGACTGATTCGCAGAGAGACTAGAGGTAGAAACGCACCATGGTTTGGATGCTGAGGGTGAGGGAAAGAGAGGAGTCAACAGTGGTGCCCGGAGACTTGGCTTGAGCAACTAGGTGGATGGTAGCACCGTTTCCTAAGATGAGGGGCTGTGGGAACTTGAGGGGCTGTGGAAGGCTCTGCCACTGACGGACCCAGGGCTCGGCAGCTCTGGGAGGCCTACTTTGTGTCAGGCCACGCAGAGATAAGACCATCTGGGCCCTGCCCTTGGGAAGTCTCTGTCTATGAGGACACAGCCTGCCACCTAATGGGGTGTCCCGTCTGGAGCCTCAGTGTTGCTGGGAGAAAGCCCCTCACCTTCCTTCGCTCTCCGAGCCTCTTTTGCTTCCCTGCCAGCTGAGCCTCTCCATGGAGGCTGTGCCTGGAGGGGGGTCATGGATATGGATGTGTGCGCCAAACGCTGCTTCCTCGTGGATTTCCTCCCCACTCCGTTCCCACGCTTTGTAAGCTTCATTTCCCCGGGGCCTGACCTGTGGGGTTTCTCTCCAGACCTGCTCCTTCCCATTTCCAGAAAGGCGTGCAGGGGTTTCCTATGGCTCTCTTCCCTGTCCCCATCCCCCTTCCCTTGGGACAGTGATCTGCTGGACGGGTGGGCTACCCACAGGGTTTGTGATTGCTTAGACATCTTTGCTGTATGAAGCTTTGACCTCAAGGCATGATGCAGATGGGAATAAGGCACGAGTTTCTCCTGGCTGCTGTAACAACTGTCGAAACTGGGTGGCTTATAGCAAGGGGAATGTGTCCTCTCACAGTTCTGGAGGCCAGAAGTCTGAAATCAAGGTGCCAGCAGGGCCAGCTTCCTCTGAAGACTCCAGGGGAAAACCTTTCTTTGCCTCTTCCAGCTTCTGGTGGCCCCAGGTGTTCCTTGGCCTGTGGCTGCATCACTCCGGTCTCTGCCTCTGTCTTCACAAGGCCTTTTTCTGTGTCTCTGTACTTTCTTTTCTGTCTCTTAGAAGGACACAGCATTGAATTTAGGGCCCACCTTATCTTGAGATCCTTGCCTAAATTCTTTCTGCAGAGACCCTTAAACAGAATCAGGTCACATTTGAGGTTCCAAGTGGGCATATCTTTGTTTTGGGGGGGATCACCGGCCCACTGTAGGTCTCGTTGTGCACTGAAGACGCAGGCGGTCCCTTTGGCCAGGCCTGCAGTCGGTCTTGCCTTCTTTTGTGACCGTGGAAGAATGCACCTTGCTGGATGCACAGGCCTTTATAGTTCTTTTGTTCTTGCCAAATTTCAGCTCAGTTTCCTCTCTGCTGCCGGCGTGCATCTTCTCTGCCCAGTGCCCCTTCTGGGACTGTGTGTCCAGGCCCTGAGGCCCTAGAAAAGGGGGGTGGAGGGCCTCCTCACTATCCTGTAGCAATGAGGCCTCATTAAAATCCTGGAGCCCCAGACTGGACCCAGCCCTTAGCTATGATCAAAGGACAGCTCGGGATATGATTAAAGGGCTAGAGAAAGATGATTTAGGCTGAGAAAGAGGAGGCCAAGGAGCAACTGGATTGTCCTTGAATGTGGAAAAGGTAATTATGACTTGAAGGGTGGTGCCCAGCTGTTTCCCATCTCCTCTGAGGACAGGAAAAAAAAGGAAATAAATGATGTACAATTAGAGCAGTTGGTTAGATACGAGGGTGAACTTCCTGGCTGGGAGTATGGCCAAGCCCTGATTTGGGTTTCCTGAAAGAGCTCGGGGAACCTCCTTACCTGGAGGTTTCTAGGCCTGGTCATGTGGCTCTGAGTGATTACATTGAAGGGGCAGTGGCTGGGGCTGGAGCCGGTGGGCTCTGAGCACAGTCACGAAGGCATGCGCACTTTCTGGCTGCTCTCCTGCCATTGTCCCTTGGGTTCCCATTTTGGTGAGGCGTGCACCCTGGCGGCGCTCCCCAGGGAACTAAATATGTTTGCTGCACTGTGCGTGGAGATGGAGAATGTACAATTGGCTGACCCTGTGCTAATCTGGTGGAACTCCATGCCAGCCCTGGGAAAGAACAATTGCATGGGTGTGTCCACACTCACCAGGTGCTTTTTAGAAAAACACTCGAGAATAATGCTGTGGCTTAGGATGGCTGTTGTGCCGGACCCGGCATCTTCCCAGGGGGGCTGTGTTGTTGGGCTGAGTTTCTTAGGTACTGGACCCCCAAATCCCCAAATACGGCGTGGACAGGTGGCCCAGTAGGGGCTGGACTATCCGATAGGCCCAGGTGCTGGAGTTCAGACAAGACATACCCTGGCCTGGCGTGGAAGATACGGGGTGCTATTAATGGCAGCAATGGCTGCATTTCTGAAACCCGGGCTCCCAGGCCGACGAGGGTGTGCACGCATCTGAAATGTCTGTGGTTTTGCAGTTCCCATGTCCACAAACTCACTTGGTTGAAAATAGTTCAAAATATCCAAAGCATGAGGGAGGGAGTGCCTGCTTTTCTTAAAAAGGAAGGACTTGATTTCATCTACTTAAAAAGCCACCCAAACCTAGAACATTTTCCGCAAGAGACCCCCTGCCCCCCGCCTCTCCAGAATGGCTGGAGAGTCTCAGCACTCCTGCACATTTGGGATATTTCAGAGGGGGTGGGGAGGGGCAAGTGGGCAGCGAGCGACCTCAGACCCAGGATGAGCTGTCAGGCGCTCCCCGGCCACACATTCAAGGGACCGGAGTGCAGTTGTAGCGTTGCGGCCTGCTGCTTCGGGGGTGGGGGTGTTGTTCCATGCTGTGAATTCTCACATGGCCCCTGACTCTGGGCAGAGGCCGAGGGTCTAAGGGACGGGGTGACAGGGAGAGCATGCAGGAGTGGGTTTCTGGCTTTCCAGGGCGAGTGGAAGAAGCGCCTCTCTCTCTTGTAGGTGACAGACCTGGGGGGCCCTTCTTGAGGATGAGAGCCTGTTGCTTCTCAAGTTCTGTGTCTAACCCAGGTCCCCAGGTCTACCCCAGCCCCTCGGCCCTGCCTGCCTTGTGGATGATATAGTTTAAGGGTAGAGACCGCTGGCCTGGAGGGAAGGCTAGGCCTCAGGTTAGGGCCCAGAAGGGAGGGAGAAGCCCTTGGGGCAGCTCCCTTTCTGCTCACTCACTGCCTAGCTCCTTCCTTCACACCTTCCTTCGGAAACGTCTGCTCCTGACAAGGTCTACTTCCTGCTCTCAGGAGGCCCTTATTGTGGAGGAAGGGAGGCGTCGCCCGTCCCTGGCTTCTCTGACAGCCGTGTTCCATCCCCGCCCTGTGCCCCTTCTCCCGGACAGTGCCTTCTCCAGGGCTCACCCAGGAGGGTGCAGCGGTGGCCCCCGGGGCGGTGGTCGTGGTGGGGGTGTTAGCTGCAGGGGTGCCCTCGGTGGGTGGGAGTTGGTGGCCTCTCGCTGGTGCCATGGGACTCGCATGTTCGCCCTGCGCCCCTCGGCTCTTGAGCCCACAGGCCGGGATCCTGCCTGCCAGCCGCGTGCGCTGCCGTTTAACCCTTGCAGGCGCAGAGCGCGCGGCGGCGGTGACAGAGAACTTTGTTTGGCTGCCCAAATACAGCCTCCTGCAGAAGGACCCTGCGCCCGGGGAAGGGGAGGAATCTCTTCCCCTCTGGGCGCCCGCCCTCCTCGCCATGGCCCGGCCTCCACATCCGCCCACATCTGGCCGCAGCGGGGCGCCCGGGGGGAGGGGCTGAGGCCGCGTCTCTCGCCGTCCCCTGGGCGCGGGCCAGGCGGGGAGGAGGGGGGCGCTCCGGTCGTGTGCCCAGGACTGTCCCCCAGCGGCCACTCGGGCCCCAGCCCCCCAGGCCTGGCCTTGACAGGCGGGCGGAGCAGCCAGTGCGAGACAGGGAGGCCGGTGCGGGTGCGGGAACCTGATCCGCCCGGGAGGCGGGGGCGGGGCGGGGGCGCAGCGCGCGGGGAGGGGCCGGCGCCCGCCTTCCTCCCCCATTCATTCAGCTGAGCCAGGGGGCCTAGGGGCTCCTCCGGCGGCTAGCTCTGCACTGCAGGAGCGCGGGCGCGGCGCCCCAGCCAGCGCGCAGGGCCCGGGCCCCGCCGGGGGCGCTTCCTCGCCGCTGCCCTCCGCGCGACCCGCTGCCCACCAGCCATCATGTCGGACCCCGCGGTCAACGCGCAGCTGGATGGGATCATTTCGGACTTCGAAGGTGGGTGCTGGGCTGGCTGCTGCGGCCGCGGACGTGCTGGAGAGGACCCTGCGGGTGGGCCTGGCGCGGGACGGGGGTGCGCTGAGGGGAGACGGGAGTGCGCTGAGGGGAGACGGGACCCCTAATCCAGGCGCCCTCCCGCTGAGAGCGCCGCGCGCCCCCGGCCCCGTGCCCGCGCCGCCTACGTGGGGGACCCTGTTAGGGGCACCCGCGTAGACCCTGCGCGCCCTCACAGGACCCTGTGCTCGTTCTGCGCACTGCCGCCTGGGTTTCCTTCCTTTTATTGTTGTTTGTGTTTGCCAAGCGACAGCGACCTCCTCGAGGGCTCGCGAGGCTGCCTCGGAACTCTCCAGGACGCACAGTTTCACTCTGGGAAATCCATCGGTCCCCTCCCTTTGGCTCTCCCCGGCGGCTCTCGGGCCCCGCTTGGACCCGGCAACGGGATAGGGAGGTCGTTCCTCACCTCCGACTGAGTGGACAGCCGCGTCCTGCTCGGGTGGACAGCCCTCCCCTCCCCCACGCCAGTTTCGGGGCCGCCAAGTTGTGCAGCCCGTGGGCCGGGAGCACCGAACGGACACAGCCCAGGTCGTGGCAGGGTCTAGAGTGGGATGTCCCATGGCCCCCATCCAGGCCTGGGGATATCCTCATCCGCCTCCCAGAATCGGGCCGTGGGGGACAGAAGGGGCCTGCGTGCGGGCAGGGAGAGTATTTTGGCTCTCTCCTGTCTTCGGGGTTTACAAAGTGTGTTGGGACTTGCGGGGCTGCTCTGTCCAAGCCTGGGTCTGGCGTCCGCGTCTCTGAGCCTGTGAGTGCGTGCGCTTTCCTGCGTCCTCTTGACTGCCGGTGCTGGGGCTCTGCGTCCTGCGTCCGCGGGAGTAAATACAGCAGGCGAAGGGGAAGCTCACACAATGGTCTCCAGCGCTCTGGGGCAGGGCTTCTGAGGGGCGGGCCTGCCTCTGCCGGGACCTGGAGCCCCCGCCCCTCGGAGAGGCTCCTAGGCTGACTTGGGCAGAGCCCTCTGGTGGGCCGGGAGGGGGAAAGGCTGTGTTGAAATGAGCAAACTGTCCAGGTGTCAGGCCAAGCTGGGAGGTGACCAGCCTGAGGTCCTCCCCGCTCCATGGCCAGAACCAGGGCTGACATCTGGGTGTCCTGAGCCCAGCTGCCCACACGGCCCACCTGGGGTCAGCCCTATCTGAGTGGGGGAGGCGGGGCCTCCTGGGGGACCAGAACTTTGGCTGGACGCCAAGCAGAGTGCCAGTGGCTGTTCTTCAGGGCTGGGCCTGAGGAGGGTGTGGGGCGGCGAAGGGACGGGAGGGGGTTGTGATCCAGTGGCCACTGGCGCTGTGCAGAGTGTGAGCTGGAAACATCGTAGTTACTTTGTCAGCTTAGTGGTGAAAGCCCTTTTTCAGGCTCTATCCCTTTGCATCCCTGCTTCCCAGAGGGAGGGGAGGTCTGGGTCTGCAGAGCTGGGAGGGCTTGCTGTTCCCGCCCCCCTCCCCCACAACACCTCCTCATCTGGACATCTTTGGGCACATGCTCATACTGGGGTCTCCCTAGGTCCACTGTGTTCCGTTGAGCCTCCTGCAGTCCCCGAGTGAATGTGACCTCCCTGCCCCTGCCTCTTTGCAACTCCTCCCTGCGACCGCTCCTCCAGGGGCCTTCCTTGTCCCAAATGTCCAAGTGGCACGACTTAGCCGGTCTGACCACTTTCCAGTAAGCCCTTATGGAGAGAGGCCCTGTGTTGTGCAGAGCTCTCCTCCTGCCTGCGGGATCGAGGTCTCTGCTCTCAGTTCCTAACAGAAAGTGTCGGGCCCCCAGTGGGATTTCTGGGGAAGAACTCTCGTGTCTCAACGGGAGCCCTGTGGCGGGAGGGGAGGCCAGGGTTTGGGGTTGTGTTCGTTGTACAGCTGTCACCATTTGCACTATGAAAGTTGTTAGTGCCCCTTCCTTGGGTCTCTGGGTGTAACTCCACCCTTGCCCCCATGTGCCTCCATCTGGAGCTGCTTCTGCGGCTGTCTCCCAAGCCAGTTTTGTGACCCTGTAATTTAGTCCAAGACAATGGGCTCATTGAGACCATCCTGGTGCAGCAGTTGGCAATCCTTTGGCTCTGGGGGAAGGTTTCTCAGTCTCGGGGAGTGGGGCCTCAATCTGCTGGTTCCCTGTGTTTATCAGTCTCCCCCTTGTGTGTCCTGAATGGTTTTGCTGGGAATTCTGGTCTTAGAGCCATCAGGTGGCCCGAGTCGATAGGCGTGAGAGAGTGTGTGTGTGCATGAGTGCGCATGTGCATGGGGGCTGACCTGGGGTATGGAAAGGTGGCCCTCCCTGGTGCCCAAGGAGCCTGGAGTATAGTTGGAGGGTGTGGGGGTGTGTATATGGGAGTTGGACAACCTTGGGTGGACAGACAGACGTGGGGAAGGGATGATTGAAGGAGGTGGAGGAGAGAGTGTGATTCAGCCCAGCCAGGGGTGATGTGGACAGGCAGCTTCCGAATCAGGGTAGAGAAAAGTCACCACTAGCTAGCAGGGGAGAAGTCAGTATGGAGGAGGCGGACCTTGAGGGAGAGTAGGAATTGGATTGCAAGAGGAAGGAGAGCCTTCTGGCCAGCAGCAGCCAGCAGCAGTGGGGGAGGCTGGAATGAGCTGGCTGGAGAGGGGGCTGGGGCATAAGGAGGGGCCTGCCTGTGAAGATCATATGGGCCAGGCTGCGGAGGGCCAGGCATGCCCGCCGGGAGTGCAGCTGGTCCACGGGAAGCATCTGGAGTGGCTGGGAATGGGCGCAGGAGCAGCGCCGTGGGAGCACAGGTCTCTTTCCCGGGGCGGCTCACCTGGTGTCTTGGTTCCTGCAAGGTAGGCCGAAAGGGTGGGGAGGAAACTGCCAGCTCCTTACAGCGCTGGGATGGTGGCCCCAGGGTTCCTGAGGCCAGCGGATGTGGGTGCCTGTCACCATGTGGGTTGCTGAGGGGCGGAGACTCCAGGGGCCACCCCAAAGCAGGACGAGCTCTGAGCCACGGCATCTCTGGGGGCAGTTTTCCAATCGAGCAGACGTCTAGGCCTGGAATCCTGTAACAGAGGCCACAGGGCCCTGATCAGGGTGTTCTGGGAGGCTTAGAACTAGTGGCAGTATACAGGGTAGACGGCAAGTGACCTGGCATGGGGAAAGAGGCAGGTGCCCAGGCCGGCACAGCACACCCGTAAGGAACAGGTAGACGGGAAGCCGTCCGTGGGCCTGTGTGTGTGCTCGGAGTTAAAATTCTGCCAATGTCCCATGTCCTGGGCACATCTACCCCCTCCCTGGGGAGCACCTTTCTCTTCACCTTTTCCTTCCCCGCCTGTCCCCTTCACCCAGGGCCTTCCCCATCCCTCCCGTCTTGGGGACCGAGGGCACCATGGCTTTATGTTCCATCACCGATGAGTTGCACAGGGATTCAGTCCTTCCGCTGTTCAGGCCGGGTCCTTCAGGCTCAGGGTTCCCAGGAATGGAGAGGGTATCAGTGTCTTCCATGGACTCAAACTTCCCGCATCCCGCCTTTGCTCCCCCTTCAAGATAGGTCTCCGAGCTTCAAGGTTTTAGGGCTCTGTGGAGGCCGCCACGTAGCAGCAAGGAGAATGTTTTGTATTTGGCTGATGAGATTTTTAGAGTCTCATTTTCTACTTTTCCACTGTACAAACGGGCCTCCAGGCGACTGCAGCACCCGCCACTGCCCGTAATAGGGTGACAAGAGGGATGACCCTTTCCTCTTTCTCCCTTCTGGTTGGTGGAGGCACGGGGCTGGCGGACGGCATGTGCTTTCGTGAATTCAGGCCAAATCTGTTATCGCAAACACGATTACAACTCGGGTCTTTGTGTAACAAAAGCCTTTCCAAGTACCAGCTGTTGGCCTGCTTTGCTCAGCGGTGTTTGCTGTAACCAGATTTGCACACCGAGAAAGAATCCAAAAGTCCTTGATGTTTGTTGAAACAATCTGGCCCAGGACCCACGTGCTCAGATCCCAGAGCTGTGTGGCATCTGAGCTTCTCCCGAGCCCCCACTGTCGCCCGAGGAGGACCCCCAGATCTGTGTTCTGGAGGCAGAGCAGGCTGTGGGACGGGCTTCTGGGTGGGAAGGACCATGTGGATATGCCTTCTTGTCTGAGAGTCCCAACACCTCCGGGACGTGGGAGCTGGCGCGCTGGCAGGATTCAGGTGCCTCTTTCCTCTCTAGAGAAAAAGGCCCCGTTGCTTGGTAATAGGTGCAGACCTGTCCCTAATTAATGCCAGTAGGCCTCTTGCGTGATGAACCCTGCCTTTCAGCCAAGACTCAAGGCATCCTGTGAATACTGCCTCTCTGCAGTTTGAGCTTTTGTGGTGGGAGGCAGGAGCCATGGGGAGTGGGGGCAGGCCTCTTACACGGGTCCCACAGCCACTGGCAGCACTGACTTGATGCTCTTTGAGTTCAGAGCCCAGGGCCAGACAGACCCACTGTCCCGACTACGAGTTGGTTCATTTAGAGGGGGGCGGACACAGCACCCAGGCAGCAGATGCACTGTGATCAGCCTTGCAGCGGGGCTGTGGGTTCTCTGGGCTGGATGTCCGGGAAGAGGCAGGTGGAGGTAAACGCCAGGACACCCCTGCAGTGACTGGGTGACTGCAGGCTGGAAATGCTTTCTGTGGGCTGTGGCTGTCCAGGAAGGTTTTGAATGGGGCTAGTGGACAGAGTTTGCATCCAGAGGGGCAGTGCTTTGGAGGAGTGAGGGGTATGGCAGTGTAGGGATGCCCAGGCCGCCCTCACTCTGCCATTGGAAAGCTGGGCGGCTTCGGTTTCTTCAGTTTCTTCGCCTGTTTCCCTGCCTGCAAAGTGGGGTTAGAAACAGCTCTCTTTGAGGGTTGCTGGGGGACTCTGAGATGCAGCCCATGGCGCTGAGCACGGGTCCTGCCTCCTACGGGTGTGGTGGGTGTCGCGGCTGGTGTGGCATCTGGGCGGGAAAAGGGGGCATTTGCAAAGGACAGGTAGGTTTGGATGCTTAAATATGCAGATCTGGGGATGGGAGGTCTCAGGCAAGGGCCTGTGTGATGCCACTGTATGAATGAGGCCGGACAGCATGGTCACCACTAATTATGGAAAGCACGGCAGACACTAGTGCCAGTAGCGCCCGCCTGGGGGTCCCTCTGAGCCCGACAGGTACTCAGGCTCCCAGTGCAGCCATGGGACCCCCCTTTTCCTGCCTGGCTGACATTCTGGAGGCTGGCGTCATGTTGGCTGCAGGTTCCTCTTACTGGGAGGTTGTCCTGGTCTTCCCTGCCACCATCTACCCCCACCCCCACCCTGGAGTGTCACAGATGGGTGGACCATATGCCCATCTGCAGGGCCAAGCGCTGACAATGAGGTGAGCACTTGCTGGATGACCGGACCATGAGGACAGCGGGGGCGCTGGCAGCCTGCGTTCGGCTCTGCAGGCTGGCCTTTCCCTGAAAAGCGGTTGTGGCAGAGTGTGCATCCCAGGGAGTGGTGCCTGCTGCCCTGAACATTCTCATCCAGCAGGCCTCTGCAAGGGCCCAGTCAAGTGTGGTGCAGAGCTGGGCTGGCAGCTGGAACAGTCTCATCTTGTCTAGTGGTGAGACCAAGGGCTGATGGGCCAAGGCTGCGTGCTGCTTGCCCAGCCCGTGGACCCATCCACTGAGCACCCCCATACCCCTACACTGGGCCCGGGGTGTCAGGAGGTGGAGGGGGGACTGGGTGCCTGGAAAAACAAGCCCACCGAGAGCCTGAGCCCCCAGGGGTCAGTATCAGGCAGTCACCACGGTGCCCGGTACACAGTGGCCACCTGGTCTCGTCGGCTGTCTTGGTGGTGGAGAGCGTGCATGGTGGCCGTACGTGATGGGCATCACCCAGGGTAATACAGATATGCAGACTGTGCATTTGTCTGTAGGAGCCAGGGACTTCTCAGCCTGGCAACCTGTGACCTCTGCCTACCCGTTGGGAGAGAGGTGCTGTTCCCTGATAGCCTGGTGCCGGGAGAGCAGAACTAGGGTCTCCTCCTCCTTTCTCCACCTCCCATTTCTTACATGCCCAGGCATCAGGGGAGGTCACACTCAGGGATGAGTCTTGGCCACTGGGTTCAGGGCCTCACTGTTGCCATCTCTTCCCTTTGCCAGCCAGCCAAATGCCCGTCCATCATCGTGCCGGGGATGGGGCTGGCCTGCTCCTCTGAAGTCTCCTTGGTGTATAGCCTAGGCTGGAGCCCCGGACGATTCCGCCACCCCCTCCCCCGACTTTTTCTTTTTATTTTGATTCATCCCAGAAACCCAGCCAAAAACCAAGTTCCTGTGCTCTCCCTTGACAAAGCCACTGAGGAAAAATGGTCAAACACTGCCTTTCTTTCCAAAGCCCTCTTGGTTTTTCCCAAATTTGGAGGCTCTGAGTTGCTTATGAGACCAAAGGGTCCGGAACTCTCTGGAACACAGTCCCAGAAGTGGGAGGATTTGTCATCTCTCCAGCCAAACAGACCCACCAGTTGGCCCCTAGACACCCCCAGGCGCCTGGGGCATTTCTGGGCTCAGGCTGTTTAATTTGGTCTGCAGAGCCCCGAGGCTCCGTTTAGACTGGGCCAGCAGACAGTTCTAGAGACTTCAAGTTTGTTGTCGTTTTTAAAAGTCCTGCCAATGCCCAGAAACTTAGAGGGACAAGAAGATGACCTCGATGTCAGCCGGGACCATAAACAGTGAGGCCCGCCCCCCCCCCCACCCATGCCTGCCTCCACTGCTCCCGTAGCTGGGTCTCCAGGGGATTGCCCGTGGCCATGGGGGAGGCCGGGAATGCGGGGCTCAGACTCTACTGGGCTTCTCGTATTTTTTTGTTTTTCCTTGTCCATCTTCTTTCTCGGAAATTTCTGAATATCCCCCTACAGCCTTTGGCATTCTGTCACTCCTGGCATCTCTGGGCCAACTGGGAAAGCCATCATTTGTCCAATATCCAGAAAATCAAGGGGCCTGGCCTTAAATACATTGCAGTGCCCTCCTCCCCACATGGCATCGAATTTCCTGTGTCCTCAAAGCCAGGAGCCTGTGCCTTGGATGTGGGCGATGGAGCCTTGCAGACACCTGGAGCGGCTTTCCTGGGAGAGTCTCCCTCGCCTTCCCATCCACCCGCTTCCCCTCCCCTGCCCCAAGCTCTGGTCACAGCCTCGGAGGGGTCATCTGAGTGTAGGTTGCCTCCAGGTGTACAGTTGGAGGGGGGCAGTTACCCCACATCCCCCTGTCTGCTAGGGGCACCCCCAGGGACTCAGGTCTTGAGGGACAGCGGAAGGGTGGGGTGGGGAGTAGGCCGTTGTCTCGTGCCACCTGGGTGTTATGTAGACTCTGAATGGGCAGTTCCTGGGAGCTGGTTTTTCCTTCTCACCCCTTCTACAGTGCTGCCCCTCTGAGGGGCTGGAGCTCTCTGGAGCCCTTTGCAGCCTGTGGCAGGTCTTTCTGATTCTGTGCCTGGTTTCGCAGCCTCCAACCCATAGCCAGTGGCATGAAGAACATTCCTGGCTGTCTCTACCTGTGGCCTTTGCAGGCAGCAGTTCCCTGGGGCAGGGCCTGGGGGTCCTGGCACCTCCTTGTGGGACCCCTTGGGTATGAGGGAGGGAGCCACCTGGGCCACAGATAGACCCCCTTCCTGTATCCAGGAGGTTCAGGATGGACCTGTCTCATCTTTCTTTCTGGTGGGAAGAGAGCATTCCTGGCCATGGGGAATGTGGCCTGGACAGAGCCACCTAGCCTCTCCCCTCCCCCAGGCAGGGCCCTGAAAGATGGAGATGGCTCTGCTCCTGCCAGGTCAACAGCCAGCAGTCTGGTGGATTTCCATGCAGTCCAGGCAGGATCTCCTTCTGTCCCCACCCCCCACCCCATGTGCAGGAAGCTGGTTCCAAGCAGGGACCCTTGGCCCCGCTTTCCACGTGGGTGGGCAGTTTCCCTGCGAGGGGCAGGCCAGGCCCCTGCCCTATGTCCCCCAGAGACCGATGTTATCTACAGTAAGAGCATACAAGTCTTTTTGGCTCCAAACCAGGCCTGGAGGGGTGGTCTTCTCCTCTGTCCTCTGCCTCTTGCCCCCCATTAAAGGTCAGGGAATGGAGTGCTCTGTATGTTTGCTGGGGTTGGGTTTTTTCCTTTGGTTTAAAATGAAGGGCTGGAATCCCTGGTGCAGACTGCACGGTGAGAGGTGCTCCTTGGGATCCACTCGAGGAGCATTACTGCTGAATGCCCTGCCAGGCCAGGAGCATCGCTGGGGGTGGGAGAGGCAGTTGGCTTATTTGTTTATCCAACAGCCATCCATGGGTACCCCAAGGGCCAGCTCTGTTCTAGGCACTGGGGGTCTAGGCATGGGCTCAGGAGAAGGGGTAGAACGGGAGGGCTTCCTGGAGGAAGGCTTCCTAACCAGAGACCGGGGTAGGAGTTTGCCAGGCAGGTGATGCTGGCCAGCTTCTCTTGCCATTTTCCTTTTCTTTTTTTCTTTTTCTTTCTTTCTTTTTTTTTGAGACAGAGTTTCGCTCTTGTTGCCCAGGCTGCAGTGCAGTGGCGTGATCTCGGCTCACTGCATCCTCCGCCTCCTGGGTTCAAGCGATTCTCCTGCCTCAGCCTCCTGAGTAGCTGAGACTCCAGGCACGCACCACCACGCCCAGCTAATTTTTTGTATTTTTAGTAGAGACAAGGTTTCATCCTGTTGGCCAGGCTGGTCTCAAACTCCTTACCTCAGGTGATCCGCCCACCTTGGCTTCCCAAAGTGCTGGGATTACAGGTGTGAGCCACTGCGCTCGGCCTTCTCTTGCCATTTCTGCAGACTCATAGTGTGTGTGGAAGACTGTATGTCTGTGCCTGGCACAGCTGCCCTCGGCACTCAGGTGGGAGGTGGGGGAGAGGGCTGTTGGTGCCAGCACAGGTCATGGCATGAGACAGGCTCCCGCAGCCAAGCGGGGTGCACCGCAGCATTGGAGGGGCCCTGCTGCGCACGAGATCCAGGCTCTGCATCTGTCCTCCTCCCCAGGAGGCCTGGAGGGCTGGGAGGGACCAGGGTGGTGAAATAACCCAGGTGGGAGAGAGGCACTGTTGGAGAGGCAGAGGGAGCTGCAGGTTTGTAGCAGCGAGCTTTAAACCCTGGGCCTCCACCAGAAAACCTCAGAAAGGGCTGCTTTGCTTTTTTTTCTAAACTACAAAAGAAACCCTTGGCCGCCTGGGCCCCTTGGGGTCGGGTGGGGGAGGAGATCCTTCATTCGCACCTTTGCAGGCCCAGTACTGTGCAGAGGGAGGAGGGTGGAGGCAAAGGCGAGGGAGGAGGGTGGAAGCAAAGGCGGGGTCCCTCCCTAGCCCCGCTGCCCTGCCTGGTTGCTGCTCTCAGACCCCTACTCCTGGCCCGGAAACATGGAATCTTGGGACAGCTGGGGTAGGGGGCACAGAACGGAGACCCTGGTGAGGGAGGAACTCTTTCTCCAGCCCTGGCTGTGGCCACAGCAAGGCCAGGCTGGGAGGACCTCACTCAAATATTTACATCTCTCCTAATATTTAAATGATGAAGCAGGCTCCTGCACACAGCTGCCCTGGAGCCAGCTGTTGCCTGCCCTACCCTCCCTCTCTCCCTCCCTCTTTCTTTCCCTCCCTCTTTCTCTCCCTCCCTCCTTCTCTCCCTCCCTCCCTCTTGCATTCTTTGTCTCTGACCCAAGTCCAGGCCCTTCCAGCTGTTCTCTCCTTACCCACAGGCACCTCCTGTGACTGAGCTTCTCCTTGTTATTTTTCATAACCATTTCCTTTAATTGAGCACCTCCTAGGTGCCAGGCCCTGGGCTGGTACTTTGTATACAAGGTGTCTTTTAATCCCCACGAGAGCCCAACAAGGTAGATTGGGCTGCTGAGGCTCCAGCGCTGGAAGGCCGGCCCGGGTCCTCCCAGTCCGCACCTGCATCCATCCATCACTCCCCCACTGTGGAGACCTGTTCCCTGGCCCCTGGCTGAGCACGATGGAAATCTCTGTCTACTAGTCCTTGGAGAGTGGGGATGGCTGAGGGTCCCGACCCTGGGGTCTGACGGGGGCTGCCTCTGCCCCACTTCAGCCTGGCTGCTCTTCCACTCAATGACTGAGTTTGCAAAACCAGAATAACAGTGCTACCTGGCTGGTACTTTGGGTGGCTGGGAGGCGTGGGAGAGGGTGCACGGAGGGGCTGAGCGAGGTGTCAGCATCGTGGGGATCTCCGAGGGTAGCCTTCCCAGGCCCAGGGCGGAGTGTAGGCAGAGGGCGCGATGGCCCAGCGTGCCGGCTCACATCTGGCCTTGCCCTTGCCCACACGGCAATGTGGGGGAGTCATCAGCCTCTCAGTGCCTCAGTTTCCCATCTGTGCAATGGGGACAAGAGTAAATCACTGTCTTCAGGTATGGTAAGCACTCATACACATTGACTATTGCAGAATGAACACAGTGAGCCCTTCTTAGGCTTCTACTACATGCCAGGCAGGGTGCCAGGCCCTAGTGGAGAGGGGACAATGATGGGCAAGCTGGCTCCTGCCCTCAAGGGCTGTCGAGCAGGGAGGAAGGCGGCGGCTGCCCTGACTGTGACCCGGAGTGGGGTGATTCGCAAAGAGGCTGGCGGGAGGCTGGCTGGGGGCTGGCTGGGGGCTGCTCCCTCTCCTGCCTGTGTTCCGTGGCAGGGTATTAAACTGGCTTTTTTCATGGATTTCCGAGGCCCTGACTGTGGGACCTCGGGCAGGTTTTGGGACCTTGTGACTTTGTTCCCGCTTGTCATTCAGGCCTTTGTCCTCAGCAGTGCCCAGCACACGGCGACTTCTGCATGTCCTTCAGTGTGTGACTGACCCTGGAGCTGAGACTTGGCAGCTGAGGCTGGACATTGTCCTTGGATAACTCCCGGGGAGGTGGGGGCAGGGTGGGGCTGTGAGCTGGCAACTCCGAGTCCCTAGCAGCCTCCGAATGGAGGCTTTCCTCTTGTAGGATTCTCGGGGAGGAAGGAGGGGATGGGGGAGATGAGGCTTGTGAGTCTTCAGGAGGGCAGAGGTTCACACCTGCAGCGCCCCAGAAACACTCCGGGGTGCCCAGGCTTACCCAGCCCTCCTGAGCCAGAACCACCAAGAGTTGGGGACCAGCAGTCCATTTTTTAGCAAGATCCAGAAATGATTCTCCTGAACAGTCCGAGCCAAGAATGACATATCTGGAATCAGAACATCAGAACTACAGAGGAATCGAGAGAACGGGCCCAAAATGTGTAGGGACCTCAGCCACATGGCGCCACATGGAGGAAAGCACCCAACATCATCACTGTATGAACCTGTTTAAACACACACACACACACACACACACACACACACACACACACACACACTCCCCAGTAAAGAGTGGAAAGACATTTGTCAGAATATTGATGGAAGTTACCTGGGTTGTGGGTTTATAGATTTTTTCCCTTTGTTTTTGTGCATTTTGCAAATTTTCGGCTTTGTGCCTAAATTCCTTTTACAGTCAGGAACAAAGCAATAGATGTTATTTTTTAAAGTTCATGGGCTCGTGCCCGTAATCCCAACACTCTGGGAGGCTGAGGCAGGAGGATTCCTTAAGCCCAGGAGTTTGAGACCAGCCTGGGCAACATAGGGAGACCCCCACCTTTTTTTTTTTTTTTTTTTGACAGAGTTTCACTGTGTCCCAGGCTGAAGTGGCGGTGGCACGTTCTTGGTTCACTGCAACCTCTGCCTCCCAGGTTCAGGTGATTCTCATGCCTCAGCCTCCTGAGTAGCTGGATTACAGACACTCATATTTGTAGGATTTGAGAATCCTACAAGAGGAAAGCCTCCATTCGGAGGCTGCTGGGGACTTGGAGTTGCCAGCTCACATATTTTTTAGTAGAGACAGGGTTTCACCATGTTGACCAGGCTGGTCTCAAACTCCTGTCCTCAAGTGATCCATCCATCTCGGCCTCCCAAGGTTCCAGGATTACAGGCGTGAGCCACTGCGCCCGGCCATGGGAGACCCCCTCTTAAAACAAGAATAAAAATAAAAATAAATAAAAGTTTACTGTCAAAAAGAAAAACACATCACCCAACCTAATCTCCCCCTAGGATTGAGAGATGAGGAAGCAGAGGCCGGAAAGTGTCACATTCCCTGGTCGCTGGCAGTCAGGGGACCTGAGGCCTGGGCTGGTTTTCTCGTGCTCCAGGCCTGGGGTGTCAGGTGGAGCCCCTGCTTTGCCCAAAGGTCTAGGTGCCTCTGCCAGCACTGCTTGCTTCTGCATTTTTGGCCACAAGGAATGTGGGCCAAAGGCAGGGTCCTTGACCTCTGCCCAGGAGGGTGAAGTGGGCTGGTCCTCCTTGTCCCTGCTCCAAGGCCCCTGCGGCTGTGCCTTTGGAAACTGCTGGCCCGAGCTAGTGTGCGGAGCTGGGACAGACCTCACCGTGGCCCTCGTGGGGTCATTCCATGTCCGGGCTGGAAGGGATCTTTCGGTCCAGCCCTTCCTGTTCCTCATCAGGAAACTGAGACCAGAGAGGTCATCTGCCTGGCCCGGGGTGGGGTGTAGATGGCGCTTGTGACTCCTGCATGCCACGTGCAGACAGTCCCTCAGCTGTGGGCTTCCCACGCAAGCAGCCATGCTGGGGATAACTTGGCTGAAACCTGCGATTTAATGAAGAGAAGAATGACTCCTCCTGCAGCCCTGTGCCCCACAGGCTCCCTCCTGCCCCCACCCCTCCTGCAGAGGGGCCTCATGCTGGTGGGTGGGTCCCTGTTGCTGCAATGGGCCCAGGCAGTTTCTGGGCAGTGGAGGCTTGGCTGTCTTCCTGCCCAATGTCCCCTGTAGCCCACGCTGTCCGGGAAGGGCGGGGAAGCACTCAGCCACTGGGGACTTCACAAGATGGGTATCTGGGAGATGCTGATTGGCAGGCCAGGCTCCCGTGGCCCACAGGCAGGTCAGAGGTCACAGTGCTGAGCTGGGCTGAGTTGGCAGCTCAGGGCAGTGGGGGTGGGGGTACCTTGCTCAGCCATGGGCCTCTCTGGCACAAGGGTTTGGAGTTTACTGTAAACAACTCCTTCAGTTTTTCCTTCTCTCATAGGCCACCAGCAGAATTGAGGGGCCCTCTGTTGATGAGGTGTGGCCTGGGAGGGGCTAGTTGTCTGTCCACCTGATCCTTGCGGACAGGTGACCACAGGCTTCCTGCCCCAGGGGGCTGGGGGAAAGATCGGGGAGGCCTCTCTGGCTTCCCCACTTGGAAGGAAAATACGGGCATAGGGGAGACACTTTACAGGGACACATTTCAGCCAGTACCCTCTGGCTGTGCTGGGGGCACAGTGCCTGCCCTGCCCACAAGAGGGGTCAGTTCTCTCCAGGATTTAACTTCAGCCTTCAGTGCAGGGCAGATGAGCACTCAGAGGCCCAGAGGACTCATATCACGAGAGAGAAGCTGTGACCACACAGGCACTGAAGGTTAAGCAGAAGAGTGGGACACACGGGTGACCTGAAAGTCCCAGGGTCAGTGTGGTTAGCCCCAGATAGCTGGGGAGCTTTGGGTACCAGGCTTAGCAGGGGAGGAGGGCCCCCGTGACAGTTTGCTGGGGCTGCTGCAACAAAGCCCCACGAACTTTGGGGGCTGAAGATGGTTCTAGAGGCCAGAAGTCCAAAATCAAGGTGTCGACCAGGCTGATCCTTTGGGGCCTCTGCGGGAGGCTCCGGCCCAGGCCTCTCTCCCAGCTTCTGGTGGCTCCCGGGTGCTCCTGGGCATGTAGATGCGTCACGCCACTCCCTGCTCCGTCTTCACATGGCCTTTTCTCTGTGTCTCTGTGTCTCGTAAGGATGCTTGTCATTGCATTTAGAGCCCACCCTAAATCCAGGATACTCTCCTCTTGAGATCCTTTATTGCATCTGCAAAGACCCTATTCCAACTCCTGTCACATTCACAGGTCCGAGGGCTAGGGCTCTGGCATGTCTTTTGGGGGTCACTATTCAGTCCACTGCGGCAGCTGATCTTAGGGGAAGCAGAATGTTCTAAGCTTGGGGTGAGCGGAGGGAACGCTGCTGGGTGGGGAGTGGGAGACCAGGCTCGGAGACACCGCGGATCTCCTCTGTCTGATGAGGGCGTGATGAGGTTCTCATCTCAGGTCCTCTGAATGGCGGCTGCTTCTGAGGAGACCCTTTCCCCTGGATCTGCCCCTCCAGAAACCTCCACTTAGGTCCAGGTCCCAAGGTGGATGGTAAGAGGCGGCTGTCCCTGCCACACTTGATGGGTGAGTGTGTGAACGGGGCTGGGAGCAGGACACTTGTCACTTCTGTGGACAGATTCCAGAGGCTCATGAATCTGCTGCTGGGGAAGGTGCCTGATCTAGCCTGACCCTCCACCCCCACCTCCCCCTTCCCGCCCCCCTTCACCAGCCCTGTTCCCAGAGCTTCACTTCCCCAAAGGCAGGCGCCGTTTCCTGGACTTCTCAGCAGCTACCCCCTACCCCAGACCCCTCTCTTGTAGGCCCCTCTGGTCTCAGCGCCTACTCCTCCCTGGGCTTCTGCCCCTCTACCGTGAGGCTTCTGGGCAGAAGTGTGGGGCCCCCTCGCTGTGTCTGGCTCTCGCGGTATACCAGGGGTCCTCCCAGGGGCCCGCCCTGCCCGCTAGGTTTCCAGGGAGCTTTTCAAGTTCTTAGATGGGCTTGATGGAGTTTCCCAATGCGTTGTCTCAGAGCAGGAGGGGCCCCGGCTGAGTCCGAGAGTCCCCTCAGTCACACCCTGGGCTGTTTGGGGCAGCCAGGCAGCCCGTCTTCTGGAGGTGCTGCCTCTCTCTGGTTACCCCTTCTGGAATCTTCTGCGTCCAGTTGCGGCCCCTCCTACACAGCACACCCACCACCCCCTTTTACCTGTGACTCTTCTTTGTCAACCTCTTCATGTCTTTGAGAATGGAGACCAGGTCCTCCTCACCCTGGAGTTCAGCAGAACCTAAACCAGGCAGATCCGTGTAGGTTCACGTGGGGGCTCTGTGGCCACTGTGGCTCTGCCGTCACCTCCAGCCCAGCTTGGCGCGCTTTGGATCATGTCATTCAGTGCCGGTCCTCCAAACCTCTCCCCTGGCTCTGCAGGTCTGGGAAGCAGCTGGCTCCTGGGTGCAGCTGTGACCGGAGCCTGAACTCTGCTCCCTGGGGTCACCGTCCCCTGTAATTAGGCTGCAGCTCATATTGGCTCGGGCAGAGGCCATCGGCTGCCCGCCTTGGGGCCACAACACAGAGAGCCCCGTGATTAATGGAGGCTCCACCTGGGCCAAGTGGCCCCTGGTGTTAGGCGCTTTTTTTTTTTTTTTTTTTTTTTTGCATTTTTTAAGTGCTTGTAACATTTCCCCTAATGGACAATGAGACGAGGAGGGAGGGAGGGGTGGCTTCTCTGCCCAGGCAGATCAGGAATGGTCACCGCCTGTGTGTGCAGTGACAGGTCTGGGAACAGACAAGGGAGAGCTTGTCCGGGAGGCTGGACCCTCACACCGATGCTGCCTGTGCCTGGCAGCTCTGTCCCGGGCCTCAGAACAGACACTGACCAACACGCTCCTCAGGGTCTCCAGGTCCGGGTCCTGGTCCCCGGCAGAGCTTCCCATCCATGGGAAGAAGCACCGAGCAGCCTTGCTGGCTCCTCGCAGGGAGCTGGGATGCATTTCTAAGAGCAGCATGCGTGAAGCCCGGGGTCTGGGCAAAGGAGTGTTTGGGGAAGAGTCTGCTGTTGTTGGAGGGTCGGAAGTAGAGGGGAAGGAGGGGCACGCGGTAGGCTGAGGAGGTGGCTGGCGACCCTGTGGTGGGGACGAGGGGGCTATGAGCAGACCAGGAGCCAGCATCACGTTTCTCTGTCTCCAGAATCGAGGACGGAGAGCTGCCAGAGAGGCCCTGGCGGGGTGTCTGGGGCCACCTAAAGGGCGTGGGTGGATTAAAGCTGAGGAAAGCCTCATTTTGGGGGACTCCGTACTTAACCTTTGAGGCCCTCAGAGCTGCAGCCTGTGGTTTTTCGAAGTCAATCACCTCCCAGGGCCTCGCTCCTGCCTTCAGCGACAGCCATTTATCAGGGAGTCTTTGACCCAAGGAGACCTGAAAGGTCATCTGGTCCCTCTCCTACCCCCAGGCAGGCCACACCTAGACCCTCCCACACAGATCCGTCCCACCCTTCTGCTGCCTTCCACCAGGGACGGAGGGTGGGCGGCCCTCCCACCCAGGCCCTGGCGGCCCCACCCCAGCCAGGAAATTCTTCCTCTTTATCTGCCTCACATCTCTTCCCCTGCGGCTTCCGCCCATTTCCCCTCAATCTGCTCCTAGTGGAGCAGCCAGCAGCTGGTTTAGAACCCGGGGGTGGGGGGAGCGCTAGACCAGTGCAGCACATCTGAGAGTGTGCCAGAGGTGCTCCCATTCCCATAGCTGATTTAGTAAAGAAAAGAGGAAGTCCAGCAACTTAGCGCCACTTTAAAGTCCGCCTGGAATGACCCTGTGGCTGCCGGAACCAGGGGCACGCGGTAGATGACGGGAGCAGGCACAGAGAGGCCTTCGTCCCGGATCAGTCGCTGTTGCCCTCTTGGAGGCTGGGCTGCCTTTCAAGAAGAGGACCCAAGGCCCTGTGAGCGGTGGCCTCCTCTGGAGCCTTTACTGTGGTCCTGGTTCTGCTCTGCGTAAAGAGAGATGGCTTGAAGCAGAAGCTGCTACGTGGCTGTCCCAGGCAGGCGCCCGTAGTCCCAGCTACTCGGGAGGCGGAGGCAGGAGAATGGCATGAACCCGGGAGGCGGAGCTTGCAGTGAGCAGAGATGGCACCACTGCACCGCAGCCTGGGCGACAGAGCAAGACTCCGTCTTAAAAAAAAAAAAAAAAAAAAGGAGTAGAGAAATCTTTCCCAGAAGGCCTGCAGTCACCTCCCCTTCATGTTTCAGAGGTAAAAAAAAAAAAAACTGCACATTTCGCTTTTTTTTTTTTTTTTTGAGACGGAGTCTCGCTCTGTCGCCCAGGCTGGAGTGCAGTGGCGCGATCTCGGCTCGCTGCAAGCTCCGCCTCCCGGGTTCACGCCATTCTCCTGCCTCAGCCTCCCGAGTAGCTGGGACTACAGGCGCCCGCCACCACGCCCGGCTAATTTTTTGTGTTTTTAGTAGAGACGGGGTTTCACTGTGTTAGCCAGGATGGTCTCGATCTCCTGACCTCGTGATCTGCCCGCCTCTGCCTCCCAAAGTGCTGGGATTACAGGCGTGAGCCGCCGCGCCCGGCCACACGTTTCTGTTCTTGAACAGGTGGCTCCCTGACCCTGGGTGTGGTTACTCCAAGACCTTGCTCTGGTGGGGCACAATTCTGGCCCCAGGTAGGGCGACCGTATAACTTACTGTCCCTTGGGGGACACGTTAGTGAAAGGGACCCTTGAATGACTACGGTGGGACAACAGATGTGAGCTGGGTTTGTCCCAGGAAGGCTGGATGTATGGGCCTCTTGAGCCAGAGGAGACAACAGCAGAAAGCTCTGCGGCTGATGGGACCGAGCAGGAGAAGGGCCGGCGGAGGCTGGGGCAACAACGCACTTGCCCACTGTGAAGGGCCTGTGTGAGCTGATGGCTGATGAGAGGGCAGTGGGGCGAGGCTGCCTCCTGCCAGGCTAGACCAGCTCCAGGACACCCATATCTCCTTTTCAGAACCGGTGACTCAGTGGCTAGAAGGGGCTTCAGAATTGACGGGACACTGAGGGAGTCGAATGGAATGGCTGGAGTGGCCACAGCAGGCTCTAGGCCTCCTCCCGTTTCTTTTCTGTGTTCTGTTCCTGGGGTCTATATCCTGGGGTTGCTGTAACAGAGTGCCACAACCTGGGGGCTTACAAACATAGCTTCCGGCGGCTCCTGGAGATTCCTGGCGTTCCTTGGCCTGCAGACGCATCACCATCATCTCTGATCTCTGGCCCCTGTCTCCACGTGGCTTTCTCCCCCTGTCTGTGTGTCTTTCTCCTTTTCTGTCTTTTATAAAGATGCTCACCATTGGATTTAGGGCCCACTAAATTCAGAATGATCTCACCTTGAGACCCTTACCTTAATTACATCTGCAAAGATCCGTTTTCCAAATGTGATCATGTTCGCAGGTTCCAGGAGTTAGGACTTAAGACATATCGTTTTGGGGGACACTGTTGAACCCACTACATTTAATAAACCCAGAGTTGGTGCCAATGTCCCCTGCGGACACCATAGCAGATTCTGGAGGTTCCTTGTAAAGGAATCCGTAGGACTTCTTTTCCCTTCTGGAGGGATGAGACTGTAGCTGGGCTGGGGAAAGCTGCTGGTTCAAGCTGGGGCTGGTTCAGCTGGTGCTGGCTTGCCAGGTTGTTAGAGAGCTTTATCCAGGGAGAAATTAACATCACAAAGTTGGGGGATAAGAGAAGGTTTGGAATCCCAAGGGCTGGCTGTTGAGGTCAGCTGCCCACCCCTTTGTGTTCCATCTTACAGGGACCCAGGCCTGCCAGTGCTCCGTTTCTGGAAGGAATGCTGTGGGCTGCTGTGCCCCATAGGCAGGGTGGAGGGTCCCCTTGCAGCCAGCGAGCTGCTCTTCCTGTAGCGTGCAGAGGGAAGGAGGAGGCTTGTTTATTTCTCTTGGCCTCAGCCGAAAATCCAACCACAGGCTCTGGCACTAGGCAGACCTGCTCATTCTCACATCATCATTGCAGAGTGAGCCAGGCCTCTTGGGTGGGGCTGTGATGAGCAGGAAGGACCTCCGGAGTGCCTGGGACTTCTTGGGCCCAGGGTTGCCAGAGGCAGAGAGAAAGAAGCCTCCTCCTAACACTTGAGCAAAGATAGTCATCAGAATCCATCAGAGTGGCCTCCTGTGGCTCTTCCCTGGGTGCTGACCCCCCTGGTGCATTTGAAGTTTTCAGGGATACTATTGACGCTCCCTGCACCTCCATCCAGGGGTTAGTGGAAATGGTTCTTTTCCTCCTTGTCCAGAGGTACTGTGGATGATGACCCCAGGTCCCAGACCTCAGTCATTGGGCCACGTGTGCAGATAAGCCTGGGCAGTCAGTAACCTTTGGCCACCAAGCTGGCCTCCTGCGGACTGGGCCGGCACTGGAGGCGGGTCTTAGCTGCTAGCACTGTGGCCCAGCCAGGCCTGGCCTTGGGAAGGCAGAGGGGGAGGGGACTGGGAAAGGGATTGAGCTGGGGGTGGGGTGGTACCCTGGTTCTTCCCTCCCAGACCTTTGGCAGGTTTGAACTATCTGGCTGCGGCTCTCTAAGGAGGGAGCGCCTCCTCCGCCTTGATGTGGACTTTGCCTTCTGTTCACGTTGTCCCTGTCCCTAAACAAATGTGGCTCTCTGTGGGGAGCCTGGGGGCCGCCCTCCACTGACACTGCTGTTTCCTGGCTTCCCTTTGCAGGCTCCGCTCAGCTTCACTGCGCCTATTTTTAAGCCTTTCCTTTTGGACGGTTTTGCTTCCTGAGAACACACCCCTCCCCATCACCCCAACTGTGTCCTCCTCCCTATCCGGAGCCTGCTCCACCTGCCCCAGGAGCCACCTCCCTCCTCCACCAAGCAGCCCAGGCCAATTCTGGAGGGCTAATTTGTGTCCCTCCAGAAGCAGGTCCTGAGACAGGGATTTCAGTGGGAGGGGACACCAGGGGATGCCTGAGTGTGGGAATGGGCCAGGCAGGGAATCCAGCCAATAAAGGGTGCCTCACCAGCTCATTGTGACCACAGGTGGCTGCCCAGCCCCCATACCGGGCAGCATGGGGAGACTGCAGACCGTGCCCCCAGCCTTGTCCCACCTGGGGTTGGGTAAGGGAGCTGGGGTTTTTATACTTCAGTTCTTGGCCAAGGACTGCACTGCTCACTCCTTCCAGCCTTCCGAGGGCTTGGGCACTAGGAAAGGCTCTGGGTGGAGACACGGAAATAGGCCATGTGAAGTCAGTGGGCGTGATTGGTAGCAGTAAGGCCAGGACAGCCTTGGTCACCAGCAAGGTGACCACACATTTCAGCATGCACAGCCCCCACAGACACACACCCAGGAGATGGTAATTACACCAGCAACAGTCACCCCTGCCGCGTGCCATGCCTGCACCCAGGGAATCTTATTTTTTATTTATTTATTTATTTTTATTTGAGATGGAGTTGCGCTCTTGTTGCCCAGGATAGAGTGCAATGGCACAATCTCGGCTCACCACAACCTCCGCCTCCTGGGTTCAAGCTATTCTGCCTCAGCCTCCCGAGTAGCTGGGATTACAGGCATGCACCACCACGCCTGACTATTTTTGTATTTTTAGTAGAGATGGGGTTTCTCCATTTTGGTCAGGCTGGTCTCGAACTCCTGACCTCAGGTGATCCACCCACCTCAGCCTCCCAAAGTGTTAGGATTACAGGCATGAGCCACCGCGCCTGGCCTCAGGGGCACCTTATTACCCCATCACCTCCTACAGCAGGTGACACTGAGGACACTGAGGCTCAGAGTAGACTGTGGTTATGTCACTCTCCTGTTTGGTTCTCCTGCTCTCAGCCCTGAAATAAAGAGCACGGTCCCTGTGCAGGCCCATACGTCCTGTCTCCAGCCCTGGAGCAGTCCTTAAGCTCCTTGAAGGCACACCAGGCCTTTGGGCCTCGTCCCCCAAGTCCTGGATAAATAGGAGGTGAAGGAGCCTTTGCAACTGGACCCCACTCTGCCAGCGCCAAGGCCCTGCCTGACTACCCACCCCACCCTACACAGATCAGGGACCTGTGCCAAGGTCCAGTGTCACAGGAGAGTGAAGACAAGGAGGTGCCCATGGCGTACATGCTGCTGGACTCACTCTGTAGATCCTAAGGGTTATGGGGAGTTATCTGCCAGGTGAGGTTTTCCCGTGGCTTTTTCCTGCAGGCTCAGGGTAGCATACAGGGAGGTGCTTCCCTACTCCTTGGCACCATCTGTCCGGCTTCCCTGAGCCCTGACCCTGGCTCCTAGATAGCCAGTGTTTCTTCAGGGACAGAACCTGCTTTGCTGCTGCTCAGAGGAGACCCAGTTTGACCAGGGCTAGCGTTCCTGGAACCTGAGCCTGGAATTCCACCCTGCCCTGGGCAGAGGCCACGTTGCTCCCTCCTACGAGAGCTGAGCTGCGCATGAGATTATTCTGACCTTGGGCTCTACCATTTCTTTGCATGACATTTGTCCCAGGCTGGAGCAGGGCTCTGTGGCTCGCTTGGTGTTCCCTCCCCAGACTGAGGCCTGATATGTACACCAGGAAGTGCTTGATCTGGTTTCAGGAGCTGGGAGCGGTTTGCCAGGCAGCCTGTGGTCAGAGCAGGGGCCTTAACAATGGTCCCTTGTGCGGCACATTCCTCTCTAAATAGGCCCAGGTCCAGGCTGCTCCTGTTTCGACCCCGCCATGGGCCTGGAGGGGAAAGTTTGCATCTGGAGGGTGGCCCACTGTGGCCTCTTTTTGTGTAGCAGCTGAGACCGTAGGTGCTTGAGAATAGGAGAAGCCCTGTGCCCATCCTGGGCTGTGAGATGTTTTTCCAGAGGTGGGGATGGGGATGGGCCAGCATGCAGTTACCCACACCCTCCAGCTTGTTGGCATCAAGGTCTGTGTATGTGTGTGTTTTTTTTTTTTTAATTTTGTTTTTCCAACATGGAGTCTTGCCATTTGCCCAGGCTGGTCTCGGACTCCTGGCTCAAGCGATCCTCTAGCCTCAGGTTCCCAAAGTGCTGGGATTATAGGTGTGAGCCACCATGCCCAGCCAGTACCAAGGTGTGTTTTTTAAGAGCAATATTGGCCGGGTGCAGTGGCTCACGCCTGTAATCGCAGCACTTTGGGAGGCCGAGGCAGGCGGATCATGAGGTCAGCAGATTGAGACCATCCTGGCTAACACGGTGAAATCGTGTCTCTACTAAAAATACAAAAAAATTAGCCAGACGTGGTGGCCGGGCACCTGTAGTCCCAGCTACTCGGGAGGCTGAGGCAGGAGAATGGCGTGAACCTGGGAGGTGGAGCTTGCGGTGAGCCGAGATTGCGCCACTGCACTCCAGTCTGGGCGACAGAGCGAGACTGTCTCAAAAAAAAAAAAAAAAAAGAACAATATCGATGGTTTTATTCCCTGAACATGCTAAGTGATCCCCATGTAGTATAAGCATCTCAGAAGGCAGGAAAATGTAATGAACAACACCCACCGCCATTCATTCCATCCAGAGATCGTTATTTTCTGCCCGGGTGTGAGTGTGTGTGTGCGTGCAAACTGCACATGTGTGTATGAAATGGAATTAGGATCTTTGTATACATCTTGTGTCCTGCTATTTTTACTTAATATTCTCGGCATTTCTCATCTTCAAAAATGTGATTTTAATGATGGTGCAGGCCTTTGACATATGGGTTTAGAAAATCTGCGGAAACCCGGACTGTTTCCAGGTTTTGTCAGTTTAATGCTGATGCAAATGTCCTCGTACGTAAATCTTTCTGTACTTCTGATTATTTCCTTGGGATAAATTCCCAGAAGTGGGCCAAAGCACATGAACGGTCTTCAGGCTTTTGGAGCAAGTTGAGATCGGTGGGGATTGGAGAAGGGACCCAGGGAGGCTTTTGGGAGCTTGCGAGATTGGAGTCTGGCTTTAGGGGACTTGAATTCACAGATGAAGGAGATGGCTGGCAAAGGTGGGAACCTCCTGCTCTATGGGTGGGGGGGTGACACTGCTTTACCTTCCAGTGACAGCATGGGGATCCTCCCAACATGACCTGGCTCCGCATCTTTCTGACACTGTGCACGGTCCACAGTTGTGATGCTCAGCTGGGAGCCTCTTCTGTGTCCTTCAGTTGCATTAACTCCTTGCAGACAGAGGAGGAAGCTGTCCGGTGCTCCTCCCTGCTGCGTGGGTCCTTTGAATCTGCCCAGTTGGGCCTGTGGATCTGTGCAGTCACGTACGGGGTTCTAAAATCTGCAAAATGACAAGCTCACGAACACTCTCGCTTCTGTGGGTGAATGTGGATACCCCTTGGCTGCGTCTCCCTCCACAGGGAAGATGGAGACGTGTAAAGTGACAAGGACCTGCTACCCCTGGGCAGGTTATGCCGGTTCCACTGTGAGGATGGTGGCAGGGGGCTTCCCAGGAGGCCTGCACATTGGGAAGAGAGGGGCGACCGTGTGTGACTGCAGGACCCAGGGCGCAGTCTTAGGACTCTGATGGGGGAGGAGATGCTGGGGAGCCCTGTTCTGCCAGCCTGGTGACAGACATCTCCTAATGTTTCCCGGCTGGGTACAACTCACAATGTCCTCCGTGGGGAGGCAATTGCCCATGAGGCATCCCTGGCAGGGATGATCTTGTTTCATTGCCACATATCCCAGCAATGAAACAAGAATCTAGAGTGATGTGATTCCTCCGATGACTTCTCCAACCATCTGGGGTTTTTGTGCGACTCCAAGAAGGGGGAAGGAGGCAGCTCTCGCTCCTCTGGGCTCCTGATGTGGCAGCTCTGGAATGGCCACGTGTCCGTTGGCCCACAGTGGGCCATTTGTCGAATGTGGTTGTGGTGGGATTGGGGCTGGGCTGGAGAGTGGGTGACCACACCAGCTAGCCTCACCCTGGGCCACTGTGCAGCCAGGGGTTTCATCTTCCCAGGGGTCTCGTTGTGAGTGTCCTGGGGCTGCTGGAACAAATTACTGGAAACCAAGTGGCCCAACAAAGATTGATTCGCTCATGGTTCTGGAGGCCACAAGTTTGACATCAAGGTATTGGCAGGACCACACTCCCTCCGACAGCTCGAGGGGAGGACCCTTCCTTGCCTCCTCCAGCTTGCGTTGGCCCAGGCGCTCCTTGGCTCTGGCAGCATCTGCAGTCTCTGCTCTCATCACGTAGCCCTCCCCACCGTGTCTCTTTGTGTCCCAAGTCCCCTTCTGCCTTTCTCCTATAAGGACACCGAGCACTGGATTTAGAGCCCATCCCAAATCCAGGATAGTCTCATCCCGGGATCCCTAATCACATCTGCAAAGACCCTTTTTCCAAATAAGGTCACATTCGTGGGTTCTTGGGGTTAGGTATTAGACATGTCTTTTTGGGGGTCACTAGTCAACCCTCTACAGAACCTCAGACGAAAGTGAATCTTCACAGGCTGAAATGGGGGTGAAGGTCTAGTGCGTCCCTCCTCCTTGGGAGCTCCCTCAGGGCTTGTGCCTATCCTGTGATCCTGTGATCCAGCCTTTTTTTTGAGATGAAGTCTTGCTTTGTCGCCCAGGCTGGAGTACTGTGGCACGATCTGGGCTCACTGCAACCTCTGCCTCCCGAATTTAAGTGATTCTTCTGCCTCAGCCTTCCAAGTAGCTGGGATTACAGGCGCCCACCCCCATGCCTAGCTAATTTTTTGTGTTTTTAGTAGAGACAGGGTTTTACCATGTTGGCCAGGCTGGTTTCGAACTCCTGACCTCAGGTGATCCGCCTGCCTTGGGCCTGCCTTGGCCTCCCAAAGTGCTGGGATTACAGGCATGAGCCACCACGCCTGGCATTTAGTAGGTTTTGGTTGTTTTTTTTTTTTGAGACAGAGTCTCACTCTGTCATCCAGGCTGGAGTGTAGTGGTGTGATCATGGCTCACTGCAGCCTTGATCTCCTGGCCTCAAGTGATCCTCTCACCTCAGCCTCTCGAGTAGCTGGGATTACAGGCATATGCCACCACCCCTGGCCAATTTTTGTATTGTTTAGTGGAGTCGGGGCTTTGCCATGTTGCCCAGGTTTGTCTTGAACTCCTGGGCTCAAGCGATCTGTCCACCTTGGCTTCCCAAAGTGTTGGGGTTACAGGCGTGAGCCACCACGCCTGGCTTAGTAGGTTTTCTAGAAGCGCCTGAGGCCTGGTGAAGGCATGGTGTCATGGAGTAGAGAACATTCAACTCTGTTCCCGGGGAGCCGGAACACACCCCTCGTAGCCAATCTCAACAGTCATGACGTGGCCAGGATGACATGGGGAGGGGGTGGTGTGGACTGTGTGGGAGGCCAGCTCCCCGGGAAGGGGGCTGGAGTGGGCTTGGCTTTGAGGAGGATTCCCAAGAGGAGGAGGAGGCGGTGGCATGCTCGTTTGGGGGGATGGCGTGAGCCAGGGTGGGCACCTCTTCATTTAGGTGTCACCTTCTTGACATTCCAGCCGGGACATGGTTTCCTTGGGGAAGATGGACACCCCCAGAGTGGGGCATCTCCTGGGGAAGATGGACACCTCCGGAATGGGGCGCCTCCTGTTCTCACTGTTCTTCTAGCACACAGTTGTATTCTCTTGCAGTTCTGGAGGCTGTGAGATCTCCTGGCTGTTATCTAGAACAAACTCGCCTTTGAGCAGCGCCGTCCTGATGGTGGGGTGGCCCCTGCGGGTGGAACAGCCCCTGCTGTCTCAGAGCTTACTGAGAGCTAGTGGGCATGGGAGTGGTGCTGGACCGAAACACCCAGAGGGATCATAGAGCCAGGCAGTAAGCACAGAGGCCAGCTAGTGGGGAGGGAGGGACCCATCCATGAAAAGACACCAAGCATTGAAAGAGAGGAGAGGATGGTTGGGGACCGGCACACATGTGCATTTTGCGCAGATGGCCAAGGTGGTGAGGCGCCAGCCACGCAGACAACTGGAGGAAGGAGGAGTGCCCTAGGGGAGGGGCCAGCTCCGGTTCTAGAATGATCCGCTTGTGCACGTGGGCCTGGCTGGAATAAATCATTGCATCCGCACCGTAGACTCAATCGTAAGCTCACACCAGGGCAGCCTCTGCTTTGGTGCAGTGTCTTCGATCATGAGTTGGCCATGGTGGGGGTGACTCCAAGGGGACTCCCAAGGAGGGGGTTCACCGGATCTCCCAGGGAAGGTCATTTGTTTTCTTGGGTTGGACCTGGGACAAGGCCTTCTCCTGTCTAGTTTCTGTTCTCCAACTTGACCGCACGGAAGGATGCTGAGGACACCTGGAAGCCGGCCCCTGCTCTACAGCACCCATAGGACAGAGGCACACCATGTGGGGACAGTTTGGACAGTGCTCAGGAGGCAGGGAGCAGATCAGAGGACCGCGGGAGGCCCTGGGAACCGCACGAGGACCCAGGCATTGAGCTCTGCACTTTCTGGCATCAGCCCGATGTACAGTCTGGCTCTGTGTCTACCCCGTACTTCACTTTCCCCATCTGTACGGGGGCGGTAATAATATTCTTTACAGCCCAGGTTTAAGCGGGTGTAGATGTGATGAGCTTGGTAAGCCCATCTCATTACATTCAGTTCTGGGCATTGAACCCTGGACTTTCTGGCTGGTAGAAGTGGACATTCAACCTTTCCTTGGGGCCCTGGGGCTTCTGCAGAATCAGAACACAGCCAGCAGTTTGCATGCAGGGTGCAGAGGGACAGAGGGACACCATGTCGGGAGCCCACACCTGGCACACCCCTGACTCTGGGGCTCAGTGTCCTGCTGCCCTGCGGCCACGTGATCAGCTAGAGGTCATGGCTGGACCCATAGGCGAATACAGCCTGTGGATTTGATTTTGTTTGGCCCTGCGGTGTTTTATTTTATTTTTAGTTTTAGTTTGTGGAGACAGAGTCTCGCTCTGTCAGTCAGGCTGAGTGCAGTGACACGATCTCAGCTCTGCAACCTCTGCCTCCCGGGTTCAAGCGATTCTCCTGCCTCAGCCTCCTGAGTAGCTGGGACTATAGGCGAGTGTCACCATGCCCAGCTAATTTTTTATTTTTAGTAAAGATGGGGTTTCACCACATCAGCCAGGCTGCTCAGTGTTTTAAAAAGGGCTTGTTTTGCTTTGTGCCAGCATTTAAAGATCAGGAGATATCATATAAAGATCCAGATTTCTACTCTCTTGAGAAGTGAACAGCTCTGGCCACGCCGGGCCCATATCCTCTAGGGCAGTGACGGAGCTGAGACAGGGCCTGTGACAACTGAGAGTTCTCTGGAGTCCACACGGCTCCTTGCCCAGCTTCTGGTGGAGGTTGAGCTTAGTGACCCAGGATTTCGTCTGTGTCCACCAAGAAGGAGAGGTGCCTGTGGCTTAGAGAGGGCGCCCACAGGAGTGCCTTGCCCAGGAAGCTGGCAGCTGAGGCGGCCAGGGTTAGGGGGTTGGGCTTCCTCTTCCCCTCCCCAGTGCCTGAGTGCATTTGGAGGAAGAGAGACGGGTGAGGGGAAGGCACTGAAATTGGTCCTGGAGCGCTATTATTGGGGGCTGGGGACCAGCTGTCATCCCTTTTCCTGTGGGCAGGGGAGGCAGTGGTGGGATCCCATGAGACCCGGACTCTGTGGCCTGGTGAGGCAGGGAGCGGCTGGGGAGACACTGTGGGTCTCCACAGGGGTGCGCTGTGGGTCTGGCCTGGGGAAGGAGCTGGTGAATGTGCCTGCCATGTGGGTCCCTCCCTGCTCTGGCCCTGATAACCAGGAGCGGCTGGCTCTCATTTGGAGTGCGGTTGTGGGGACTGTGGAGGTGGCAGCTTCCCAGGTACCATCCCCACTGCCTCCGAGGGAGCAGACCCTGGTGGAGAGGCAGGATGGCTGCAGGGCGGGAGCTGGTGGTTGGCATCACTGCACGGGCTTGTAGTAGTGGATGGGAAGATGCAGGAGAGGCTGATGACTGAGAAAGTTGGTTCCTGTGGACTAAGCTGGGGGAGCCGGACAACCAAGTGGTTAGAACCTTGGGCTCTGGTATCAGCCTGATGTACAGTCTGGCTCTGTGTCTACCCCGTGCCCCACTTTCCCCATCTGTACTGGGGGTACTGGTATTCTTTACATCCCAGGGTTAAGCGGCTGCAGATGTGATGAGCTCGGTAGGCCCGGCGCCTCGCCGGCACTGAAAGCTCCAGTGTCCGCCCTTAGTGTCATTGATGGGGTTTTGTTCCTGCTGCGGTTCTGATTGGTTACAGTTGCGGTCACTTATTATTGGAGGCATGTCCCCCGCTGTGGCTGATGGTAGAGGTGTGTTTGCTGGTGGTGTCCCAGTGTGTGCCTTGGCTGGAGGTGAGGAGGGATAAAAACAGCCGCGACAAGAAGGAAATCAAGGCCGGGCACGGTGGCGCACGCCTGTAATCCCAGCACTTTGGGAGGCCGAGGCGGGTGGATCGCTTGAGGTCAGGAGTCCGAGACCAGACTGACCAACATGGTGAAACCCCATCTCTACTAAAAATACAAAAATTAGCCAGGCATGGTGGCCCGTGCCTATAATCCCAGCTACTGGGGAGGCTGAGGTAGGAGAATCGCTTGAACCCGGGAGGTGCCGCTGCACTCCAGCCAGGGCAACAGAGCAAGACTCCATCTCAAAAAAAAAAAGAAGGAAATAAAAGTCTTCTCTGGAACTAGAACGTTCCTATGTAGACGTAGCTGGAGGGGGAGGCTGTGTGGTTTGCGCCGTGGCCATGGCAAGACACGACGGGCAGCATCTTCCCACTCCAGCCTGCATCTCTGCCCCAGAACTCATGATGGTTCTCCTAGGATGGGGCTGTCCCTTCCGCTTGCTGAGACATGAAGGACGGGAAGAGACCCCCGGCCCTCACCGCCGCATCGCCTGCCTTCCTCTGCTGCTCCTTAGCAGGAAACATGCCGGAGTGTTCCCTAGCCATCCATTCACCAATTGCATCCCCTCTCTTTATTTTTCAGCCTTGAAAAGATCTTTTGAGGTCGAGGAGGTCGAGACACCCAACTCCACCCCACCCCGGAGGGTCCAGACTCCCCTACTCCGAGCCACTGTGGCCAGCTCCACCCAGAAATTCCAGGACCTGGGCGTGAAGAACTCAGAACCCTCGGCCCGCCATGTGGACTCCCTAAGCCAACGCTCCCCCAAGGCGTCCCTGCGGAGGGTGGAGCTCTCGGGCCCCAAGGCGGCCGAGCCGGTGTCCCGGCGCACTGAGCTGTCCATTGACATCTCGTCCAAGCAGGTGGAGAACGCCGGGGCCATCGGCCCGTCCCGGTTCGGGCTCAAGAGGGCCGAGGTGTTGGGCCACAAGACGCCAGAACCGGCCCCTCGGAGGACGGAGATCACCATCGTCAAACCCCAGGAGTCAGCCCACCGGAGGATGGAGCCCCCTGCCTCCAAGGTCCCCGAGGTGCCCACTGCCCCTGCCACCGACGCAGCCCCCAAGAGGGTGGAGATCCAGATGCCCAAGCCTGCTGAGGCGCCCACCGCCCCCAGCCCAGCCCAGACCTTGGAGAATTCAGAGCCTGCCCCTGTGTCTCAGCTGCAGAGCAGGCTGGAGCCCAAGCCCCAGCCCCCTGTGGCTGAGGCTACACCCCGGAGCCAGGAGGGTGAGTCGCAGAGCGCTAGGTCTTGGATGCTGTGGTAATGGGGGGCCTGGTTGCTGGCTTTGCCACAGAATCTTGGAGGAAGAAGCTGGATATGGGGTGGAGGGTGCTACCCTGGAGACCCAGAAAGACCGGAATGCATGGGGGTGGGGGTCTGCAAGCTCAGGAGAGGTGGCTCTCTCTGTCTGATGGGAACATGCCAAGATGCCCCAAGCGGGACTTGAATGAGAGTTTGGAAAGATTTTCTGGGTTTCAAGGAGCCTCCTTTATGGGTCACCGTGGGCCTTGCTGGGACCTCTGTCTGCTGTGTGTCCCTGGAGGGCCTGGGAGGCTTAGAGAATGAGGAGCCACGCAGGAACCAGGGCAGGCTCATGCAGGGGTGTAGGACAGGGTGGAGTTGAGACCCCTAGAAGGGCTGTCACATTCTGGTGGCTCCTGCTTGAGGAATTGCAGGCTGCCTGGATATGCCCAGCAGAGGCCGAGGGCTTGGGGAAGGGAGGAGGGACGTATGCCTCCTGAGGCTTGCATTGGAGCCCATGGTCTGGTCCTCCTCCCCCAGGAGGGATGGTTGTGGCAGAGGGAGGGGAACATGAGGAGCACCTTAGCCTGCAGGACAAAATTCTCAGGGCACTGGGAAGGGGTGCCTGGACCAGGGGGCTGTGTGATAGCTGCACACGGTTTTATTTGGGGGTGCCCTTCTGGCGAGAGGAGAGAGGCCATGGGGCTCCAGCAGCGTCCTGGGAGGGCTCAAGCCCACAGCCGTGCTGACATGGAGCTTACAGGCAGGGGATTGGTGCCAGTCCTGTGGGACACAGGGCCTGTTTGGAAATGCCAGGCTGTGGGACATGGTTGGGTCCCTTCTCAGAAGCGTGCCCCCTGGCCCCAGCAGGGATCGTGGCTCCATGGGGCTATAGTAAGGTGCCAGCTGGGTTAGAAGCCCCTCAAGAGCCAGGTCTGATTCTGGGCACAGGATCAGAACTCAGTAATGCTCAGTAAGCCTTCTTTAGGTTGGACAAACAGCACAGTCTGGGTTTTTGATTTAGCTGCTGCTTCTTATTTCTAACCGTGGTGAAATACACAACATACAATGTGCAATTTTAGCCACTTTGCAGTGTACGTTTCAGCGGCATTCAGTACATTCACGGTGTTGCGCAGCTGCCACCGCTGTCCATCTCCGGTACCCTTTTCATCCTCCCAAACTGAGCTCCGTCCCCGTTAGACCAAGCTCCCCATGCCCCTCCCCCAGCTGCTGGCAGCCACCATTCTATTTTCTGTCTTTATTATGAATTTATTTGACCACTCTAGGAACCTTGTGTGTGTGGAAAAATACAATAACTGCCCATTTTGTGTCTGGCTCATTTCACTCAGCATGACGTCCTAAAGGTTCATCCGTCGTGCTGTAGCATGGGGCAGAATTTCCTTCCTTTCAGAGGCTGAATAATATTCTGTTGTGCGATGCACTTGTGTTGTGTAGCTGTTCCTCCATCGGTGGACCCTTGGGTTGCTTCCACATCTCTCTAAGTCCCTCTTTCCATCTTCTTTGACTTTTCTTTGACTTTTTTGAGACAGGGTCTTGCTCTGTCCTCCAGGCTGGCGTGCAGTGGTGTGATCACTGCTTACTGCAACCTCTGCCCCCTGGGCTCAAGTGATTCCCCAGCCTCAGCCTCCCAAGTACCTAGGACCACAGGTTGCGCGCCACCATGCCTGGCTAATTTTTAAATTTTTTTTGTAGAGACAGGTTCTCACTAGGTTGCCCAGGCTGGTCTCAAACTCCTGGGTTCAAATGAGCCTCCTGCCTCGGCCTCCCAAAGTGTTGGGATTATAGGCATGAGCCACCCAACCCCTTTTTGGTTTTTCTTTTTGAATGAGAGTTCTCCAGTGGTCAGTGGGCTTGGGGGCTGGGAGGATGTGGGGCCTGGAGAGGGTGTGGGTTTGGGGGGAGACCAGTGCTCCTCATGCTTTCATGGGCATGTGGAGTGCACATTTGTCTTGGCGGGTCTGGGGCCTGGGACTCTGCATTTCCTACAGAGGGGGCATCGGAACACACTGAGTAGCCAGAGGCTAGTGGGCCTTGGAAGGTCCTTTCCGGCCCTCAGTGTGCGAGTCCCGTGTTCCCTCTCCCATCTCTCTAAGCTTGACTCTGAAGAGCCACCCTGCCCCAGCCACCCAGACTCAGTGACAGTGGTTGCTGGTGGCATGGTGTCAGGCCAAAGGCATGGGCAGTTTGCAGAGTGGCAGGAGGCTGTTTCCTCCCCTGCCTTCTGTTGGTGCAGGACCTTTGTTTGACGTGCCGGATACACCCCCATCCTGGGTTGATGTGTTCACACTCAGCTGAGTCAAACAGGATGTGGCTGGGGAGGCGGTTGTCACCGAGCCATCTAAATCTCGGTGATGGCTGGTGCTGGATGCACAGGGACGTGGTCCTGGCTCTGGGGGACAGGTAGGGGGATGTCCATGGGGATGTACAAGAACATTCTCCTCCAGGGGCAGACACAGTTTAGCCCCTAAATTGTGCCAGAGACTGTGCCGGGAGCCAGGCCCAGGGACACAACCTGCGGGCTCTGCTTTCTGGAGCTCACCGAGCCGTGAGCAGGATGGCTGGGACACAAGGAGTGTCCAGGGAGCTTCCCCAGCAGTGGAAGTACAATTTCATCAGGCCAGGAAGGGGAGAGAAAGGCAGGCCACGTGGAGGCAGCAGCGTTCAGAGCTGCCAGGAACCTGGCGCTCTGGGGGGACGGTGGCTTTCTCCATGGAATAGGATGTACACGTTGGAGCCGGGGCATGGGAGAAAACCATCAGCATCCCAGACCCGGCCACCCACGGACAGGGACCTGTGCAGGTGGGAGTCCAGCTCACGTGGAGAGGTCCGTGGGCTGGGCTGACAGTCCTGAGGGCCTAAGCAAGTCCAGGTGGAGGAAATGCAGGGACAGACGAGGGCAGGGCCTTCCCAATGGAGGAGTGCTCTTGAAATCCGATGGGAGTGGCTTCTCGGGGGGCCCAGGCCTGAGCCCCACTAGTTCTTCCTCCGAGGCACCACCTGCTTGCTTCTCCGTCCTCCCTCTCTGTGTCACGACCGTTCTGGACACGGATCCAGTTCTCTCCAACTCAGCTTCCTGCCCATCTTTCCTTCAGGCCCATCCCCTTCTGCCCCTCCATGTGGGGCTGGGCTGGGAGTTCCCTGAGCCCCGACATGCACAGCTCTGACCAATCTCTGCGGCCCCTCTGTCCCCCGAGCACCAGGGATCCAGCTGGCACCATGGGGAAAGGAATCATGGAGGGAGTTCCGTGCCCTCTGAGCAGACGCCCAGCCCCTTGGCTTCTGCCTGCGGGAGGGCATCTGTGCTGTGGTTTGTCTCCACCCCAGAGCTGTGGGTGCAGGGCAGGGTCTCCTGGGGCCCCAGCTGAATTGCTCCCAGACTGACTTCCCCAAAGCACAGCACTGCTGAGATCTCTTCCCGTGCTGAGCCTTCTCTGCTCACTCACCATAGGCCCCTCCACGGTTGATTCACTCTCCTGCTCAGCTCACACCTCTCTCCTTCCCAGCTTCTCCTGCTTTGGTCTTCCCTTGGTCTCTCACACCTTTCCTCACAACCCCTTTGCCCTGACCTCCTGAACCCTGACCTCTGCTTCTCTTTACATCACTGCCTTGGTGAACTCCTATGCATCCCTCAAAACCTGGTCCAAATACCTCGTGTTTGGCTTGGGATATAAATGATTTGTGTATAAACTTTCTTTCCTCTGCTAGACTTTTTTTTTTAAATGTGAAAGTAGTTTTTCAGATCATAAAAAGTAATCGAGTACCCTTTCTTTAAAATGCAGGAAGTACAGAAATGAGAAAGAACCTAAAATTCACCTGTAAGCCAGCGATATCCATGCTTGAGGTTTTGCTGTATAGTCTTCAAAATTCCTTTCATGCCCCCACTAGATTCTGAGGGTAGGGCTGTTGTCTTTGTTTTTTTTTGTGTTTTTTTTTTGTTTTTTGTTTTTTGAGATGGAGTCTCTCTCTATCACCCAGGCTGGAGTGCAGTGGCATGATCTCAGCTTACTGCAACCTCTGCCTCCCAGGTTCAAGCGATTCTTCTGCCTCAGCCTCCCGAGTAGCTGGGACTATAGGCGTGGGCTACCACGCCTGGCTAACTTTTGTATTTTTAGTAGAGACGGGGTTTCACCATATAGGCCAGGCTGGTCTCGAACTCCTGACCTCGTGACCCACCCACCTCAGCTTCCCTGACCTCCCAAAGTGCTGGGATCATGCCACCGTGCCCAGCCTGTCTTGGTTTTTATAAAGAATCCCATAAGGGGCCAGGTGCAGTGGCTCATGCCTGTAAATCCAGCACTTTGGAGGCCGAAGCAGGCAGATTGCTTGAGCCCAGGAGTTTGGGACTAGCCTGGGCAACATAGAGAAACCCTATCTTTACAAAAAATACAAAAAATTAGCCAGGCATGATAGCATGCGCTTGTAGTCCCAGCTACTGGGGAGGTTGAGGTGGGAGGACCACCTAAGCATGGGAGGTTGAGGCTGCGGTGAGCTGAGATTGTGCCACTGCACTCCAGCCTAGGAGACAGAGTGAGACCCTGTCTCAAAAAAAAAAAAAAAAAAAAAAAAAATCCCATAAGATACCAAGTAAGTGACTTGGACATAATAGGTGTGCCATGAAATTATGCTGAAGGAGTGAGCCACTGGTGGTGAGTTGGGATGGCTTTTTTGTGGTTCTTGTAGGCAGATGTAGTGACCCCCATGGGTCGTCCCTAGAGACCAAGCAGAAACTTTCCTGGTCAACTTTACCCCCAGGACACCTGGTCTCTCCTCTGGAGGTTGTGCTGGAGGGCTCAGTGGGTGGGTGTTGGCTTCAGTGTGGGGGTTCTGGAAGGAGTCAGCATTTCAGGAGGGAGTGTGGGCACCTAGATGGTTGAAGGGGAGGGAGAGGAAGAGAGGCGCTGCAGAGGGCAGAGGCATCCCTGCCTGCTCCTCCGCCCCAGGGCCTGGTGAGGTCTGAGCTTTATGCTGGTGGGGTGGATTCTCGGTTTCCGAGGCTCTGGCCCTGCCCCTGGACTTGGCACCCTCCTTGCTGTCCTCCCACAGAAGGGCGCTCATCCTTTGGGGTCATCCCTGGTCCTCTCAGGCTCTGGGTGGGGACGGCCTTGCCTCCTCTCCTGGATCCCTGCTCTTTTCCTGCCCCCCAACATGGGTGCCTCTGGGTGGAGTGGGGTGGGGCTGGGCTGCAGCACCCAGTACTGAGCCTGCAAGGGCTGGCTGCTGGCTCAGAGCCCCCCCCACCAGAGTTACCCCCCTCCGGCTCCTCAGCCACACCAGCCAAGTTTCTCCAGAGCTGCCTTATAAGGCGGGTGCTCAGCGCTCGTTCATGGGTCTGGTTCTCTGCCTTCTTGGGATGCTCACTGGGGGCAAGAGGGAGGCCAGGCCCAGTGCCCAGCTCAGTTCTGGGCATGTCCCAGCTCTGCCCCATGAGTCAACTGGTTCTGAACTATCATTCCACCCCTCCCAGCCTCAATTTCTTGATCTGTCAAAGAGGCATCTGCAGAGGTGGCTGGGGGCTGAGCTCTCATGTATCCACCCACCCCAAGAACCAAGAAGGGAGTCCACAGTGGTTCTGGGGCCACTTGTGAACATGGATGTGAAATTGGGGCGGGGTAGACATGGCAGCATGTCTCAGTAGTTTTCCTGTGACCCAGAGGGTCTGGAAATCTTTGTCATGTGGGTGGAGCGTTGAGGGAGCAGGGGGTCAGGCCCCCCCGAGCTGATGATGGTGGGCGTGGCTCTTCGCATACTTGGTCCGCACCGGGCCGTGTGTTCCAGGGGCAGAACAGGGAGGAATCTCAGCACAGACAGCAGGGCTGCCAGTACAGCGTTGAGTATAGGGTTAATCAAAGCACAGGGCTCCCTGGAACCACCCAACACAGAGCAGTGAAGAGGTGGCTTTGGGGAAAGTGGGGTCAGAGCTGAGCCTGAGTGGGGGGTGGGGAGGGCGGGCATCAGCCTGCAAGGGAGGGACACCTACTGGGCCCCAGAAGTTCCTGGTGGGGATCAGGGACTGTGAAGTTGGGGAGAGGGTGACCACTGTGATTTAGGGAGGAAGGGCCCCATAGACAGCCCAGCTTCTGGCCCCGTGTTTACAGGACACCCCACATAGGCTCTGAGCCTATCCCTGGACTGTGGACTCCCTGAGGCAGGGTGTGCAGGTTCGTCCAGTACCAGGTGTAAGGCAGGGGGCCTTGGTAAGCGTCGAGGGACTCACTGGTGTCTGATGAAGCAGTGAGTTTGGATCGTGTCATGCCTCGGGTCCTGAGCCTGCAGGATTTTTCTGTGGGGCTGTGTGCTTCTGCTTCTGGAGGTGTCCAGAAGGCACTGACGTTCCTGCCGGGATGCCTTACTCGGAAGGTCCCGCTGCTCCCACCTCCTCCCATTTTCCTGAGCTGCTTGCAGAGGGCACCCAGGTCCCCTTTTACTTTGGGATTGGGTCTCTTTCTCTTTCCCCTTCTAAGAACAAGTACCCTCCTTCTCCGAACTGTCCCTGGAGCCTCTCAGACCTAGGTCTAGAGTGGGAAGTCCCGCATGTGCTGGGGGAACAGGAATCAATGCGGGAGGATTGGCCAGGCCCGGTGTGTCTCCTTCGTGGTGGGACGGGGTGGGGCCAGAGAACAGAGCCTGGCTCCAGAGCCCAGGAAGAGAACCCCTCCCCTCGCCGGCCTGCCAAGCACCGTGCAGTGGTGAGAGGAAAGGAGGGCTGGTCCGGGAATGCAGCGGGTGCCGAGCAGCTGTGGAATACCTTAAATAGAGCGCAGCTGCGGGGAAGGGTGGGGCCAGGAGGCAGGCGCTGGGGGCGGTTTCTCTGCTCCGCCCCCTGCAGCTCTGTGGCCCTGACCACCCAGCCTGGCCCCAGGATGGAGCCCCGGCCCCCAGACACATGGCACTGGGTGAGGCCGCCTCTCAGCACTTGTCCCAGGAAGTCAGAGCAGCTGCCAGAAGAGAGAGGAGCTGTGTCTGTACCCGCCGCCTCCCAGGCCCGGGACAGCTGCCGGGATTGAGGGTCTGCACAATGGCGAGCCTGTCCGGAGGGGCGCGCCGCGGCCAGACAGCCATGCTCTGTGCGGTGTGGACAGAGGGCACATTCAGCCCTGGAGGAGCGCACTCAGACTCCCCGCCTCGGGGCCCAAAGTGTGGGCAGCCCCTAACCAGACCCTGGATTCCAGCAGACAGCCTGGGAGGATGCCATGTGGTCCACCCTGACACACTGTCTCACCTGTGACCTCATTTCTGAGAGCTGCAGGGAGGCGCTTCCTCAGTTGGACTCCACTTCCTCTCCGGGGTTTTCTGTGGGTGTTATAAGTGACTCTGTCTCCTTCAGTCCAAGGGGGGCTCCTGGGGTATGGGCTGTAACTGACAGGCTAGAGTAGCCCATGGCCAGGGCTGAGCTTCCTTCCCGTTCTCTCTGAACACTGGGCCCAGGAAGGGGTTAAAGTGGAGATGCTCTGATTAAAGTTGAGGGAGGCATGGAGCTCCCCTGACCCTGTCCCCCCATCCCACTGCTGCTACTGGGTGTACTCTGTGGAGCCCCAGGACTCTTAAAGAACCCAGAGTGGAGATTCCCGGTCTCATCCAGTGCAGGTGAGGGGGAAAGTGATTTGTCCACAGTTACATGGCTACCATCAGCACACCTGGGTCAAGCTCGATTCCACTCCACGGCCCCTGTCTGAAACCTGGAACTGGAAATGGCCCTGGAAATCACTGATTCCATCTGCCGCCTTCCAAAATGGCCCGCAGAGGTTAAGATATAGACTCCTGTAATGCCTTGCCCACTCGTGTGTGGGGAAATGGCAGAGGAGCACCGGCTTTGCCCTCACACTGCCTGGGCTGCCGCCCCTGCCCTGCCTAGTGGCTTTCCTCTCTGGTCCGTTTTCTCATTGTGGAAGTGGGCACAATTCTTCCTGTGCAGCGTGGTTAGAGTGGACAGTGATGATTCGTGAAGCAGGGTGGAGCGCCTGGGGGATTCGTGTTAAACAAGCACATAAACAAAAGCCAACACAACCCTTACTTAATCAGCAAGCAGGCCTTGTCTGAAGCCCCTGGGCAGCACCTCATGCCATCCCTAGGTTCCAGGCCGGTGGTGTCGCCCCGTGTCTCTCTCACCCGCAAGCTGGTGTTTAGAAGCCCTGCTCTGTGTTCTGGCTCCCATTCTCCCTGTGACCTTTCCCTTTCTTCATCCTAAAAAGCAATGCACGACGGGGCGTGGTGGCGGGCACCTGTAGTCCCAGCTGCTTGGGAGGCTGAGGCAGGAGAATCACTTGAACCCAGGAGGCGGAGGTTGCAGTGAGCTGAGATTGTGCCAGTGCAGTCCAGCCTGGGCAACAGAACAAGACTCCCATCTGGGAAAAAAAAAAAAAAGCGATGCCCAGTCATTCTTAGATAGAAAATGAAGATCACATGAAATTTGGAAAGAAGTTTTTCTCTCCCATTCCCCAACTCTCTCCCAAGGGGTGGCCATGTTGACAGCTGGGTGTGGCATTCTCCTGAATTTTATTCCTGCAGAGTCATTCAGGGCTTGTGTAAAAAAAGTCAATGTGTAAATATAGACTTTTCAAGAACACAAAGGAAATCAGACTTCTGCTACCAGCTTTTATTTTTTCCATTTAACAACACTGTTGCCACTTGTAGATGTAGCACGTTCCTTTTTCTTTTTCTTTTTTTTTTTTTTTGACAGAGCGTGGCCCAGGCTGGAGTGCAGTGGTGCGATCTCAGCTCACTGTGGCTCACTGTAACCTCCACCTTTCGCCTTCCGCTTTCAAGCGATTCTCCTGCCTCAGCCTCCCAAGTAGCTGAAATCACAGGTGCTTGCCACCACACCTGGCTAATTTTTGTATTTTTAGTAGAGACGGGGTTTCACCATGTTGGCCAGGCTGCTCTTGAACTCCTGACCTTGAGATCCGCCCACCTCGGCCTCCCAAAGTAGCACGTTCCTTTTAATGGTTGTGTCATCAGCTGTCCCATGGCCCTGCCAGGCTTGTCCAGCTTCCCACTGTGATTGAGAGGCTGCAACAGATGTTCTCGCACTTGTACATGTGCACACATGACTGAAGGATGAGCTCTTAGTGAATTTCTGTGTCAAGGATGTGTGCATTTAAGTTTTGATCTGCTGGGCACAGTGGCTCACACCTGTAATCCCAGCACTTTGGGAGGCCAAGGCGGGCTGATCACTTGAGGTCAGGAGTTCAAGACCAGCCTGGCCAACATGGTGAAACCCCATCTCTACTAAAAATACAAAAATTAGCTGGGCATGGTGGCTTGTGCCTGTAGTCCCAGTTACTCAGGAGGCTAAGGCAGGAGACTTGCTTGAACCCAGCAGGCAGAGGTTGCAGTGAGCCAAGATCGTGCCATTGCACTCCAGCCTGGGTGACAGAGCGAGACTCCCTATCAAAAAAAAAAAAAAAAAAAAAAAATTGATCCTTGTTCCTGAATTGGCCTCTAAAGTGGTTACTAGAATTTTTTAGGACCCCTCCCCTCGTCGACCTGCTCAGCTGTCTGCTGGGCCCTGTGCAGTGATGGTCCAGCAGGGAGGTCCTATGCCCCTTACCCCTGGCTGAGGGCCAAATGCTCTCCAATTGGTGTTTTATTTTGTGCATCTCGGTCAAGCGAGAGGGATTATCTCTTCGTATGTTATAGGCCAGGGCCCTGTGTTCTCTTTTCATTTGGAAGGTGTATCCTTTTCTTGTTGAAATTTTTTAAAAAGAGTTCTTTGTAAGCCAGGCGTGATGGCTAACACCTATAATCCCAGCACTTTGGGAGGCTGAAGTGGGCGGATTGCTTGAGCTTAGGAGTTCGAGACCAGCCTAGGCAACATGGCAAAACCGCATCTCTGCAAAAATTAGCTGGGTGAGGTGGTGCGCCTGTAGTCCCGGCTACTCGGGAGGCTGATGTGGGAGGATCATTTGAGTCTGGGAGTTTGAGGCTGCTGTGAGCTGTGGTCATACCACTGCACTCCAGCCTGGGTGACAGAGTGAGATCCTGTCTAAAAAAAAAAAAGAGTTATTTGTACATCTTTATCACAGCAGGTACGAGTATCTTGTCCCCAGCTGCCTACTTTTGATTTTGTTTCTGGGATGTTCTTCTACACAGAACATTTTAATCCTGATATTGTCAAGTCTCTGCTTTCCCTTTTAGCTTTTGGAATTCACATCCTGTTTAGAGGTCTCCTGCGTTCTGAAATTATAGGAAAGAATTTCACCCACGTTTTCTTCTAGTACTTCTGTGGTTTCATTTTTACATGTTGAAATCATGAATCCATTGGAATGTATTTTGGTTTCAGCAGCGAGGTAGGGGTAGATGGTATTGCTTGGATACACAGCAGCGAGCTTGGTCTGGAGCGGGTGGGGCGTGTGTGTGTGTGTGTGTGTGTGTGTGTGTGTGTGCTATTTTTATCAGTTTTGGTGTCTGCATTGTGCTGGCTTAGCAAAAACAATTTGGATGCATTTCTTTTACCCTCTGCCTTCTGGAACATTTTAAGCAGCAACATAATAATCTCTCTGTTAAAACTTTTCAAGAATTCACTCGTGAAACCATCTGAGCCTGATACTTTTGGGGGAGTCTAGCACTTTAAAAACTTAAACTTTTTCCATGGGTCTGTGAGTTTGGGAGTTTTTCTTTCTTCTTAAAATTCATTACTATTTTTTTCCTAGAAAAGTGTCTTTTAGCTTATTTAAAATCCGTCAGCTTATTCCGAGGGGGTTGCTTTAGCTCGCTTAGTGAGGACAGTGTGCAGCGCGGTGATTGACATGATTGATCAGCAGAGCACGATCGATCAGTCGGTGTGCAAACATGACTGACTGTGGCCAGCGTCCTGGGATGCTCCATGTTGAGGCACATGTGTGCAGTGCAGGGTGATGTGTATTCTGAGAGGGGATGAAGCCACAGGACCCCTGCACCCTTAGGAGAGAGCCCCCCTCCCCAAGGCTGCAGTCTTGAGTAGGTAGTGACGGGACTGGGTCTAGGGGGCTGAGTGGTCCCAGCAGGCCAAGGGCTTCAGGAATTATGAGAAGTTTGGAGTTGCCCAGAGAGCAGCTTTCAAAACCAGTCTGGACTGCAGCCTCCAGAAAGACATGCGATTGACACCACGAACCAGGACACACCTATATATGGGGTGGGGGTGGGGATGGGATGTATTAATGAAACCAAATTTCCGTGATGGAATTCTTACCTTTACCATGCGTGTGCTACACTCAGTATTTTCTTTTTTTTTTTTTTTTTCCCCTCTCTCTTTTTTTCTTTTTGTTTGTTTGTTTTGGAGAGAGGGAAGGCTTTTTTTCATTTTTTTTTAAACAGCTTTATTGAGATCCAAGTAAGCTACTATACAATCCACCAATTTATTTATTTATTTATTTTTTTGAGACGGAGTTTCACTCTTGTCGCCTAGGCTGGAGTGCAGTGGCGCCATCTCGGCTGACTGCAACCTCCGCCTCCTGGGTTCAACCAATTCTCCTGCCTCAGCCTCCCGAGTAGCTGAGATTACAGACATGTACCACTACGCCCGGCTAATTTTGTATTTTTAGTAGAGACGGGGTTTCTCCATGTTGAGGCTGGTCTCGAACTCCTGACCTCAGGTGATCCACCCGCCTCAGCCTCCCAAAGTGCTGGGATTACAGGCATGAGTCACCGCGTGGCCCAATCCACCCATTTAAAGTGCATAATTCCATGGTTTTCAGTCTATTCAGAGAGTAGTGCAACCATCGTCACCACAACCAATTTTAGAAAATTGAAAATTTGAGAAATTTAGAAAATTTTTTTCTTAAGAAGAAACCCCGTAGCCTTTAGCTATCAATCCTGCCCTCCTCCTCCATATTTCCTTCCTATCTGTGTGGATTCTTTTTTTTTTTTTTTTTTTTTTTGAGATAGGGTCTCACTCTGTCACCCAGGCTGGGGTGCAATGGCTCAATCTCTGCTCACTGCAACCTCCACCTCCCAGGCTCAAGCCATCCTCCCACCATGGCCTCCCGAGTAGCTGAGACTACAGGCCTGTGCCACCATGCCCGGCTAATTTTTGTATTTTTTGTAGAGATGGGGTTTCACCATGTTGCCCAGGCTGGTCTTGAACTCCTGGGCTCAAATGATCCTCCTGCCTTGGCCTCCCAAAGTTCTGGAATTACAGGCGTGAGCTACTGCGCCTGGCCGATTCTAGACATTTCTTGTACAGAGAATTGCACGTTTGGCCTTTGTGTCTGGCTTCTCCACTTGGTGTCATGTTTCCAAGGTCCATCCACATTGTGGCAGGTGCCAGTGCGTCCCTGAGTAATATTCCACCATGGCATGGACCATTCCATTGTGGACAGACATGTTGCCTTCATCAGCTGAGGGACATTGGGTTGCTGCCACCGCTGGTGAGTGTATTCTTTTCAAATTAAAAAAAAAATGCTGGTCACCACCCACTAGATCGTTTTCTTGGCCCACAGGGTGGGACAAGCCGGCCTGGGTGAGGGCCAGGAGGTGGCCAGGTGGAGGCGGCTGGAGCGGCCCTGGGTTGCCTCTGGGCGCAGCAGGCAGAGGTGCAATGGCAGAGTCTGAGCAGGTTCCCTGGGCGGATCTCCATGCCGGTAATGTTTGTTTATTCAAGAAGTCTCGGCCAGGCGTGGTGCCTCACACCTGTAATCCCAGCACTTTGGGAAGTTGAGGCAGGCAGATCACCTGAGGTCAGGAGTTCGAGACCAGCCTGGCCAACATGGCAAAACCCCGTCTCTACTAAAAATATAAAAATTAGCTGGGTGTGGTGGCGTGTACCTGTAGTCCCAGCTACTCGGTAGGCTGAGGCAGGAGAATCTGCTTGATTCCAGGAGGCAGAGCTTGAACCTAGGAGGTGGAGGTTGCAGTGAGCCAAAATTGCGCCACTGCACTCCAGCCTGGGTGACAGAGTGAGACTATGTCTCAAAAAAAAAAAAAAAAAGAAAAAAAAAGAAATCTCCAGTGCTGCCCTGTGCCCGGCACCGAAGCCGAGGGAAGGCAGCATTAGTATGAGCTCCCAGCCCACCGGGCTCCTGTCTGGAGCTGACGTGCGACCAAGGCACACGAGGGAAGCATGGCGAGGTGGACGGTGCGGAGGCATAAGGAGCAAAATAAGGCAGATGCAGTGGCTCAGTGGCTCCTGGTGGCTGCGAGGAGCGTGGGCAGGACAGCCCCAGGAGGGCACCTGGAGAGCAGGGCCGGCTGGGGCAAGGTGTGTCAGGCACTTGTCAGGAGCAAAATGTAAGGGGACACCAAAGAGCTCAGGAATCAACACAGATAGTATTTAATGCAGTATTTTTCAATATCGAAATGATGCATAGTAATCTCTATGATGAACAAATGTTGGAATTTTAAATTAAGACAGGCCCAGCCCTGCACGTGCACAGCCCTGTCAGAGTTTGTTCAGCGTGGAATTTGATTTGTTTAAAATGTTGCTTCAAAATATTGTTTGATTCCTGGATTTTTTGGCACTGCCTTAACTTTTGCACCTGGACGAAGGCCTCACCCTAATCCCAGCTGGAGAGGGTCAAGGGCTGGTGAATTTGGCTTTGGACCTGCAGAGCTTGTGGTACCTGAGAGGTGGGGCCAGGAACAGGAAGGAGCTGGTGAGAACGGCACCCGGTATGGGATGGGGCCAGATCAGAGCAGCACTGTGGCTCTTTCCAACCCGTGGTTTTGCTGCTGGATGCTTGGCGTTGGTGCTGAGCCCCCGGCCCTCTGAACGGAGTGTGATGAATAACGGGGCCGGGGAGCTCTTGGGCCCCTCCCTGAAGCAGCAGTGAAGCCAGGGACATGCCGGCAGCAGGCAGGGAGAGGGACGTCTGGTCTGTGCCTGGAGCCAGCTGCCCCATGGAGGAGCTGGGTGAGGATGCGGTGGGAGGAAGACCTTCCCAGTCCTGCATCCTCCGAAGCATAACTGAGTGCTTGTGTGGCTTGGGGGTCACTCTGGTCCGAGGACAGTCTTGCTTTGCTTAGCCAGGCTTTGAAGAGCCACCGGGATACGGACAGCAGCCCTGCTGGGTGGCAGGTTGTCCACCCTCGCCCACTCAACGCTGGAACTGGATGCAGAGCACCTGGATGGCCAGTCCCAGAGTGTCTCTGACACTCCCAGTCACCTCATCCCTTAGACCAGGATAAGATGCGGGATCCCAACCTCGAGCCTCCCATGGGCTCCATTCCATGTGCTCCCATAAGCCACTGGGCCCACCTCCTGGCTCCAGGGCTGTCTGGCCATTTGGCATCTTGGTTTCCTCATCTGTACAATGAAAATAATAGTCCCAGCCTTCTCGAGGAGTTACAAGATGCCTTTCGTGTGAAAAACTGGGATTTGGTACCAGACTATCTGGATTTGAATTTTGGCCCTACCCCTCCTAACCTGTGGCTTTGGGCCAATCTGGCCTCCCTGTCCTCAGTTTCCCCATTTATAGAGCCATCTCATTGAGTTGCTGGGAGGATGAACATAAGGAAGTGTACTCATGTGCCCAGAGCATTGTGATTTTACTTATTATTACCAAACGAGGCACACAATAAGTGCCTAATAGATGCTCAGTGTCATTTCACGGATTCTGTGTGCCTTGTGTGTCTCCAGCAGCCAAGCTCTGGAGGTGGGGAAGCTGTTGACGAGTTGCACGAGGTAATTAGAAAGAGGAGGCCACAGGTGCAAGGGTTTGGGTGACACCTGTGGACAGAGAGAGGCCGATGGACCCTGGCAGAGGGGAAGGGGGCCCTTGCACATAGAAAATGTTTCCTGCATCCAAGATCCTTGTGACTCTGGAACAGAGGCAGCAGAGGTCTGCAAATTCCAAATCATAAACCCAGAAAGCATAGAACATTCGTAGAGAGGACCAGAAACATCATATATCTTAGTGTGTATAGAATTTTCCACATAGCCAAACAAAAGCACGTTTCTAACTGAAGCTGTTGGAGAGTTCCTGAGGACTTTATACCAGACAAGGGCCGGTAAGTGGAAGTTCAATACGCAGGAGCCATTCCTTTTGTTCACAAATGTTTGCCGTCTTTTCTGTCTATATCCGCATTCATGTGAGGGCACTCATAGGTCCACCGTCCAGCCCCATGCTTTGTTTGCTACCAAAAAATTTCTTAAGAATTCCTCAGCTGCAAATCCTCCTACCGGAGGGGGGGTTCCAGGAACCCAGCCTTGCTCGGGGTTGGGGCACCTCAGCACCTGCTGCACAGGCGTTGGTCATTAAAGGTCATGTGCCGTATCCGTGGGCCCTCGGGGTCTGGTGGCACCTGGGCACACAGTCCAGTGGCGGCCTCCTACCTGCCAGACACTGGGAGTGGGGGGCTCCTCATTCCTGTTCCCTGGCGGTGGGGGGAGTGCCCCGAGCTGTCACACATCAGAACCCACCGACTCACACGTTGCGGCACCTTACAGCCCCTTGACAGCCTCTCAGCCTGAGAGACCATCAAACTGAGTTCCTGGAGAGGGTGGCTGTTGAGGCCTGGACACAGGTGTGGACAGGATAGCCCTGCCTCATCTCGGAGTCCCGCTCCGGTTCAGCCTCTTGTGGGTCTGAAGCTCAGGCTGGGCCAGTCCCTGCCCCTCAGATGGCCGGAAAGGCAGCCCAGCCCCACGGCCTCCTTGTCAGGCTCTGAGAGCCGCCTGGCCTCCAGCTCTGCTCTTTTTTTTTCTTAAGATGGAGTTTTACTCTGTTGCCCAGGCTGGAGTGCAGTGGTGCCATCTTGGCTCACTGCAATCTCCACCTCCTGGGTTCAAGCAATTCTCCTGCCTCAGCCTCCTGAGTAGCTGGGACTACAGGCGCGTGTCACCATGGCAGGCTAGTTTTTGTATTTTTAGCAGGGACCGGTTTTCACCATGTTGGCCAGGCTGGTCTTGAACTCCTGACCTCAAGTGATCTGCCCACCTCGGCTTCCCAAAGTGCTGGGATTACAGGTGTGAGCCGCCACGCCCAGCCTCCAGCTCTGCCTTGATTTTCTCTTAAGGCCGTGAGGATGTCCACGCCTCCTCCTTTCCTCACGGCCCATTGATGTCTCCAGATGCTCTGCAAAGCCACCCTCCCCTCGGGAGCTCCCCAGCTGGTGACGGGGGACCTTTTGGGGATCACTGCCCAGGTAGTCATGTAGGTCTGTGGGCCGTGCTTCCAGGCTGGACCGAGACCCGGTGCATGGGGTGCTTCTGGTCTGAGCTGAGGCCCCTGGAAGCCACAGCCAGGAGGCAGCAAGGGACGGCTGTCATGTCCCCTCTCCCCTGTCTCCCAGGGTCCCTGCGGGACAGATTTCCCTGCCTGAGCCTCCTGGTTGCCCATACCCTGGCCTCCCAAAGCCCAGCCTGAAGCCTTAGGCACCCTACAACCTGCTTCCTCTAGCAGCCTGCCCTGTCTCTTCTCTGCCGATGTTCCTGAAACTTTCCTGCCTCTCCTTACCTCTTGGCCAGAGAGAGACTGGAGACCCTGTGGGAACCCCCGAGGGGAGGGAGAAGGCCGCTGTTTGAACGGAGGTGGTCTTTCCCTCTGCCCCTCCCCAGGCGGGTCACACTTGCAGGCCCAGCCTCCTGCTGTGGCAGCGCTTGGGGTGTCGGCTGCCTCCTGGGCACGAGTTGGGAGCTGAGGGAGGCGCTTTCAGGACCGGAGTGGCAACCCAGCTGGAGGAGGAGTAACAGGCCCGTGGTCAGCAGCAGCCGCCGCAGGGACCCCGGCGCTGTACCTGTGCCCCAGCTGACCCCTCCCGCTTCCCTAGGGTGGGCCGGGGATGGTGGTCTGTTGCCCAGCCCAGGAAGAAGAGGGGCCGTAATCAGCAGCAGCCACCTCAGGGGACCCCAGCGCTGTACCTGCGACCCAGCTGACCCCTCCCCCTTCCCCAGGGCTGGCTGGGAATGGTGGTCTGTTGCCCAGCCTAGGAGGAAGAGGGGCTGTGGCTTCCACTCTAGAGGTCTCTCTCCCGGTCCCTCCCCCGGTGCTGGTCTAACTGCAGGCCTGCCTTAGGCCGTGCCGGCACCTGCTGACTGACGCTTAGCGGATGCTGATAGGAGAGGGCTGGGATGGGGAAGCAGCAAGTCCCGGTCACTGTGGGCTCGGGTTACAGATGGTTGAGGCACCTCCTGGCCATCCCCAGGAAGCAAGGCCCCACGCAGCCTCCGACTCACCCACTGCCCGTGTGTATTTCAGGAGGCTGCATCCCCCAAGGCCCCCACCAGGTAACTTCATTGGGCTGGGTGTCGCTGCAAAACCACCCATTGGGTGCGGTGGTCTTCTGGTGGGGGGCATGGCTGGGGAGGATGCGGTGGAGGAGAAGCCAGCTCCGTGGTTGGGGGGAGGGCGGACTATCCGTTTCCTGTCTGTCCCCTGAACTGGAGCTCATGGTCCCTCCCCCAGGTGCCTGGGCCATGGAAGAGGTCACAGCCCTGCCTTATTCCTGTGGCAGCCTAGGGGAGCCCTGGCCAGTCCCGTGTCTCCTGGGAGGGCGACAGCCTGGTCAGGCTGCAGGGCAGGACTGGAATGCAGACCCCTGCTTGGCCATGCTGTTGCCTGGCTGCTCTGTCTGGGGACCTTCTGTTCAGGAAGAGAGAAGCGGGCCGGACAGCCCGGCTCAGTGATTGGAAGCTCAGCTCCCCATGTTCAGTCCAGCAGGAAGTTTGCCTCCTCGGAACACTTGCGTGCTTCTGCATGTGTCTTCTTGGCTGGTGGTTCTGCGAGGCCCCTACTGGGCTGCGTCATGTCCTCTGGCCACCCTGGCCTTGGTGCCTGGCCCCTGTGAAACAGAGATACCTGGGCAGTCCCCCACTTGTGCTTGCAAGCCTGTGTGGCTTCAGTGATGGCTGATTCTGCTCCACCCAGAGGACCTGGGAATCCTCAGCCCAACTGTCCAGAGGAGTCTTTCTCAGTGGGGAGAGCCTGAGCTGTCCTCCTGGTGGACAGTCCTTTAGATCTCAGGCGGACTTCCCTGCCGGCCGTTCCTCCTGCTGCCCCTGCTCCTCTGTCCCCCATCTGTCTCCCACCCTCTCCCCTGCAGCAGCCAGCTGGCACGGGGACCTCCCCTTCCCTCTGGGATTGTGAATGAGACGACTTTCCTGGTCCTTCTGGGTCTAGATCTTTCTGGCAACAGTCAGTGAAACCCTTGTCTCAGGTGGGAGGAGAAGGCTCAGTATGTGGTCACAACAACGGTCCTAACCACATCACTCTCAAACGCTGGCTTTCACTTACCCCTTGCCCTGCCCAACAGTTACTTTCATCATCCCATTTTCCAGATTAGGAAATCAAGGCGCAGAGAGCTTCAGCCACTTGCCTGAGGCCCCCACAGTTAAGTGTCTGGATTTGAACCCTGGAGCAGCCTGGCTGCTGAGCTGTCCTGGAGACGGGGTACTGTGCAGTGGTCGGGGTAGGGGTGGAGCTCTGCCGTCGCTGACTCCCGGGCTACCTGGAGTGATAACACAGCCCAGTGTCTGGGCCCCTGCCTGAGACTTTGGCTGGATGCCAGGAGCCCGAGACCTTCCAGCTCTTTCCTGTGTAAGGCGCCATGGGGTGAAATGAAAGAAAACCCCAGTTAGAAGGTGTCCCCCTCTTCCTTCAGTCCCTCAGCTGCCCTGGATTTTGAAATAAGACACCGCCCGTCTGTGGGGTGAGCAGGAACAGATTGGAACCGCATTTCTCTCCCCCCAGTCACAGCTGCCAGGAGCTCATCTTTCTCTGTCTCCTCCCCCTGCCGCCTCTCCCCACAAGACTGGGCTGGATGCTGCTGGGAAAGTCAACAGGAAGTCTTTTGGCTGCGGTGGAGGTGGGGGTCTGTGCTTCCCTGGGGACCGAGATGAGGGCTCCAGGTTGGCTCCGGCAAGAGCAGGGAGGCTCACGTCTCTGCCTGCTGGTTTTGCTTCCTGTCCTGGGAGAAGGTATCCACATGTCCCAGAATGCACCCTCTGCGTGTACAGGGATGGCTTTTGGGCCATTCACCTGAGGTTTATTGATCTTTCTCTTTGGAACTGGAGTGGCTCCTCCACGGTGGATTGGGCTGAGCTCTCTGCCTCGGCCGACGTCTTTCCCCAGGCACTTCCTCTCACCGTGCCAGGGTGCAGGTTGCTAGTGGATGGGTCTTCACCCTCGGGGATTGGCAGCTGCCACGCTCATTTCACAGTCGAGACACCCTGGCCGAAGGTTCTGCTAAGCTCCATGGAGTGTAGGGATTTTTTTTGAGACGGTCTCTCTCTGTCGCCCAGGCTGGAGTTCAATGGCCCAATGTCCCGCTCACTGTGATCTCGACCTCCTAGGCTCAGCAGTCCTCCCATCTCAGCCTACCAAGTAGCTGGGACTACAGGTGTGTGCCACCATGCCTGGTTAATTTTTTAATTTTAATTTTTTTTTGTAGAAATGGAGTCTTACTATATTTCCCAGGCTGAACTCCAACTCCTGGGCTTAAATGATCCTCCTGCCTTGGCCTGCCAAAGTGCTGGGATTCCAGGCATGAGCCATTGTGCTCAGCTGGGGTTTTCCTTTAACCCTTCCTGGCCCTTCCCAGGTGCAGGACCCGGGCCTCAGCCTTATGTGTTCTTGAACAGCTCTGGGCTCTGTCCTGTACCTCCTGGGCGCGTGGTCAGGCCTCTCGTGACATCAGCAGGAGACTCAGGTGAAGAAGCAGGCAGAACGGAATGCTTGCTCACCCAGCCTCGGGGCCAGGCGGGGCGGCCAGGACAGTAGCAGTGGCTGGTGTGGCTTCCTGGGAGGTCAGCCCATTGGCGTGGCCAGCGAATGGGGAGGGGAGCTTCTCCCCTTGTCTCCCCTCATTTCTGGTCTCTGGGCCTCCAGGGCCAGGTCTCCAGAGTTCTAGGTGGAGGATGGAGGTCAGGGAAGCTGGGGTAAGAGCGGGCTGGGGGTGGGTGGTCAGGCGGATCCTGGAAAACCATCCTCTGCAGGTCCCGCTTTCCCCAGGGAGCACTCAGGGCTGGTCCCGGGGAGCCGGGCTAATGGTCACCTCGGATGGTGCAGGGGTCCATCCCCATGAAACCGGGCCCATCCCCATGAAACTGGGCCCACAGAAGCTTTTGGTTCCGGTTCTGTTCTGCCCCCTGGCTCTTGCTTCCAAAGTAGGACTCAGGATAGCTCTGAATTCCCTGCCGAAATGCAGCTTCCTGGGCCCTAACCCAGCCCTCCAGAACCAGAGTCTCTGGGGTGGGCCCTCTGCTTGTCTAGCAGCCTCCAGGGGACACTTGTGCCTGCCAGAGCAAGTCTAATAAGCACTGCTGTAAACCCCTCGTCCCCACAGCCTTCTGGTTCGTCTCCCTTTTCCTGCTGGGATCTGCATCAGGATTAAATGCCAACATCAGGGATCAGGTTATACTTGTGAACCCTGAGACAATACCTGCATCTTTTTTTTTCTTGAGGCTGTCTTGCTCGCTCTGTCATCCAGGCTGAAGTACAATGGTGTGATATCCACTCATGGCAACCTCCACCTCCAGGGTTCAAGCAATTCTCCTGTCTCAGCCTCCTGAGTAGCTGGGACTACAGGCTCACACCACCACACCTGGCTAATTTTTGTATTTTTAGTAGAGATGGAGTTTCACCATGTTGGCCAGGCTGGTCTCGAACTCCTGGCCTCAAGCGATCCGCCCGCCTCAGCCTCCCAAAGTGCTGGGACTACAGGCGTGAGCCACTGCGCCCGGCCTGATACCTATATCTTGACCAAGCTGCTGTGGAAACATTGAGTTCCCCTTGATAGTTTTGTCCACAGAGTGAATGTTTAGGAACCGGCGAGGCATCTCTCACCCCCACCCAGATGGCGGCCTGGAGGCAGCGTTTCTGACCCTGTGATGGGATTTGTCTCTCTTGTCCAAGAGACTTTAGAGATGTGGCCCCTGAATGTGGGGGCCCCTGTTGGGGTGGGAACGGGAGCTGGCCCTGGCCATTGTCCAGTGACCCCATCTCAGTGCCTCGATCCTAGCACCCTCGATCTCAGCGCCTCCCCTTCCCCGGCTCCGCGCGGAGATCACGTGGCTTGCGCTGAGCAATCCTCCACTGCCCCCGTCGCGTTCCTGCTGCAGGGAAGCCTTTCCAGGGAGCCAGCTGACACATTTGGCCTCCATTATTTGTTTTTGAACAGGAATGAAAGGAGAGAGTGAGTAAGAAAGTGGCAGGAGGTGGGGGTTGCAGAGTAGGGGAAGGTCAGAGAGAGGGGAGGAAAGATCTGGAAAGTCCAGGCATGTGCTCTGGAAGCAGGTGCCAGCGATGAGCTCATCTGGAGGGTGGCCGCCCGCCCTGAGCCCTGCCTGGGGCCAGCAGGGAACACTCTGCCAGGGCATGTCGCTGGGAGCCTGTCCTTGGCTCACTTTCTGCTGCTTTGAGCGCTGAGCAGATTTGTTTCCATTTTAGGGACAACGCAAGGAGGCTGTCATTCCACCCCTCACCTTATTAATATTTCATGAATCATAAGTGACCACTTACTGCGTCCTGACGTACTCCAGGCGCTGGGCTCGAAGCTTTATGCGCTTCATGGGATGTATCTGCACTATCGCCGTAGAAAACGGTTCCTGTTACTACTGCAGAGAAGGCACCGAGGCACAGAGAGGTTGAGGAACTGGCCTCAGGCCACACAGCTAGAAGCGGCTGACCCTGGCTGTGAACACAGGGCTGCTTGACTCCAAAGCCTGAGCTGGTTTGCAGCGAGGCTCATGGTTTCTGTGCCACTGTTTGAGCCTCTGGTCGAGCCCCTTGGCTCAGTGGGGGGCCCAGTGACCTACCAGCTGTTCCATTATATGTTGTGGACACCTCCACGGCCCACCTGGGTGGGAGGGAAGGGGCTTCAGGAGGTGGGAGGGGTACAGGGAACACAGTCCAGCCTGCTTGGGCCCAATACCTTGACCTTCAAGGTACCCCTTGAGGGTAGCATGAGGCTAAGCTCTTGTTCTCCTCCAGGACTCTGTTCCTGTGAGGGCCTCGGGGTCCCTTGCTTTTTTCTGGGGGCCTTGCTGGTCAGGATCACAGAGAAGCTCTTTGCTGTTGATCTTTCTGCCTCTGTATCTTTTGGCAAGCCATTTTATGACTCAGTTGCTTTGTCTGTAAAATGGGTTGAATAACATTGTCCTGCCTCGGAGGGTTTTTGGGAGGATCAAATGAGACCTGTTGCACAGAAGCCCTTTGTAAGCCATGCTGACTGGCGGTCGCCGGGCCCCCAAGTGAATGGGCATCCGGGCACTGAGTGTGTGGACTCAGTACTCGGAAGGAGGGGCTGGGGGGTACCTAGAACTCCTGGGAGGCTTGGACCCCTGCTCTGCTCAGATTCTGAGCTTCTCCTTGGCCAGTTTAATTCCCATCAGTAGGGTGAGGGTAACCAGGACTTACGCATAGTTGGGCGAAGTCGAGTGACCACATGTGGAAGTCTAGCGTCCTTCATGCAAAGTGGGCAGGCGGCCAAAGTGAGCTCTGCTCCAGTCCCCCCACCCCCGGGGCTGTTCCTGGCGCCCTGCCCTCCCCCAGAGCCCCACTGACCTGCACCATGTGACCCGGGCCTGGGAAGATGGGCCCAGCTGTGGGAGGTCGTGCGGGCTGGGGACTGAGAGTGCCGGAGGAGGGCCTCCCAGGAAAACCCAGCTGCACAGGAAGCCGGGCCAGCGGCCTCCGGAAGCCTCTGGGCTTTGCAAGCTGGACTCCCCAGATCTGTGGCTGTGGGGCCCTCTCCTGCCTGCAGCTGAGAGCCCTTGACCCGCACCTGAGGGCTTCAGAGGTCCGGGAGGGGGATGTGACCGTGTCCCCAGGGTGAAGCCCACCCGAGTGTCACTCTGGATACAGCCCTCACCTCTTCCTGGCCCCCTCTCTGGTCATGGGGACGCTGCCTGGGGGGGGTTCCCTTACATGGAAGGAGCTGCAGCTGAGCTGGCGGGCCTCGCACACCCCCAAGGCCGCCTGACTTCCAGCCTCCAAGTGGGGTTGCATTCACCACTCAGGACCTGGAGCCTCAGCCAGAGAGGGACCCTCCACTGCCTCTTTCTCTGTCTCTTGGGAAAGGTAGGGTCTTTGTGCCCCCTCCCACCCAGGGACCTGGCATGTTGGGAGGCTAAGAGGAAGCTGCCCCCCGCTCATCTACCCCCCAACCCTCCCAGCCAGCAGAGTTTTACCTGTGTGCTTAGAATCTGTGCGTGGAGCCAGAAGTCACAAGGTTGGCCCAGCTGTGTCTGACCCTGGTTGTGCGGTCTTGGACAGTCCCAGCCCTCCTGGAGCTGAGCATCCTGATCTGTAGAGGAGAGGCTGCTGTGCCGGCCCCGCAGGGCCCTGTGCAGAGGGGAGTGTGTGCGGCTGTGAGTTCAGGCCATGCCCTCAGACTGGAGGATAGGATCGGAACAGTGGGTCAGGATGGCCAGAGGGTCCCAGCCTCAGGAGGAGGCCTCCACACCTCCCAGCACCTCCACACCAGGAAATGCAGCCAGGCCCCCAGGCCTCCCATGTCAGGAAGCAGCACCCCGCCCCCCACCTCTGGTTGCCTGGGCCTGAGAAGTTGAGCACTCCTCCCGAATCCGAGTGCCCTCTGACCCCTGCTTGGGTAGTTGTCCCTCCTGAACTGACCGCCTGTCCTACACAGTCCCCTGTGGTTTGCCCGACAGGGTGGCCAGCGAGTCCCCTGCACAGCACACCTCCCCCAGGAGTGCTGCCTGTGATGATGGTGTAAAGGGTGCCCCCCCGAGCCCCCGGAGGCATGCAGTGGCGCAACAGCGTGAGCCCAGGAGCCCCGGTGAGCTCCTGGATGGAGAATCTGTTCAGATCACTCCCCAGCCTAAACCTTCCCTGGGTGTCTGCTGTGCTTGGGGCGCTGACTCATCGTGGGGCGGCCTGTGAGACCCTACGTCACCTGGCCACTCCCCTCAGCCCCTGTTCACTGCACCGGTCCCCTGGCCTGGCTGCTCCTGGAACATGAGGGCTCATCCTCACGGAAGAATATTCACTTGTTCCCTCCTGGAAAGTCCCTCCCTAGACCTCCTGGCCGCCTCATTCAGGTCTTGCTGAAGCGCTGCCATCTTGGAGAGGCCTCCCTGTCACCCGCAGTTAAAACAGCCCTCCCATGCCTGTGGGTGGCTTTCTATGGGGCATGGATGAGTATTGGAGAGTCTTGCCGTTTATTTGTTCATATGCCCTCTGGGAGGGCAGGGGACACTGACTTGTGTTGTGGGTGCCTTGCATGTCACGGGTGCTCAGTGAATGCCTGTTAAGCATTAGGGGAGCACAAAGGAGGGAAGCCTCTGTCCAACTGGAGCAGTCAGGGAAGACTTCCTGGAGGAAGTGGTATCTGGTCTGCTTAGAATGTGGCGATTTGTCTGTATGCAGACATTAGATTAGAGGGCAAAGGCCATTATCATAACTTAGCAGACAGCTACAAGCAGCTAAGGAATTGCTATGACATGGACTGCTCGTGATTGGAGCTAAGAAGGAGTCAGAGACAGAGGTCCCTGTGCTCTGGCGTGAGTCCTTGGGGGAGGCTGAGCTCCCAGAATGTGGGGCCGCCTGTGCAGAGGCCGGAGGTGGGAGACACACCTGTGAGTGCCGGTGAGTGTGGGGTGAGCCACTGGGGCTGGATCAGAAGATGGGAATCCCTAAACCCACCAACCAGCCTTGGTGCCCTGGGAGTGACAGGAGACGGGGCTTCTGGGGGACTAACCCAGCACAAGTGGACGAGATGGGATGCAGGGGAAAGGACAAAGCTCTCTGAGGCTTTGGGAAGCTGAGTTAGGGTAGAGCCATGACAGGGTGAGTTCCAGAAGCAACACAAGAAAAAATAGCTAGACTGGGTTTTCCCTTCACTGTGGGAGATGCCCCACCTCACTTCCCCCGTCCTCCGGGCTCTGGCAATGGGCTGGGCACAGTGAATGGGTTCCATCTGCAGGAGTGGTCACACCCCTTGGGCACAGCTGCCTCATACACTGTATTGAGATGGGATCCGAGGCCGGGAAGAACAGCTTCTTCTGTAGGTTGACATTGTCAGCCTTCGGGGAGGGAAGGACGGCAGGGGGCCTGGAGCATCTCCTTTTGCCATCCACACTCTGTGCCTGCCTGCAGGGTCTTGAGCCCTGTCTGTTCTGCCTCAGTCCTGGTCAGGAACTTGTTGGAGCCCATAGGGGCAGTCAGGCTGGAACAGGAGGAGACCAGGCCGGCAGGGGAGCCGAGAGGGGGCCCTGGACAGCACCCAGGGCTGAGTCATCCTGGGCCTGCCCGACTTGCTATTTGGAGCTGTTCCCGCTTGCTCATCATGTGCAAGGTCCTGATCCACTCGGGTCTGTTTAACCAGCGCCCCTCCCCAGGCCCAGTTAGCCTGGTTTTCGTTCGATTCATTTATTGTCATCAGTGCCATCCTTGCACCACGTAACTAGCCTTTGCAGCATGCCAGCCACCAAGCTCAGGGCCCTCTGTGCATCTCCTGTAACCCTCACAGCAACCCGGGAGGCACAGAGAGGCTGAGTCGCTGGCCCATAGTCACACAGCAGGTATGGGGCATTGCCAGGATTTAGCCGGATCTCTGACTCCAGGGCCTTTCCAGGGCCTTGGGTGGGACACTGGCAAGGAAGCAAGGTATGAACACTGGCCCTGCCTTGGACAGAGCTCGGGGACGGTGGCCTGGCAGGCCCAGCTGACACAGTGACCCTGGTGCAGGTTCAACCATTGGCAAAGTGTTCAAGTACACACAGAATCTCAACTGGGGAGACAGGCGAAGCGGTCAAGGGAGGGCTGTGAGTGACAGGTGGACACTGTACCTACTGGCAGATCAGCTGACCTTGGTGCCTTCTGGAGCCTTTCAACTTCCTTATCCAGAAAAAGAGGAACTAACAGTTCCACCCCCAAACTGGGTGGGAGTACCACATTCGAAATTGAAGCAAAGCTGGTCGTGTCACAGGCTCGGCAGATGTTAGCTGTGCAGGCAACTTAGTGACCATTTGAAGTAGGCTGTGCGGCGGCATCCTCATCTTGCAGATGTAGTCCAGAGAGGTTAGGGCACTAACCCTGGGTCACACAGCGACAGCTCAGGCTACAGAGAGCAGTGCTGGATGGGAGGGTGTTGGCAGCTTCAGGCACAGGCTGGGAGGGCTGTGGGGTCAGCAGAGGGAGGGCACACTTCCCAGCTGGTGGGGTTCCCTTGTGCCTCAGTACTCATGTGGGCCCAAAGGAGCTGGAAGGAGGGAGGTTAGAGCCACCCATGGGTTCAGAAGCTGATAAGCAGGTTATTGACTCTGAATTTGCCTCATCGTATGTAAATTGGGGACAAATTTGGGGATTTAATGATATAATGTAAGAAGCAGACATGTCACAGCCCTGGTTATACAGTCAGTGTATAATAAGTGGTAAGCCGTCAGAGGAGGCAGCCGGTGAGAATGGGAGCATCTCAGCAGCCCTCCGCCCCCTGCTCCTGGTTGCAGATGTACCTGTTCTTGGCTATTTGTGCCCCAGCTCCGTGTCCTCCGGTGTGTGTGAGGCCAAGCTCCTGGGGTGGGGACTTGGGGGTGTGTCTGCAGCTCCTGAGGCCAAGACCAAGGCTGAGGCCGAGGCTGAGGCTGAGGCCACCTTGGTGAGGAGGAAATTGCAGGTGGAGAAGCTCGTTGACCGTGACCTTGATCTGACCGTAATTTTGATGGTGCCGATGCCGTCAGCACGCAGGCCTCCTGCCCTCGCCACGACTGGCTCCTGCAGCCCACCTGGCTGAGAGGTGTGCTGGCTCTCGCAGGTTGCAAAATGGGGACATCACCGTCCGCCTGGGCTACAGCGTGCTCGCCGATTGCATTTGGGGAGGGACTGAGGGCTGATTGTGTTGTGGGGATGTTGGCAGAGAATCAGAGAGGGCATCCAAAAAGGCCAACAGTTCGGTGGGGAGAGGAGGCGCAAGGCTGGTTCCTGTTTTCTGGGCTTTGATCGAAAGGGAACAGGGGACACATCTGGGGACAGTCTCCTTCCTGGAGGAAGAAGGGCTTAGGGTGCTGGTGTGGAGTTTGCACAGATGGGGATAATGAGCTGGAGGGTGCTGGGCAGGAGCTGGCCAGTAATAGGCTGACGAGGGAGGCCCTGCTGGCTGGGCCTGGTTTTCAAGTGAGCATCCTGAGCTGCGGGGACCCAGGGGGTCTTAGAGACCTCAGAGCTGAGACTCGGGACCACAGAGGGGTGGGCTGTGCTCAGGGCAACACAGCGGATGGGGCAGATGTTGCGAAACCTGTCTCTCTGCCTCTCTTTCTCCTGCTACAGAACTGGATCCTCCCAGCTCATGGCTGTCAAATCCTTTAGATGCTTCTGGGTTCCATGGGCGCCTTACACTGGCTTCCCTGTAGGACAGCAGACCCTGGGGGTTGGCTCTGATGGTATTCACCATGGGGTACCCCATGCAAGCACAGTGCTTTCACGCCCAGCCTCCCAGCCTGTGGAGTAGGCCTGTGTCTGGCCAGCCTCACTTTGTGGCCAGAGGAGGGAGACAGTGGTTCTGGAGACAGGAGCTGGCCTGGGGCTGCCCTCCCAGCCCCTGTTCTCCCAGCTCATCTCCTTGCCTTGCGGGTGCTGGCCACCCTCCCCCCGCCAGCTCCATCCCCAGCTTTCTCTGCCCGAGCCGTGACCTGTCAGTAGGGGGCAGTGGAGGCCTTGAAAGTCCTTGGAGAGGACTTTGAAGCAGTTTTTACAAATCTGTCCCTGGAAAGTCTCTCCTGTCACACCCCCAGCGGCTCCCTCCCTCCTAACATTTTTCCTGGGGTTGTCATGCAGCGGGGGGTGGAGGAACCCACTAGGCCGTGGATAGAGCAGAGCCATGTTGACACAAACCCTGGCTGAACCCACATGCTCCCTACAGCCAGCGGCCGATCACTGGAACCAGGGAAGTGACCTCATAGCAAGGGCCCGCAGAGCAGCCATCACGCATTCCCGATCTTGGTTTCTGGACCCAGCTCTGGAAAAGAAGCCAGATCCTAGCCACTTGGAGCTGCCTAGGGAAGACCCCAGCCTGGTGCCGGCTGACAGCTCACTGGAACTTTTCATCTGCTTGGCCAGGTGATGCCAAGGGGCAGAGGTTAGAAGTGCTAAGAAGCAGGCCGAGGGTGGTGGCTCACGCATGTAATCCCAACACTTTGGGAGGCCAAGGCGGGTGAATCCCTTAAGGTCAGGAGTTCAAGACCAGGCTGGTCAACATGGCGAAACCCCATCTCTACTGAAAATACAAAAATTAGCCAGGTATGGTGGTGCACGCTTGTAATCCCAGCTACTCTGGAGGCTGAGGCAGGAGAATCTCTTGAACCCGGGAGGCAGAGGTTGCAGTGAGCCGAGACTGTGCTACTGCACTCCAGCCTGGGCAACAGAGCAATACTCCGTATCAAAAAAAAAAAAAAGAAGAAGAACAAGAAGTGCTAAGAAGCATCTGTCTTCCTGATTGAAAAGCAATCTTTGCTGGGCGTGGTGGCTCACGCCTGTAATCCCAGCTTTGGGAGGCTGCGGTGGGAGAGTCGCTTGAGGCCAGGCGTTCGAGACCAGTCTGGGCAACAGAGGTGCTAGGGGTAGTGGCGCTTGCCTGTAGTCCCAGCTCCTCAGGAGGCTCAGGTAGGAGGATTGCTTGAGTTAGGAGTTTGAGGCTGCAGTGAGCTATGACCACACCACTGTACTCCAGCTCCTGGGTGACAGGATGAGACCCTGTCTCAAAAAACAAAACACAAACAAAAAACCAACGTTTATCTTTTGTGATTTTAAAAATCACACCTACTTGTGACAAAATAATTAAATTAGAAAATGTAAAGGAAATGATCAATAATAATTGCGTCCTCCAGACAAACACTGTTAACATGTTCACGTTTCCTTCTAGTCTTTTTCTACATAGACACTCAATACTTATTAATTTGTTTTGAACTAAAGATGGTTTTCTCTGCTTTGTATGAGAACCACCTCAGCCAGGCACGGTGGTTCACGTCTATAATCCCAGAAAGCTGAGGCAGGCAGATTGCTTGAGCCCACGAGTTTGAGACCAGCCTGGGCAACATGGCGAAACTCCATCTCTACAAAAAAACACAAAAATTAGCCTGGTGTGGTGGCACATGCCTGTGCTCCCAGCTCCTCAGGAGGCTGAGGCAGGAGAATAGCTTGAGCCCGGGAGGTAGAGGTTGCAGTGAGCCAAGATCGTGCCACTGCATTCCAGCCTAGGCAACGGGAGTGAAATGCTGTCTCAAAAAAAAAAAAAAAAAAAAAAAAGTTGCCACGTTGTCACCTCTCTCAGGGATTTTCATCCTTTCTACTTTTCGCCCAAGACTTGCCCTGTAAAAGGATGAGGCCAAATAGCCATGGGAGGGTGGTACTGGATGTTCAAAAAAATGTTTCGTGGCTGGCGGGACTTAGAAACAGGTTGGGGAGGTTTCAGCAGAGGGTGGACCCCAGCTGGGGGTGGGGGGCAGCAGGGGGGCCCCTCACATGCTCTCTCTGCGTGTTTCATGGGGCTGCCTGTGAGGCCGTGTGAACCAGAGCCCGGCTGGGAAGCCACATGCTACCTGGACTCTGACCTTTCCTGGCAGCATGACCTTAGCCAATACGCTCAACTATGTTCCCCTCTGTAAAATGGGCTAATAGAAATGTCCACTCGAGACATGATGAGAAACAAAGGTGTTCATAGAGCAAAGTGCTTAGAACGGTCCTGGCATGACAGGAGCCCACATGTCAGTGCTGCCGTTGGCATCGTCATCATCACGGCGGCATTGGCTGCTTTGTTTCTCCCTTGTCCCTGTCACCTTCTTCCCTCAGCAGGCTCTCATTCACTTGTTCATTTATTCATGGCCGAGGCCCCGTCTGTGTCAGGCCTGGTGCTGAGAACGGGGGTAGAGAGATGGGGGCTGTGCCCTGCTCCCTGACCCAAGGGTTCCCTTTGCAATGTGAAGTTCTTGGAGACTGGACCCTCAGGCTGTTCCACCAGCCCCTCCTCAGGCCAGCTTAACCCTTCCGTGCTCGTTTTCTGAGCTGTTAGAGGAAGAGAGCGGGAGGAAGGATGGAGTGGGGTTTTTGTGGGGACTGAGCGGGGGGTGTGTGAGGCCCTGGAAATGGTGCCTGCGGCACTCACGCAGCATTAGCTTTTGCTGCAGTTGCTGTTTGGAGAATATTCTTGGATTTCAGGACACTGATGACAGAAGGTGGAACGCTTTTTCTGGAAGCCATCAAGAGGGGACCACCGCGGCGGCTGAGCAGAGTTGCTGACTTGTGAGCTGTGGCCTGACCACAGTCACTGTTCTCATGAGCGAGGCCCCCTGTGGTCCCCCTCCCAGGAATTTCTGGCCCCTTGGCAGGGGACAGTTCAGGGCTGGGGGTGGGTAGTGGTGTCTGCAGGCCCTCTTGGAGTCAGAGAATCCCCTGTCGCCGTGGCGGGGCTGTTCCCTCCTGCCCCTCCCCTCCCGCTGTGCTCTCAGCTGCTCCGACAGGATGCTTTTGGCCTGAGAGACAGAAACCCCAACTCTGAATGGCTTCAGCCCTCAAGAGAATTTGGAGCTTTTTTGTGCAAAATGAGATGTTCTGAGCATCGAGGATGCTGTGGGGGATCCTCCATCCCACCATCTCCAGCCGTGGTGTCCCTCTCGGTCACAGGATGCTGCAGCCACGTTGCAGGGAAGGAGAGCCTCCCTTCCTGTGAGCCTAGGGAGCCCCTCCATGCAGCCCCTTCACTGGCCATTGCCTGAGACCCGACCTGGTGGCTCCTGCCCCAAGGAGCAGAAAGGGGGTTCGCTAGGTCAGGGTGGGGCTGGGTGCGAGGACCCCCCCCGGCCAACAGGGTCTGCTTAGGTGTCCGTCCTGTTGGGGCAGCAGGGAAGGGACCCACATGTGGCACTGGGACACGGAGAGGCTTTTGTGCCTGTGACGGCCAAAAGGGATGGCGCCCCAGCCACGTTCCCACCCACCCCGAGGCCCAGCATGGCCATGCCGGAAATAGCAGCATCGTCCCCCTCACTGTCCTGGCTTGCTTTCAATAGGCCAGAGGGGTGGGGCTGGAGCGGGCGTCTGACCTGTGGCTGGATCTAGCTGCCCGTGGACAGGCTGTGAGTGAATCTGCAGAGGAAGGGAGATGGGAATGCCGGGACCTTCTCCTGCACCTCCCGAACCCCCGTTCCCTGTGAGTTAGATGGGGAGTGCACCCCTGCCCTCCCCTCCTGGGTATCCCCTGCGCCCCCCGCCCCAGGCACTTGATGTTGCCTGTTCATTTTCCCTCTCTGCCCCTCCCGCTGGCCCTTCCCATATGGTCCTAATTAGGACCTTCCGCCCGTTGGTGGATGGGCAGAGAGGGGAGCTTGCTGTGGGGCCTCCCCCGATCGGGGGACTTCCCAGCACAGAGCTTTCTGGCCTCTGCAGGGACGCTGTGTGTGCCTGTGTGAGTCTGGCGTGTTAGAAGCGCTAAGCTGCAGCTGTTCTGTGCGTTTTTCACATTTCTCACTTCTCAAAGGCCCTGGGTTTGGTGTCTGTGGGCTGGGGATCTGTGTTGGGGTCTCCAGGAGGCCCTTGGTGGGAGAGGCAGGGCCCCTTCCCCTTTAATCTGGGCAACCTTGCTTTGGCCTGCTGTCTGCGGAAAGTGCCCTAGGATACGGTGGCAGGACTGGCTGGGGTTCTGGCTCCAGGCCCAGCCCCAGCCCCTGTCAGACTTACCCTCCTTGTGCCTCCGTTCACCCTGTCCACCCGCAGGGCCTGCAGGAGCATCCTGAGAGTTGGTAGGGTGGCCTGCCCGGCGTCCGCACAGGGTCTGCTGGTGGGTGGCTGAGGCTGCGGTGAGGTCTCCATGGCTCCCTCGTCCTGCACATCCTTCCCTTGTTGTGTTGTCTCGCTAGCATATGAGCCCGTACTGCCTCTGAGTCTGCAGCCTGTTTTCCTTACCAGGTGGCTAAGCAGGGTGGCAGCCAGGGTGGCAGAGTCCCATTGGCCTGCAGGGGACCCTCTGTGGGCTGCAGGTAGTCCCCTGTGGTTGAAGGTGCCCTGGCAGGACCTGCACCATGACCCCCGTCAAAGCTCACGTCCAAGGCATTTGTGGGCACCCCCGCCCCAGACGTGAGGGTTGGCATCTTCTCTTGCACGTGAAGCAAAGGCCTGTTTGAAGGAGCGTGTGGAAGCCTGGGTGTGATGAAGGCAAGGACCGGTGGCTCACCCCTCTTGCACCTGGACCTTGGGTGGCAGGCCTGGGGCCTTCAGTCCTTAATTCAGGAGGGTAGCCAGTCGCTGGAACTAAGAGTGAACTTCAGCTGTTGTTGCCATAGCTGGAGGGAAGAGGGGAAAGGAGGCGCTGCAGGGGAGCAGAGACCTCACCCTTCCTCTGCCGACATCAGGCTGCCGGTGCTGGACGGGGCCCTGGCAACCGTGGCAGGAGTGGTGATGTCCGATGATGGTAACAAGGGCTTCCTGAGGACCCCGAGCTGTCTTAAGGGCTCTTTACCTGGAGTAAGTATCCCCTTTAATCCTCCCAACAACACTGTGAAATTGATTCTGTTGTTATTCCCATTTCACCGATGAGGAACCCACAGCCCAGAGATGTTAAGTAACCTGCCCAAGCCTCCCTCTGAGCATGGCAGAGGGAGGGTCCGAATGCGGAAAGTCTGGCTTCAGTGCCCCCATCCCTAACCACTGTCATTTACCTCTTCGGCCAGCCCTCTGATTGCAAAACCTGAGGCCCAGAGGAGTGCAGTGACTTGGCCAGCTTCGCACGGCAGGTTAGTGGCAGAGCTGAGCAGTGTCTCCCATGCCCTGATTCTGTGGCTTCTTGAGGTGGCTCACCCCTAAACACGCCCCCCATGGTGGCTCTGTTTCCTCCTCTCCTCTGAACCTGCCAGCCTGTGCTCAGGCAGGGGGAGAAGTAGAGCAACCATGCCGGGCGGGTCGTCGTGCCCCAGTGCCGCCTGCCCTACACCTGATTGGCAGCAGAGTGGCCCCTCCTTGGTGTGGTCTGGAGGTGCCAGTGGTCACTCATCAGCACAGCCCAGTCTCACACATGTCACTCCCAAAGGATGTTGACACAGAATGAAGCAGCTAGGGGAGGCGGACGCTTTGGCACGAGGGTGGCGTTTCTGGTAATCCGTAGTGCTGTTGTCTGTGGCTGCCTTTGGCTGGCATCTCACCTCCTCCTGGCTGTCCTGCAGCCACCTGAGGGAGGTCAGCATGTCGCCTTCATCCCAGGACAGTGTGAATGCAGCAGCGCAAGCTTGCCAGCGCCGCACTGCGGGATCTGGAGGCCTTTGCTCCTGAGCCCTGCCTCTGTGTAATCCCTAAAGCACGGACTTCTTAGGGGCTTCCATTCCTCCACCTGGAAAAACCTTACACCGTTTAGGGCTTGAGGCAGGGCTAGAGCATGGAGACGTTGCTGGAGGACCAAGGGAGAACTGAGCGCGTGTTCTCTTGGCCTCAGCCTCGTGTGTGTGTTTATGCATGGGTACTTTGCCATCCACACTGGCTTCCACGGCTGGGTGGGAGTTGAGTTGAGCTCGGCGGCTGCCTTTCCACCCTGCGGGCCTGGTTGGGGAGTGTGAGGATGCCTGCTGGAAGCCAACGTGCACGAAAGAGTTAATGGTGGATCCCATTTCCTCAGCCCCCTCTCCAGCTTTCCCAGGGAAAGGGCAGGAACAGAGAGGCCTTATCTTCAGAGGAAGGGGTGGGCGGGGACACAGCGCTGTTCGGCACAGTCCCCTCTGAGCCACCCTGCATGTTTCATTCCACCGACTTCTGCAGCCCAGCTGTTCAGAGCGGATCCAGAAGGTGGAGAGAGGGTTTCCAATAAGCAGAGGATGGAGTGAATGTGAGATTCATTACTGGGATTTGGCAAAGCAAAGAGCCTCACTTTCTCCCCGCAGATGGGACGGGGGCGGGGCTGGAGCCAGCGGGGTGGGGGTATCCAGCAAGAGCTCCTTCCCATCCTCCCACTTCCTTTGCCATGGGCCCCCTCCTCCACGCAGACCCTCAGCCTGGAATGATCAGTGTCCAGCTTTTCTCGCCCCTCTCCTGCCCCGCTGGAGGGAGTGACCTGGCCCCTGGCCCCGGCCACCTACACCTCCTGTTTTGCTGCACTAGCCTCGTGGTAGGGGCTGCGGCGGAGGTGGGCAAAAGCCGCTTCCGGGCAGCCAGCCCCCATCCTGGGAGTGACTGAAAGTCCTTGGGGGTTCCTGCAGGGTGAGCTGCCCATTCTGGCCCTGGTAAGGACACCCAGGAGAGGGCCAGGGTGCCTGTATTTGGGGCACAGCATAAAGAACAGCCGTAAGTGTTTCTCAGGCAGGAGGGTGCCGAAGCATTGGGAAGCTGGGATTTAGAAGCATTGTTTGGGGTGGTGAGTGGAAGATGCAGGACACAGATTCACGCGATTGTGCAGATCACCTGGCCTCACTCCCTCGGTTTACAGTGGAGGAAACTAGAGGCCGAGAGAGGTGAAGTGAGTTCCCTGGGGTCACACAGCCTAGCCAGGCCCAGGGCGCCGACCTCCTGCTCTGCCTTCCCGTGCCCATTCGGTTGGCATCAGCATCCCTGCCTTGACACCCCCGTGTGGCAGCTGCTGTGATTCTGTGACTCCTCCTCACCCCACCCCAGTGGGGCCCTGCGAGGGAAAGAAGAATGCCCTATGCAGAAGTGGTTGGAAAGCAAGAAGCCTGGAGAGAAGTGAGGCCTCTGTGGTTTGGCCTGAGTCCAGGACTCATGGCCTGGTTCCCAGGGATGGAGCACCGACCCCTCCCTTCTACACCCCCACCCCACGCCCCCAGGAGCTCCCTATGGGGAAGCCGGAATGGACCTGGGCTCAGAGATTGTAAATTCATCTTGCTGGATGTGTGGCTGCCTTTATGTAACCAACTCTCTCACGGAGAAGCCAGGGGATGGCTCTCAGTACTCTCGGGGGTCTCTCAGTGAGGTGGGAGGACCTCGAGAGGTCAGGAGGCTGCTCAAGACCTTCTGCCCCTCAGGGACCAGGTGAGGGCTTGTCGACTGCTCTGACCTCCTGATGCTTCTGGTGGGGAGACCTCAGAGGGGCCTGCCGTCACCATCGCCAGTGGCCCTGGCCTGCCCAGTCATCCTTCTGGGGTGGCCAAACTCCATGCTGCAAAAGCCCAAGTGAACCCCAGTAGTGGCCTGGGAGAATCATCTGTCACGAGCCAAGGATGGAGTTTCTGGGGAGGACTTTCTGCTGCCCCCCAACCCCTTTCGGGTACATTCTCCTGTAGCCCCACTCCCTGTAAGAAAGTCAGGTGCCTCCCGAAGCTTCTCCCTGGCCCCAGGCCAGAGGTGACAGTGGGGGCCCCTTGCTTGCGCTGGTGACTGTGGCTGGTTGTTGGTGCCTGGCCCTGCCCTGCACTGTGCACCCATTGAAGGCGGCATCATCCGGGCCTCTCCGGTGGCCATGCATGGGTGAGCAGCCCACGACACATCTGCTTCCAGCATCGTGTGGGCCGGGGCTTTCAGAGGGGCTGAGGGCTTGGATGGCCCTGCAGGGGGGTGCTCCTGGCCTTGTGACCGAAAGGAGCTGAAGGTTTGGAGAAGCCGTTGGGCCGAGGTCAGTTCTTATAGATTTGGCGAGGAGGGAACAGATGCTCACGGAGCTGCTCCAGGCACTGCACACACTGCCTCACTCTGCGCTGACAGCCAAGAGGCTGGTTCCCCGCCGACCCCCATTTTACAGATAATGTGCTCCCCCAGTTCCTTAGTGGTGGAGCCAGGATTCGAACCCACGCAGGCAGCCTCCTGGGCCTGTAGTCCTACCCTTCATCTCCCTCCAGGACCTATGTCTTGGGGTTGGCAGGATAATGACTCCCAGAGTTGAGCACATCCTAATCCCCAGCACCTGGGACTACGTTAGGTGACATGGCAGGGCCAGCTAAGGTCACTAATCAGCTGGTCTTAAAATAGGGAGATGATCCTGGATGATCCACACGGGCCCGCTGTCATCACAAGAGTTTTTAAAAGCGCAATAGACCATCTGAGGGGTGCAGTGGGAGAGGCTTGGAAGGAGGAAGGAGGCCACAAGCCAAGAAATGCAGGTGAACAGAAAATGCAGGAAAACGCAGTCTCCCCTGCAGCCTCGGGAGGGTGCGCAGCCCTGTGGACACCTTCCCTGTAGCCTAGTGAGGTGGAGTGTGGGACTAATCTGTGTTGTTTGACATCACAAGTGTGTGGTCATTTGCTACAGCAGTGATGGGAATTGAATGCCATTAGGCAGCAGTGCTTCTATCCCGGAAGAATTAGGATAAATTCCCCTGTGGATCTCAAGCTCTGGGAGATTCTGGGCTCCTCTGGACTGCTCCAGTTCTGCAATCATAGGAAAGGTCTCCCATGTCTGTTTGGGAGAAGAAAACCCCGTAGCAAATCCATTTCCCCTTTTGACAAATGAAGGCGAGGGTGTGGGCTGGACACATGTTTCCTTTTTGTGGATTTTTTTTGTTTTAACACTTAGAATTCTGTAGCTGAAGGAGACTTTGGGGGGTTGTCTGCCTGATTTGCAAGTGAAGAAATGGAGGCCCAGGGAAGTTAAGTGACTGGCCCAGGGTCATGCAGAGTCATGCTGGAATATCAAGCTAGATAGCCCAGTTCCTGCTCCAAAGTGCTTTCCTCCCTGGTTGGGGAGGAGGGTTGGAGGGAGTGGACCCCGAGCAACAGCAGCATTGGCAGGGGTTGGAAGAGTAGCTACTGTATCCAGGTGCTGGAGCCTCTGGCCACTTCCTGCAGGAACCAGGTGACCCACCATGGCACAGGCCTCTCCCTGTCTATCTGCAGCCCTGGGGGCCCCAGGGACCAGAGGACACTCTGGCCTGAGGGCTGGGGCCTGAGAGAAGAGATGGAAGTACCCCTAGTCTGGCCTGCCCCCGTGGCGTCCTGCAGGCATATCCGGCAGCCCAGGGGTCCTAGAGAACTTGGCTGGTGGGCGTCCCCACCTTGCCGCAGCTGCACCCTGTGGCCAGCAGCTTGCAGGACTTGGGCTGTTGCCTGTGGCCCTGAAACAGTCATTTTCTGAGCTGAGTGGGGATCAGGTGAGCAGATCCCCACACCTTAACTGCTGTGATCTTTCTGTCCTGGAGGCTGGTGGGCAGCCTGGTTGGTGCTTCATGGCACTTTATGACCGGCCCTGTCACCAGGCTCGTGAGTTGCTCCCCTCCTTTCGGGCATCCTGAACGGCTTCCCTGAGAGCCCCGCCCTGGGCCTTCGCCTCTGCAGGCCCCCGCTGCCTGGGGCGCCTCCTTCCCCTGGAAGCTGGGCCTCTTTGGGGACTCATTAAGAAGGGCCTTGCCGAGTGCTGCCAAATTGCCCCATCTGGTCCCCATTTGTTCCACTTACCACCCTATTTTAACTTTTATGTCTCCTCCTTGGCTCTAAGATCTGAGCAGGCAGGGCCTGTGAGGCACCCCAGGTCCCCTGATGCTGCCAGCACCCAGGGGACTGTTAGTACATATGCAGGGAGGGAAGGAATGAAGGAAGAGATGACTTGGGGAGTCCTCCAGTTCCCATTTGTAACTGGCACATTGCGACAAAACACTCATGGCATTTTACCTTTTTCATATACCTTTTTTTTAAATTTATTTTTATTTGAGATGGAGTCTCGCTCCGTCACCTAGGCTGGAGTGCAGTAGCACAATCTTGGCTCACTGCAACCTCCACCTCTCGGGTTCAAGCGAGTCTCCTGCCTCAGCCTCCTAAGTAGCTGGGATTATAGGCGCCCACCACCACGCCCGGCGAATTTTTGTATTTTTAGTAGAGATGGGGTTTCACCAAGTTGGCCAGGCTGGTCTCGAACTCCCGACTTCAGGTGATCCGCCTGCCTTCGCCTCCCAAAGTGTTGGGATTACAGGCGTGAGCCACTGCACCTGGCTTTCGTATATCTATAAAAGAGAATTTGCCCAGAAAATCTTTCAGATGCACCTTTAGGGTTTTAAGGCACAGATACATGAAGCTTGTCAGTGAGCAGCTGCTGCTTATTCCTTTTTCTCTTCCAATTCAGAGCGGCCTGCGTCCCAAGCGGACAGCTGCTCCCTTCCTCTTGGCTCCCTGCTGCCCACGCTCCCACAGAAGCAGGGAGAAGAGGCAGGAAGGTGACGCGTGATCATCCGCTGGGCGCCCGCACAGTGCCGTCTGCACAGGTGCCATCTCCTTTACTTGTCACTCTCCTCGCTGAGCCCTTTCCCCTTTTTGCAGATGAGAGAGCATTGCCTCCCAGAGGTTAAGAAATGGGCCCAGAGTCACTCAGCTGATCAGCGTGCAGCCAGATTTGAACCACATCCTGCTGATCTCCATGCCTGCAGGCCTGGCCTGATGAGATGGACAGCTGGGTGGTGGAGACCTTGAGACCCTGGATGGCTCCCAAATAGGGCCTGTAGCTCCTGGACAGGGAGAGTCTGGCACAAAGGGTTTGTGGAGTGAGCTGGGGGAGAAGGTGGCTTAGGGTCCCTGTCTCTGAACAAACAGATGGAGGGGCTATTCCAGCGTTTTCTCAGCCTCTGGTGTGCTGGGCTCCTGGTTCTGGGAGGAGAGAATGGAGCTGGCCTCCATTCTGGGCTGGGCTGGTTTGGGCCCAATTCAGACAAGCTTCTTAGTTTGCCATGAGTGACACTTTTGCCTGCCCTGGTGTCTCTGCCAAAAATATGAAGGGTTTCAGAACCCCCACCCCGGCCTGCTTCCCTCCCAGACTTGGAGTGGGTCTGGGGCTGACAACAGTCTCATGCCAGATAGCCTGAGCAGCCACCAGTGCCATCAGGTCTGACACTGCGGCCCCTGCCCCGGAGGGAAAAACAAGGCCCTCTCTGGGGGATTTTCTGCCAGCTTGTGAAAACAGGCCTGGAGTCAGCCAGCGCCCCCATGCTTAGACACTTCGTGTGGTTTTCAAAGTGCTTTTATGTTGCTAGCTCATATGATCTTCCCCAAAACCCCATAAGGGAGGGCAGGAAGTTTGAGCAACAGCCTGTCAAGCACCCATACAGCAGGTGGTTTCATTGCCCTCCATTTACAGACAAGTAAACTGAGCTTCAGGGTGGCTACCGCTTGTCTCCCAAGCCACCCAGCCATTTAGCCACGGAAGAGGTCATGACTTTTTACACCCCAGTGAAGCTGAAGATTTTTCTTTCCGTTTTTAAAAATGTTTACTCCCCAGGGCAGTGAACACCTGGTGCCTCTGTCTAGCGCAAGAGGTGAACGTTTGCCACTTCCGTTTCTTTCCTCCTACCAGACCTGACCCTCCTTTTGTGACGGGAACATCCTGCAGGCAGTCTGTCCTGCTTTCATAGACTTTGAGAAACGGGGTCCAAATTGCCGGCTGTGGGTGGGACAGGCGACACTGCAGTGAAGAGGTGGAGTATTTTTGTAGCGGGGAAGAAATACATTTCCTCTACCCTCTTAGGTTCAGTGTTTGGGGGTCTGTGAATTAAACTCACTCAAGATAAATTAATGAGAGAAAAGACAGATTTAATCACATACGTATGGGATTTCACTGAAAAACGTGACTCAAAAGAGCAGGTAGAAGGTGGGGCCCGTGACTGGTCCGAAGGTAGTGAGTTATCTCAGTTGATTGTTCACAGTCAGTTACAGATTAGACTCCTTGTTCCACTGTCTCCCCTCTTCCCACTTGTTTTGTTTTTTTTGAGTCAGAGTCTTGCACTGTTGCCTGGGCTGGAGTGCAATGGCACGATCTCGGCTCACTCTAACCTCCGCCTCCCGGGTTCAAGCGATTCCCCTGCCTCAGCCTCCCGAGTAGCTAGGATTACAGGCACCCACCACCACGCCTGGCTAATTTTTTGTATTTTTAGTAGAGACAGGGTTTCACTATGTTGGCCAGGCTGGTCTCAAACTCCTGACCTCGTGATCTGCCTACCTCGGCCTCCCAAAGTGGTGGGATTACAGGCATGAGCCACTGCACCCAGCCAACTAGTCTTAAAAAAAAAAAAAAAAAAAAAAGAACTTAGGGCCCGTATACTATCTTAATAGGAAAAAAGGAAGGGGTGAAAGCACATATTATGGGCCGGGTGCGATGGCTCACGCCTGTAATCCCGGCACTTCGGGAGGCCGAGGCAGGTGGATCACCTGAGGTCGGGAATTCAAGACCAGCCTGGCCAACATGGTGAAACCCCGTCTCTACTAAAAATACAAAAATTAGCCGGGTATGGTGGTGCACACCTGTAATCCCAGCTACTTGGGAAGCTGAGGCAGGAGAATTGCTTGAACCCACGAGGCGGAGGTTGCAGTGAGCTGAGATCATACCATTGCATTCCAGTCTGGGCAACAGAGTGAGACTGTGTCTTAAAAAAACAAATAAAAAAAAAAAAGCACATATTATGGCAAAACAAATGAGTTTTTGGAAAGATAAATAGGCCCTTAGGAGCTGAGATGGGAGATGTGAAGTCTTGTGACAATGTCTTCTTAGGTGTGGTGTGGAAACTACTCACATCTTCCAGGGAAGAGTCAGTTGCTCCCAGGGAGCAGATTTGGGCCTGTATACCATCTTAATAGGGGAAATGGAAGGGGCAAAAGCACATATTATGGGCTGGGTGCAATGTGCCCAGTGCAGGAGGCAGACGTGGTTTATGGTTGCTGTTGAAACCAGTGCAGGGCCCGATTGCTTTGTATTGAGTGTTGAGGATCCTGGTTTTGTATCAGCCATGAGTTTGCAGCTCTGGGACACACTTGATGTTGGCTCAAGGGGAAATGAGGTTGGAGGGGCAGGGTGGTTGGATTGGATGTGGGCCTGGGGCCATTGCTGATCTACAAAGTGGTCATCACACGGGAATAATAGAGCTGGCTACAGACCACAACCAGCAATATTATTTAAAAGTAAGGTCACACTTTTAATAATAAGTCACATTTTAAGTTATTATCAATTTATAAAACACACTGTTGGTATAATGATAGCTTTTCAAGAAGGATATAAAAAGGCATGTTGGGCTGGGTGCAGTGACTCACGCCTATAATCCCAGCACTTTGAGAGGCTGAGGTCGGCGGATCACTTCAAGCCAGGAGTTTGAGACCAGCCTGGCCAACATGGTGAAACCCTGTCTCTGCTAAAAATACAAAAAAAAATTAGCTTGGCGTGGCGGCGCATGCTTGTAATCCCAGCTACGGGGGAGGCTGTGGCAGAAGAATCACTTAAAACCTGGGAGGTGGAGGTTGCAGTGAGCTGAGATCGCGCCACTACACTCCAGCCTGGGCAACAGAGCCAGACTCCGTCTCAAAAAAAAAGAAAAAAAAGAAAAAAAGTAAAAAGGCATGTTGAAGGTACCTGCTTGTGGAAAGTTGCAACTTGACGGGAGGTAGGGCGAGCACTTCTTAGAAAGGTGGAAATGGGCCCTCCTGCTACAGAGACCCACAAACATAGACTGAGGCCTGCAGCCTAGGAGACTCAAAAGAGGCAAAGGTGAATAAGAGTCAAGGTCTCCAAGTCAGGGTCTGACTCTGGGGGTGGGGGTCACATATGATGGAGGATGTCAGGAGGGCTTCCTGGAGGTGGTGACATTTACCAGGGGGGATTTTAGGTGGGGTTTGCGAGACAGTAGGACCTGGCTGAAGAGCGTAGGCTCCTTAGACAGGAGTGGGAATTCAGGCTTGAAAATGAGTTGGCCAGATTGCAGGGGTCCTCGAATGCAAGGGAAGAATTTCAACTTTAACAGAGGAGCCTGGGAAGCTGTTTGGGAAAAGGAGTGATAAAGCGGGAGGGGTCCTCCAGCAGAGCCCTGCATGGGCAGGAGGGAGCGAGATGGGAGGTGGGTGTTGGTAAGGGATGATCCCAGTGGTCCAGGGGAGCAGTCATAGGGTGGAAACTAACCTTGTGGGGTCTGGGCAGGAAGGGACTGATTTGAGACACCGGGAAGAAACAGCCAGTAGGACTTTGGTGAGAGGGCTGGGGGTCGGGGAGGGGGGTGTGGAGAGTGGGAGCTTGAGTCTCTGAAAACAGACAGTGTTCCAAGGGGGAGACCTGAGGCAAGATGTGGAGAGGCAGCTGAGCTGGGAAGCTGGAACGGAGGTGTGGTCACTCCAGGAGACTAAGTCAGGGGGCGAGGGGACCCTTGGGAGCTATCTAGACCCCAGCACTAGGGAATACGGAGGGGAGAAGGAGGGGAGAAGAACCAGCTGGTGCGTGTCAGGCACTGCCCTCGAGGTCAGATGGGGTGGGGCTGGATACTGGCCATGAGGATTTTTTCAAGAGCTGGGTTAATAGTGAGACGGGCGGACACCAGATGGCTCGGGCTAAGAAGTAAGTGGGCGGTGGGAAGCTAGAAGCCGTGGTGTAGACCTACTTTGAGAGGTTGGGCTGTTCAGACAGGGAGAAAGTTCACAGTTTGAGGAGGTAGATAGGTCAAAGGAAGAGGGTTTGCTTGTTTTTGAGATTGGGGCATCCTGAACGTTCTCCCAGGCCAAGTGAGAAGAAACCAGAAGAGGAACATGTCACCCAAATGTGCTGAAACAGCCCAGCAGCTGCGCTGCCTCACAGAAAATGTGCAGAGGCCCCTCTGTCCCACCATGCCTGCCTGGGGACGGCCTTCACTCGGGCTACTCAGGGTTTCCCCAGCCTGCCAACCCAAGGGTGGCAGGAGCTGTGGGTGCTCCCAGCCCCTTCTCAAGGTTGGTCTGTGGGTAGAAATGTGGGCTGCCTCGGGGCGTCACAGCTACAAATGCATACCAGCCCTCAGAACCACATTCCTGCTCCCCAGCCCTTTCCTCCGCACCCCCATGCAGAAGCGCGGCCGCCAGCTCACAAAGGATAGGGAGGGATATTGCTCTTGGCATTTGATGGGAAGCATCTGCTGCATCCCATTGGGGTGTTGCCCAGGATGGATTGGAAAAGAGTTGGCAGGAAGGCTGAGCTCTGTGCTCACAACCTGGCTTGGTGGTGGCCGAGGAGCTTGGCAGGAGCAGAGTGCAGGACCTGGGAACTGGGGGTTGGTGCATGTGTGCACGCACGTGTGTGTGTGTGTGCGTGCGTGCTGGGTGGGTAGGGAGGAAGCTGTGAAACCACATCCCCTCCTCTCTGCTGCTGTGTTGCTGTGTGTTTCAGCAGCACGTGGGTGTCACCACACTTCCTAGCAGGTGTCAACCTCCAAGACTGTTCTGGGCTCTTCTCCCAGTTGGCTGAGTTGGAGGTGGGAGTCCCAACTGTCCCCTGTGGCTTCCAGAGTGGGACCTTGCTGTGGGATAGGCTGGCCAATGGTGCTCCCTCCCCTGTGACCCTTCTGTTGGGTGGGTCACGAGGAAGGACTGTGGGTGTTGCCCACAGACAGGTGGACATGTGGCAAGGACACCTTGGGACCTTCTTTCTGACGCCCCTTGAAGGGGGCACTTTCTCAGCTTTGAGATGAGTCTCTGTGGATGTGGGAAGTTCACTATCTCAAGAGCAGCAGCCTTGGAAAATCCAACACAGAACCCCGAGTAGGGGCGGGAAGGGGTCCTGTCCCGCTCACTGGCTGCCTGGCAGAGTTCTGCACAAGGAAGCGCCTGTGTTGCTGTGGGCGGAGGAATGGACTGAGGGCTACATTCGCTTCCTGTTGCCGCTGTAACTGCTTATCACAAACTCAGTGGCTTAAAGCAACAGAGGCTCCTTCCTTTACAGTGCTAAGGGTCAGAAGCCGATCAGTCTCACCGGACTAAAGTCAAGGTGTTGGCAGAATCCATTCCTGCCTCTTCCAGCTTTGGGTGGGAGGCTCTGCTGGAGTTCCTTGGCTTGCGGCTGCATCCCTCCAGCCTCTGCCTCCATCCTCCTACAGCCTCCTCCTTCTCTGCAGTCAGATCTCCCTCTGCCTTCCTCTTTTTTTTTTTTGAGACGGAGTCACCCAGGCTGGAGTGCAGTGGCACAATCTTGGCTCACTGCAGCCTCCGCCTCCTGGGTTCAAGCGATTCTCCTGCCTCAGCTTCCCGAGTAGCTGGGATTACAGGCATGTGCTACTACACCTGGCTAATTTTTGTATTTTTAGTAGAGACAGGGTTTTGCCATGTTGGCCAGGCTGGTCTTGAACTCCTGACCTCAGGTGATCTGCCTGCCTCAGCCTCCCAAAGTGCTGGGATTGCAGCCATGAGCCATCACACCTGGCCTGCCTCCCTCTTAAAGGACGCTTGTGATTTGGGGCCCACCTGGGTAATCTCTTCATCTCAACATCTTCAGTTACATCTACAGAGTCCCTGTTGCCACATGAGGTAACACAGTTTGGGAAGGGAGAGTTATTCAGCCTACCCTAGGGGCCTGTGGTGTATCTCAGGGCCCTTCTGATTTTAAGATATAAAGCAAGAAAACAAACTGGCTCAAGGGGAAAAAAGGACACGTTGAATTCTGTTGCTTTAAATGTATATTTTTTTATTGTGCTAAAATGCACAGAACATAAAATTTGCCATTAGTAACACTGAGTACATTCACAGTGTCGTGCAACCATCAGCACTGTCTAGCGCCAGAACTTTTTCATCACCCCAAAGGGAAACCCCGTATCCATGAAGGACTCACTCCCCATTCGCCCTCTCCAGCCCTTGGCAGCCACCAGAATGCTTTCTGTCTCCATAAATTCATTTTTAATAAGTGCAATTCTGTGTGACTTTAAAATAAATAAACATGAGCACGATGAGTTGCTTATTGGAAGGATATCCATGCGGGGAGGCCGGCGTGTGGAGTGCGTAGGCCTCCGGACGGGCAGGAGTTGAAGGGGCGTGGATGTGCCGCCCTCTCCTCCCCTTGCTCTTTCCTTGGGGTCACTGCCTGAGTATCCCTCTTTGCAAATGGCCCCAAATAATGTCTCAGCCCCCACGTCTGCATCGCCTCCTAGCTTCAGGACCCTCCACCAAAAAACATTCCAAGCTTCAGACTCACTCCTGGGAAAATTCCAATGGCCTCACTCTCCCTTTTGAGCCAGCCAGATCCCATGGCCTGTGGCGGGCTGCCTTTGAGTCCTGAGCACCTGTGAGCTAGGGAAGCAGGACAGGCACACCCAGGGAAGGGGAAGAGTCGTCGTCAGTCACAGTAATTGATATCTTTGGAATCGTCTAAGAGATACTTAGCGTGTGCCTAAAACATTCATTTCTTTTTTTGTTTGTTTTTTGAGACGAAGTCTCGCTCTGTCGCCCAGGCTGGAGTGCAGTGGCGTGATCTCAGCTCACCGCAACCTCCTCCTCCCGGGTTCAAGCGATTCTCCTGCCTCAACCTCCTGAGTGGCTGGGACTACAGGCACACACTACCACGCCTGGCGAATTTTTGTATTTTTAGTAGTGACTGGGTTTCACCATGTTGGTCAGGCTGGTCTTGAACTCCTGACCTCAGGCAATGTGCTCGCCTTGGCCTCCCAAAGTGCTGGGATGACAGGTGTGAGCCAACACACCTGGCCACATTCATTTCTTAGGAGAAGCTCTGCATTTTCTGAAAGTGAAATGTCCCCAGGCGGGTGACACTGATGGTGGGATCTGTGGCCTCACCAGTGTCTTATGAGAGATGCCGCTGTGTGTTTCACCAAGCTGTATCCTATTGTCCTCTAAATGTGGCTTGTAGACATGGTGCCGAGAATGATCTGGGAGGTTCAAATCATAATATGGTCCAAATCAACAGCTCTCTGATGACCTGGTATTATCCTAGGATCAAATTGAGACTATCCGAGGATGGGCGTGGTGGCTCACGCGTGTAATCTCAGCACTTCAGGAGGCTGAGGCGGGCGGATCAATTGAGGTCTGTAGTTTGAGACCAGCCTGGCCAACATGGTGAAACCCCATCTCTACTAAAAATACAAAAAGTAGCCGCCGGACATGGTGGTGTACGCCTGTAGTCCCAGCTACTTGGGAGGCTGAGGCGGGAGAATTGCTTGAACTCAGGAGACGGAGGTTGCAGTGAGCCAAGATCACGCCATTGCGCTCCAGCCTGGGTGACAGAGCAAGACTCTGTTCCCCGGCAACCAAAAAAAAAAAAAAAAATTGAGACTCTCCGAGCTGCACTGTCCAGCATGATAGCCACTGGCTGCACGGGGCCATTTGAACACCTGAAATGTGGTGATTCCAAGTGGAGAGGTGCCGTGTGTGTGAAGTGCACTCTGGGTTTCAGAGTCCTAGCAAGGGGGAAAGAAAAGAATATCAAATATCTGTCATTTTTACATTGATTACATGTTGAATTGATAATATTTTGGGCTCTGTTAAGTGAATGATATTAAAATTAATATCACCTGTTCTTACATTTTTTAATGATTTCCTTTTTCTTTTCTTTTCTTTTTTTTTTTAAATATGGGGTCTCACACTGTTGCCCAGGCTGGAGTGCAGTGGCACGATCTCGGCTCACTGCAACCTTTGCCTCCCAGGTTTGAGCGATTCTCCTGCCTCAGCCTCCCAAGTAGCTGGGATTACAGGTGGCTGCTACCATGCCTGGCTAATTTTTGTATTTTTAGTAGAGACAGGGTTTTGCCATGTTGGCCAGGCTGGTTTTGAACTCCTGACCTCAGGTGATCTGCCCACCTCAGCCTCCCAAAGTGCTGGTATGACAGGCGTGAGCCACTGTGCCTGGCTTGTTCTTACATTTTTTATTGTAGGTGCTGGAAAATGTAAGGTTGCGTCTGTGGCCCATGTGCCGTTTCTGCTGGAGGGTTGGACCGAGGGCCAGCCGAGAAGGCTCTGGGGCTGCTCTACCTGAATGCTGAGTGTGTGCTGAGCGGTAGAGAACTTTGAGAAGTGCTGAAGGACAGAGGCTTTGTGTGGGGGATGCAGCCCCAGGCCGGAGATGCCTTCTCTGTGCTCTGGAGACCCTCATTTGGTGACAGCAAGAGGAACCACTGCAAGAGGGGCGGCCACCTCAGCAAAGCACCCAGGATGCTGGCCTCCCAGCTCAGGAATCCAGAGGCAGAGGAGGGGAGGAGGCTGGGCTTGGAGGAGAGCAGGGTCTTGGGCCCTGGGAAAAGCCTGGGGGGCCAGAAAGCTGGGGGACAGATTGAGGCCAGAGGCAAAGAGAAGAAGGTTCGGAGAGGAGGGCCAAGGAAGAAGGGTTCTGCCCACGGGGAGGGAGAGGCCCACGGGGCAGGGGCGTGGTGGGAGCTGCATCCTCGAGGCTTTCTGTTGACCCTGACACCTGGCCAGAAAGGAGTTCCTTCTGGCATCCTTTGTCAGCGGTTTCTGGAGCTGCCCTTTAGGGGCCAGTGATGAGGGTGCCCTGGGCTGGGCTGCAGACAGTGGAAAAGACAGGCTCTTCTCACTCCCAGTGCTGGGGAAATTAGCTTCTTGGAGGAAGGGGGAGCTGTATTTTCTGAGTGGCCGCACTTCCTGGCCTAGACGTGTGTGTCTTGCTGTAATTTTGGCGACTGGTGTTGGTGGTGCCCATTTTATGGATGGGGAAGGTCAAATTCCACAGATATTGAGTGACAGGCCCAGGGCCTTGGATTTCAGTGTTTGACTCAGAACCCAGGTCTCTGATCTGCCACCAGCCTCCCTCCCATTCAGATGGGAACAGGGACTCCGGGCATGCAGTCTTCTCCCAGACACTCCCCCGGCTCTGGCCTGGCGCCCGGAGACCAGTAGCAGCAGCTCCCCACGGCCGTTCACTGTGAGGGTGGGGAGGGCCGTGGGACCAGGAGGCCTTAGGGGGAAAGTTGGCCATGAGGAGTGGGAAGCGACGGGTCAGATGCCAGTGACTGCTGGCTGGGGAGCCGCTGGACGTGGCTGGCCTGTTTGGCCAGTGTGGCGGGTGCCCCGGGGCTTCAGTCACCCCCAGCCACGTGTGGGGGTGCGGGATGGGAAAGGTAAGAGTGTGTGGAGCCCAGTCAGCACTCAACATGAGGTCCCGTGGGGGCTGCCTGAGGGCGTAGCTTCCAGAATTCAGCCCCTGGCCCTCAGAAGGTGTCACCAAAGGCTTCTTTCCATTTGAGTGAATCCCTCCCAGCCCCCAGCAAGCCCTCGGAACGAGCCCACTCCCAGGCGCTCTCTCCTAGTGTGGGAGTGGCCACGCCCCTGCTGGGAGTGACTCACTTGGGTTCAGAGGTCGTGGCACTGAGATGGGTCTGGCAGATCCCAGCGTCCAGGCCCAGCCCCTATAGTGTCAGCTCCCTCCTCTGGGGACCCCCTTGCTTGTGCCCCTCTGGGTCCCAGCACATCCCAGGCCTGCAGGGAGGGGGAGAGGAAGAGACTGACTCACTGGCCAGGTCCCCCAGGGGCTGGAGAGGCTGGAGAGGCAGGAGCTGGATCAGATCTGAATCCAGAGGCTCTCGGAGGAAGAGCTCAGGGTGAGCTGCGCCCCCATCCCCTGCCCCTCCTCTCCTGCTCCTTCTCCCTTCCATGGTCCCAGCCAGCAAGCACCTGGGGTAGAGGGGACAAACCCAGGTGGCTGTGTTCCAGCCCTGGCTGCAGGTCTGAATGGCTTTCTGGGGTGGCTGGCCATGCTCCCTGAGAGCCCAGCTGTGGCGATGTCTGAGCAGGTAGGTGGGGGAGCACCTAGGAAGCAGGGGTGTCAGGCAGAGCACAAGGAGAGAGGGTGTCCAGGTCAGTTTCAGGACCTGGCTGAGAGGAGGGGGCTCCTCACGGGCACCGCCTCTGGCAAGCACAGGGACAAGGGCAAGGACGGCATGGCCAGAGGTCCCTGGGAGCCTCTTCCCCTCTCTTCTTCCTAGCAGCTCCCCCTCACTCTTCCCAGGGACCCTGTCACTTTCCTTTAGCGTGTGGCAGCTCCTTGGCGTCCCTCCCGTGCCTTCAGGTTGCTTCTGCGCCGGGCCTGCCGCTGGGCGCCCCTATCTCTGCCTGCCCCCTCCTCCTGCTCCCCTCGCCCTGCCCCCTTGGAGCAATTCCCCACCGAGCCTCCCTTCCCAGGCAGTCGAGGTCCCTCCCTACCTCTGCCCCGCGCTCTGGGAGGCTCCTTGTTCCGCGACCACAAAGCCCCTTTGATCCTCTGCTCGGCTCTGAGCCATGTGACCCGGTGGGCGGGCCGCGGCTCTCGGCGCGTCCAGCGCAGCCCGACGTTCCGCTGCTGGGGTGAGTCCTGCTCCTTTGTTCTTCCCAGCCTTGCACCACTGGCTCGGGGGCTCTCAGGTGGCGCGGCCGCGAGGCGGACCCTGATGGCCATGGTGGCGGTGCCGGGAGCCACGCTGTCCCTGGGCCCCGGCCCGAGGCCGGCAGGACCGAGCGGGGTCCCCAGGAGAGGGGTGGCGGGGAGCTCGATCTCCACGCGGGGACCAGATTTTCGGCCTCAAAATAGAAGAATAGGGCTTTGTGTGGTCACAGCTATCTCTTTGTAAATATTTGGCCAACTAAGCTGAGTGGCTAAGTTCTCCTGCTGCCCGGAGCTTCTTGGAACATGTTTCCTTTTCGCAAGGGGTTTCCCTGGCTTCCAGGAGGGCCAGGAAGAAATTCGAATTGGCCACCGCTTTCTCTAAAATCACTCCGCTCAAGTTATCACCCCTCTGGGCTCCCGAAGACCGGCTGGCTGGAGGCTGGAGATAGTCTCAATGCTCGAAATGCCGTAACCGAAGCTCCCCGCGGCGCCGGCACTGGGATCCAGGGAGCTGCTGCTACAGCGCAGCTCTGGATTCCTGGATGTGTTGGATATGTGCAGGGCGTTCCTGGGAGGAGCGGGGAGGGAGGGTGCTGCTGGCGGGGCTGGTCTGCGTGTGCTTTGCTTCTCTACAATGGCATGCTGCGTGTCGGCCATGCAGAGGCATGTCAGTGAGCAGGGGCTGAGGGATCTCCCTAACGGACCTGCTTTCAGAGGGTCTTTTCATGCTGGGAGAACCCCAGAGACTAAATCATGCAGCCAACGGGGTGGTCCCCGGCCTCAAAGCAGGGAGGGGCGAGGAGCTTTGTAGGCAATGCCATCTGCTCCTGAAACGCCGTCCCAGTGACTCTGGGGACTGACTCAGCCTCCAGCCTGCTGCACTTCATCCCTGGCCCCTCTCTCTTTGCTTTTTCATGTGAAATCTGCTGTGTTTTGGTCAGAGGTTTGGGGAACAGCTCTCTGCTCATCTAAGATAAGTTTGTAATTCCTTTCCTGGAGAAAAATATGCCACCCGGAAGCAGGTTGAGCAGTGGTTTTCTGGCAGGTCTGTTCGGGGCTGTGGAGACAGCACCTGCTGGATCAGGATGGAGTTGGAATTTGGTTTGGATCCCACATGAGAAAACCCGTTGGAAGAGGAGGAAGCAGAAAAAGGCCCCATTCCCTAATAATGCTGTGGGTTTTCCTCCTCCATTCATTGCCACCTTGCCTTGAAACTTAATGGGGCCACGTGTGTTTCCATGAATGTCATTCTCTTTGGCCAACTCCCCCGGCAGCCCCAGGAGCTCCTTTTCAGGAAAAGGAAGAAGGTGTTTGCTTAGCATCTAGTATACGAGTCCTTGTTGGAAAGGTGGGATTCTTGTTTCTCCTTGGGTCTCTTTTAGGCTGAGATGTGGTCAAGGAAGGCCTGTGGTGTGGCTCGCCTTTTTTAATGCTCGTCTCTGGAGACCTGAGTTGCTGCTGACTCCCAGCTTGCCCCTTCTGTCCCCTGGCCATTTCTGTGTCGGGGTGGCTGAGACACTATTGCATTGGCCACTTTGTGTTCCCACTAGCCCCCGCCCCTGTAGGCTGTCATTGTGATGGTGATGGGGCCAATTCAGCTGCGGTGGGGAGGACCCACTGTGTGCGCCTGGGGGGTGGCGTGGGGCACTCTGGGATGAGAAGATGCGACTTCTGCCCTGAGAGCCCTGCTTTAATGGAAGGCGGGGGCATAGTTGCAGGCAGAAGCCATCAAGCACTGTGGTCAGACCAGCATTCCATGTCAAAAATGGCCTTGTTGGCCGGGCGCAGTGGCTCATGCCTGTAATCCCAACACTTCAGGAGGCCAAGGCAGGCAGATCACCTGAGGTCAAGAGTTCGAGACCAGCCTGGCCAACATGGTGAAACCCTGTCTCTACTAAAAATACTGGCTAATCCGGGCATGGTGGCGCGTGCCTGTAATGGCAGCTACTCGGGAGGCTGAGACAGGAGAATCACTTGAACCTGGGAGGTGGAGGTTGCAGTGAGCTGAGATTGTGCTACTGCACTCCAGTCTGGGCAACAAGAGTGAAACTCTGTCTCAAAAAAAAAAAAAAAAAGCCTTATCTGGGCCTGGGATCTGTCCTCCGAACACTGGGTCCACTGTGCTCCACAAGGACTTTCACCCCGGAAGCCCTAGACCCACTTGGGCAACCAGAGTCTCTGGGTTGACCACTCCCCAGCCCTGGCCAGCCTCCTGGGCCACCGTATTCTCCCAACTTCCTGTTGTGCCACGGCTGGTCCAAGCTGCTCTTATCAGACAATGCGAGGCACTTCCACAGGAGGGGACAACCCCGTCCTTAGGAGCCCCTTCTCCCTGCCCCCAGGCCTGGTGCAGTGTGTGGCTTCCCTGCCGGTGTCAAAGGTCTCAAGGCCCCTTTAAGAAGCCTGTCACCACCACCAGCAGCTTCCGTTATCTGGTTCTTCTGTACATGTAAGCCTTTCCCATACACCCCGGATGTTTAGGGCTTCCGCCCTCTCTCCCTGGCCGGGAGTGTGGGAAGAGGGCTTTATTTCAATGCTTGAGAGTAGGGTCAATGGCCAGGGTAAGCTGTGGGGGCTCCTCCCCGCCGGCCCCTCTCTGCAGCCCTCACCTTAACACAGAGCATCGATACCACCTGGGCTTTGGGAAGACCTGGAGGCTGACCACCCTGGAGGCTCCCAGCGTCCCACAGCCACTCTTTGGGGAAGAGGCTTCCTGAGGGACTTGTGGCCCTTGGCTGGGACTCTAGTCCCAGAGTTCTGCCTTCCGGCGCCGAGCTTTGATTTGTTTATTGAGTGCCAGCCCGGTTCCCGGACAGGTAGGGACCTGTTCCCGGAGCTCAGCAGAGCCTTGGGAAGCTTTCCCAGGAGGGCTCCCGAGGGTGGCGGCCATGCCCAGTCCGCTGTACGTGTGAGTTTGTTTGATGAGGAATTGGCTGGGAAGGCGCGGGTCTAATTACAGGCCCATGAGGGTCCCTCTCGCCCCCACCCAGGAAGCAGCGGAGATCCTGGCACACTCAGCACCTGGGCCTGTGCCTGCCCAGCTGCTGGTGGAATCATGGGAGCCTTGCTCCGGGGCCTGTAGAGCAGCAGTGGGAACCTTCCCCACCTCAGCCCCTCCCAGAGTTGGCTGTTCAAACTCGCCGCCGCTCAGCCTCTTCCTCCTCTCTTTCATCAACCCTGGGAATCGCACACTGCCCACCCCACCGGGCCCCGGAGCGGGTGCAGGAAGAGAGAGCTTAACACCCAGAGGTCTGGGCCTTCTGCAGGCGCCTGAGCTGCTGTGGCCTGAGCTGGGTTCCCTGCTGGAACCATCACAGTAGACCTAATGATCTGCCTGCAGGAGTTGCTTCATCCCAGCCGACTCCGGGGCTGCGGGAAGGGGCTGGGCCTTGGTTTTGCTGGGGGTGGGGGGTCAGTGCAAAGGGCCTGAAAAGTGGCAGAGGTGATGGCCCATCTGTCCTCCCCCTGGCCGGCCGGCCTAAACGCGATTGGCTCTCTTTCTTTTTTTTTTTTCCCTCCCTTTTCCCTATAAATAACACTAAATGCGATTTGTCAATGCATTCATTTGGGTTCAGTAGTTGGACCATGGGCAGAAGCACTCCAGATTTGTCACTTTCCCTAAGCTAAGGGTGGGGAACACCCTCTGTGAGATCTTGGCTCCTGAGCGCCCAAGACTGCTCTTGGAACCCCAACTCTGGGTCGGTCTCAGGGGACTGACGTTGATGGAGTTGCTGACATTGACCTCCGGCCTCTGCATGGCCTTCAGGAAGGGGGCCCTTCGCTCTCTGTCCCGTCGAGCCTGGCTGGCAGCACTCCCTTCTCAGGCCTGTGCCCCCGGCAGGGCCTGCTGCCCCCGCCCTGCTCTGTGGGTGCCAGGCTCCAAGCACCAGGTGACTCGGTCACTGAATGGTCACTGAACAGTCATCCTTGCTGGTGTCCCCAGTGGAATGTGCATGGACGTCCTCCCTCCCCCAGATCCTTGTCTTTTATCTCTCAGCCTTTGTTCCAGGGGCCACCACAGGACCAGGAGGTACGCAGACGTGGGTGGCACATCCACTGGGCAGATTCAGCCCTGAACCTGCACGCCCCCTCCAAGGGGGCCCCCAGCGGGCGGGGTTGATGGTGCCGTCTCTCTCTCTGTCACTAGAACGGACATGAGGATTGTGTCTTGTCGATCCACGTCCTGAGTTCCCAGACGTCATAGGTGCTTGCTCAACGAGTGTTTGAATGAATGGTCAGCATTGTGTGACCGCAGATTTTCAACTTTTATCCAAATAGTTTGTGGTTTCTGTGAGGCTATCCCGAGACAGTCTCACAAGAATCTCCATTCTCCCTGCACGCTCCGCACAAGGTCTCCTTGGGGGGTTTTTCAGAAAAAGGGCCAAAGAGCAGCATTTCCTCGGGGATTTGAACACGATCTCCCCCGGGGCAGGGGACTGCCCTGGAAGATTCCCGGCACCGCTTCCCATGCGCCACGTGACTAGGAGGGTCTTGGGGCAGGATGGTGTCTTTTGTGCCTTGTGTGCTGGGGCCGGAGGAAACACTGCCCGTGGCCGGTGTCATCTGCCAGCCCTGAAGACTAATGATGGGCTGGACAGTGGCCCCATTGAGTGGGAGGGAGAATCGCTGCTGTCTGTAGCTGGGGGGCCGGGTGGGTGGGAGCCGAGGCCAGGGAGAACAGCGCAGACCTGGCACGGAGAGGCCTGGAGGAGGAGCAGGGGGTCTCAGCCACCCAGGGTGCAGGGACGCCACACGAGGAGCAGGTGTGGTGTGCGTCCTCCTGCGGGTTCTCCACCTCTTGGCTTCGTTACCTGCACTAGGCTTTGTGGTGAGAGGGCACAGAGTGGAGGAAGGTGCCGTGGCTAGGGCAGGCCACACGCTGTGCTAATGGATTGCTGTTACCTGTCGCCTCTGTGGTTTTGCTGTCAGGATCCTCCAGCACCAGGTCCCCACCACCAGGTATGGGCCCCACAGGCACTACTGGCTCCCCGAAGCCAGGGACAGACCCCATAGACAATACTGAGTCCCTGCAGCCAGGGATGGGCCCCCACGGCCAGTACCAGATCTCAGGGACCAGCACCGGGTACCCACAGCCAGGGACAGGCCTCCATGGCCAGTACCAGGTCTCAGGGACCAGCACCGGGTACCCACAGCCAGGGACGGGCCCCCATGGCCAGTACCAGATCTCAGGGACCAGCACCGGGTACCCACAGCCAGGGACGGGTCCCCATGGCCAGTACCAGGTCTCAGGGACCAGCGCTGGGTCCCCACAGCCAAGGACAAGTCCCCACGGCCAATACCAGATCCCAGTGACCAGCACTAGATGTCCACAGCCAGAGATGGGCCCCTATGGCCAGTACCAGGTCTCAGGGACCAGCGCTGGGACCCTGGATGACTGAAGGAGGGCACGGTTGACTAAAGCTGCAGGAGCCAGCCTGGCCATCCTGAGGCACTAAGCCATCACTGCGGTCTCAGGGGACTCAGACTCCTCTACTTGTCTTCTTGAATTCTGGAATCAGACACACCTGGGTCCAGCCTTTGCCCCCGGGGCTGTGTGCCTGGGATGGTTGCCTCACCTCCCTGAAGCTCAGTGAGATGGGGACGGCTGCACAGGGCCCGGCACAGATGGCACCCGATGGCACAGGGTCACCTGCTTGCATCCATACAGCCTCGGCCCTCGCTCTGGCTGCGTACCGAGAGTCCCATGCCCAGACCTCTGCTGAGTCTCCAAGCTCCTGGTCATGCCTCAGGCCTCCCGTGAGAAGCATCACTGCATGGACCATGCCTCGGGACCTCACCTTGGGCTGGGAAGCTTGCTCCATCTCCCCAAGTCTCCCCTAGAGGCGCCCCATGTCCCATCACTCTCACTGCTTGAGGGGTCAGATAGGGGAACCCAGTGTGGGAGGCCCAGAGGTGCCGGAGCAGACGTTAAGCGAGTTCCGTGTTTATGCGCTGGGCCTTGGCAGACACCCTGAATGAGCCTCTTCCCCAGGAAGGAGATTGGGGTCCCAGTCCAAGTTGTGGCCTCAAACCCTGTGACCAAGAGTGGAGAAAAGGCAAGACCCCTCCTCCCAGTCTTCCAGAACAGCCGATAGTGGTGGAAACATGGGGTTCACACTGAATTTCCTTGTAACTTGTTGAAGAGAATTTAGCCCACATTTTCAGGGGTGGAGGTCTGGCCGATTTGGCAGTGTGCCCGTCCCCCTGGCCACAGTTTACTCTGGACCGGGCACCCTGGTGCCCTCCCTCAGTGACGCAGTGAAGTCACTATGACGTGTTTAGTTGGTGAGAAAGTGCCTCCTGTAATGTTTTACTCTTCTTAGAGGGTGAATAAGCCTTGTTTATTATAAATAATTATTTACAGAATACATGAGGTTTAACCTAACTCTGGGCCACGGCAGCGTCCCCTGGGTAAACCCACGCGCCACCCTAGCTAGAGCCTGTGCCCCCACAGGCTTCCTGGACTCACCCTGAAGGGGGGCTGGATTTTCTGCCTGTCCCGATGAGAGGGCTGCAGGACAGTCCCCAGCGAGCCCTTCTGAGGGCTGTAACCTCTTCCCCTGGTATTTTCCTGCTCGCCAGGAATGTTTCAAGCTTCCAGCAGAAGCCTACCCACCATAGTCGCTTTCCACCCTGCTCACCATCCCTCCTGCCCTCACTCATTCAGCAGACCCCGTGCACAGCCCAGTGCAGGACTCAGGGTGGGAAGGTGTCCCGGGTGGGCTGGAGCAAGGTTCCCAGCCAGGGCGGGGTCCCAAGGTGGGTCCACAGCCAGGACTGTGATTTGGGAGGCCCCTCCCTGCCTTGTTCCAGCCCCGGCACCGCCGCTGTCCTTGTGCTCAGTGGAGACTCACTGGCTCCAGGCTCTAAAACCTCAGCGAGGTCTGCAGACAGGGAGGAGCCCCACTCGAGGGTAGAGTGACTGCCGGGTCCATTTGCCTGTTACGAACCACGTGGCCTCAGACCTGCCATTCCTCCTCTCCTAGAGCTATGGTCTTTTGTCTGAAAAATGGATAATGATGGTTACCATGTCAGGGACCATTTTGAGGACAAACGGGGATGAAACTGAAGAGGCTCAGCACGGAACCTGGACACAGAAGTGCTAATTGTGTGTTACCAGCTGCGGTGGCTGCCAAGGCCCAACCACATGGCAGCCACGGGCTGAGTGGCGGGCGGGAAGTGGGGAGCAGGAGCATGCAAGATGGGCATTCCTGAAGTTTCTGATCCAGTGAGATAAGTACACACCCAGCTCTAAGATGGAGTGTCCCAGGAAGGTGGAGACTGCAAAGGCCTTGTGGCGCAGGAGTGTGAGCTGCACCTCTGGGCTCTCTAGAATTTCACCAGAGCTCAGGGAGGAGGTCAGCTCAGATATAGGGGCAACGGGAGAGATGGGAGTGAGAAAATGGCTTGGCGTCTGGAAGTGGAGCCTGGAAAGGTGGGCGTGGGGACAGAGGAGGGCCTTGGGGGCCATGGGCCCATGCGTCCAGGAGGTGGAGGCAGTGAACGGGGCCACGGTCGGCCCCACACGTGGCACCACCAGCCCTGCTGAGCCTGCACCTGCTCCTCAGGCCCCCTGAGTGCCACTACCACCTGGCACCCCTTGGTCTGATTCCTGCTTCCTGCCCGCCTGGGAAGAGTGAGACCACTTGCCTAAAGTCCCTTAGCTGTCCTTAACCATTCTGGCTGCCTCCTGGCCCTGTCCAGGGTTAGCCGTTGACCTGAACTGCCTGGTGCCACCTCCCCAGACTCCTGGGGCCTTGCCCTGGCACCAACAGCCACCTCCATCTTCATCATTCACTCGCACATTCACCCAGCAGTGCTTTTTGGGCATCCACTCAGCAATATCAAGGCGCTGAGATGCGGCTGTGGTTAAGACCCGGGCCCGGTCTGTGAGGACCTCGCAGTTGCCATTTCCCCAGAGCACAGCCCCAGCCAGGCACACTGTGGGGTCCAGAAAGAGAAACTAATACATTGTGTTCGTCCATTTTGAGTTGCTATAAGGAATAGCCGAGGCTGGGGGGTTATTTGACTCACGGTTCTGCAGGCTGTACAAGTGGTGCCAGCATCTGCTTGGCTTCTGGGGAGGCCCCAGGAAGCTTTTCCTCATGGTAGAAGGTGAAGGGGGAGCTGGCACGTCACATGGCGAGAGAGAGAACTCCCAGACTCTTTTTTTTTTTGAAATGGAGTCTCGCTGTGTCAGCCAGGCTGGAGTGCAGTGGCACAATCCTCGGCTCACTGCAACCTCAGCCTCCTGAGTAGCTGGGATTACAGGCGCATGCCACCGCGCCCGGCTAATTTTTTTGTATTTTTACTAGAGATGGGGTTTCACCATGTTGGTCGGGCTGGTCCCAAACTCCTAACCTTGTGATCCACCCACCTTGGCCTCCCAAAGTGCTGGGATTACAGGTGTGAGCCACCTCACCCAGCCCTCCCAGACTCTATAGCAATCAGATCTCCCGGACTTTGTGACCGTGGGGAGGGCACCAAACCATCCATGAGGGATCCACCCCCATGACCCAAGCCCCACCCCCCCCAGGCCTTACCTCCAACATCAGGGATCACATTTCAGCATGAGATTTGGAGGGGACAACGTCCAAACCATATCACACGTGACCTCTCTGTGCGTGCGTCAGTTTCTACATCTGGTTAAGCAGTAGAAGCTCCTTCTCTGTTCCTTGTTGAGAGAGCGGTGGGGGAGAAATGACTCAGGGATGGGAGGCTGGTCCCCCGAGGGGCCCTGGTGTTTGTGGAGTGGGAGTGCGGGAAGGCCCCTACGTTGTGTGTGCCGTGCTGGGCTGGCTCCTCACAGCTCACCGTGGTGCTCCCCGAGGACTGCTGGGGAGGAAAGAGCTAATTAACTTGGGGACCCAGCTGCTGAAGTTATCATTAAACTTGAGCAGTCCAGGGGCCCCTCTCCTTCTGGGTCCTATGTCACCCAGCACAGTGGGGCTTAATTGAATTTTTTCTCATCCCCCAAGGCTCCTGGCTGGCGTGGCTGGGGTTTGGGATACGGGGAGCGAGAGGGCTTGGGCCTCTTCCAGATTTGGAGTGGGTTCACCAGAAATGGCCCAGGAAACCGCGGGGGCCACCCCCAGCAGCTGGGGGCTCCTGTGGTCATTTCCTCTTGGTCCTGTTGAGCAGCCCTGGCCCCTGGAGCCCTCAGCAAGGGATGTGGGGGCCTGCCAGGCCAGGGTCCTCACTGCTGCCGCTATGCACAGCTGCATCTTGCATCCGGGGAGTGGGGTGCCGAGTGGGGTGTTTGGGAGGCAGGTTTTCCCTTGTCCCTTCTGCCCAGAGACCTTGGGGATGAGTTGAGTGAGACCCTTCCGGCTTCTGACTGGCTGTGTTTCTGTTGCCATCCCCCACTCCTTTTAAGTGGAGGTTTATGACTTCCTTCTTTATTTAAAAGGGTCATTTAGTGACTTAGCAGATCCCAGTCTGTGTTACCCAGGGCCCTTTTAAAAATCTGTGGGGAGGCTGGGCTTGGTGGCTCACACCTCTAATCCCAGCACTTTGGGAGGCTGAGGCGGGTGGATCACCTGAAGTCAGGAGTTCGAGACCAGCCTGGCCAACATGGAGAAACCCTACCTCTAGTAAAAATACAAAAAATTGGCTGGGTGTGGTGGCACGTGCCTGTAATCCCAGTTACTCGGGAGGCTGAGGCAGGAGAATCACTCAAATCCAGGAGGCGGAGGTTGCAGTGAGCCGAGATCACACCACTGCACTCCAGCCTGGACGACAGAGTGAGACTCTGTCTCAAAAAAATAAAAATAAATAAATAAAAATAAAAATCCATGGGGGGACCTCTGTGTCCATTGGCTGGTGTGAGGAGAGGGTGAGGAGCTGCAGAGAAGGTACCAGGCTGAGGACCGCCCCCACCCTTGGGCTACAGAATTGAAGGAGGGGACACATGAAAGATGTTCCTAGACTCGGGCTGGAGGCTGGGGACATCCGAGGGCAAGGACGACGCTGTCCCTGCTCTTGTTTGCAGAGGAGTGCACAGGGCTCACCAGCTTCTTGTTGCTGTTTAAGTGATAGCTTTATGGAGATAGAATTCACATACTGTGACGTTGACCTTTTTAAAATCTACAGTTCAATGGTTTTGCTGTATTCACAAAGTGATTGTATTAGGGTCATCCAGAGAAACAGAACCAATAGAAGGTGTGTACGTGTGTTTAGATAAAGAGATTTATTATTATGAGGAGTTGGCTCACCTCATTACAGAGGTTGGCAAGTGCCAAGATTGGCAGAGTAAATCAGCAGGCTGGAGACACGGGAGAGCCCATGTTGCGGCTCTGGTGTCCACCTGAAGGCCCAAGACCCAGGAGAGCCAATGGCGTCGTTCCAGTCCCGAGACCCAGGAAAAGCGCATGTGTCAGTTTGAGTCTGAAGCAGGAAAAATCTGATGTTCCAGGTTGAAGGCGGTTAAGCGGGAAGAATTCTCTCTCACTCAGGCCTTGTGTCCTCCTATTCAGACCTTCAGGCCTTTGTCACAAAATTACAAAGACCTGATCAGAACAAAATCTGAGAAAAAACCCTTTCCTTCTATCGGTTTTGGATTCATTGGCTGGGACCCTGGAAATTAGACTGACAGAGATTAACAGGAAACAAGCATAACAATTCAAGTAAGTTTTACTTGACACCGAGCCTTCATAAGGAAATGAAGACCCAGAGAAACCGTTAGCCTGAGCGGTTTTTGTTTTGTTTTGAGACAAAGTCTCACTCTGTCGCACGTCCAGGCTGGAGAGCAGTGGCCCGATCACGGCTCACTGCAGCCTTGACTTCCTGGGCTCAAGCTGGGGCCCAGCTGCCGGCCCCGGGAGCTGCTCTGAACCCACTCTTAAGTCCCAGCTCAGACTCCCAAGTAGCTGGGACTACAGGCATGTGCCACCCCGCCTGGCTAATTTTTTATTTTTTGTAGAGACAGGGTCCCACTATGTTGCCCGGGCTGGTCTCAAACTCCTGGGCTCGAGCAATCCTCCTGCCTTGGCCTCCCAAAGTGCTGGGGTTACAGGTGTGAGCCACTGTGCCCGGCCTAGGCCTGAACAGTTTTTATTTGTTTTGCTTGTTTTTTAAATTTGTTTGTTGCTTGTTTTGAGCAGTTTTTTTGTTTATTTCTTTTGCTTGTCTTTTGCCCAGGCTGGAGTGCAGTGGCATGATCTCTGCTCACTGCAACCTCTGTCTCCTGGGTTCAAGCCATTCTCATGCCTCAGCCTCCCAAGTAGCTGCGACTACAGGCGTGTGCCACCACACCCGGCTGATTTTTGTATTTTTAGTAGGGATGGGGTTTTACCATGTTGGCCAGGCTGTTCTTCAACTCCTGACCTCAAGTGATCTGGCCACCTTGGCCTTCCAAAGTGCTGGGATTGTAGGTGTGAGCTGCTGTGCCTAGCCTAGGCCTGAGCGTTTTTATGCTGGGTTTGATGAAGAGTGGAAAGTCGTGGGAAACTGTGACAGAGCAACAAAAGATGAGCTGAACAGTGAGCCCGTGGGGGTCTCGGCAAGACCTGTGTACTGGGGCCCCTCTCAGATCCTCTGTCTCTGGAGATGAGGCTGTTCCTTTCCGCTGGGTGTAGGGAGGGCACCTCTTACGTGAGGGGCTTATGATCTACTTCAGAGAAGGGGCAGGTCAGTGAGTTCTTCTTGGACCTGCCATTTCTTAAATTCCTTCAGCTGAAAATATTTACTATGCCAAGGCACTGTATCTTGGAGTGTGCGTTCCAAGCCCTGTTGCCTTCAACTGATCGGGTGAGGCCCACCCCCATCAGAGCACACAGTCTGCTTTACCCAGGCTCCTGATTGCACCCTTTTCCTGTTTGCCCCGAGAATACTCACCAGCAGTGCTTGTGGCTGCAGCGTTCACCCCAAGATAAATTTGCCGGGAAGTATCTTGCTTTTATTATTATTTTCACATCACTCTAGTATATCGACTTTGGAAACAAAAGACATCATTCTGTTTATAGCATTCCATTTTTAGTAGTGGTATTTCCTTTAAAAAAAAATGGTAATTCTCAGCTGGGTGTGGTGGCTCATGCCTGTAATCCTAGCACTTGGGAAAGCTGAGGCAGGCTGATCACCTGAGGCCAGGAGTTGGAGACCAGCCTGGCCAACATGGTGAAATCCCATCTCTACTAAAAATACAAAAATTAGCCAGGCGTGGTGGTAGGCACCTGTAATCCCAGCTACTTGGGAGGCCGAGGCCGGAGAATTGCTTGAACCCGGGAGGCAGAGGTTGCAGTGAGCCGAGATCGCGCCATTGCATTCCAGCCTGGACGACAGAGCAAGATTCCATCTCAAAAAATAAATAAATAAATAAAATTTAAAAAAAAATAGTAATTCTCGATCGCTGAAAATGTCAAATCCTAGAGAACACAGCATTCCTACAAGTGATGTTAACATTGTTCTTGATCAGTTGTTGGCTGAAGATTCATTTGATGAATCTGATTTTTCCAGAATAGACGACTCAGATGACTCTGTTGTTTTGCTTAGAAATAACTGCAGGAACAATTTAAAAAATTTTTTTTCTTTTTAATTTTTTTGTTTTTTGAGACGGACTCTCTCTGTTGCCCAGGCTGGAGTGCAGTGGCACGATCTCGGCTTACTGCAACCTCTGCCTCCTGGGTTCAAGTGATTCTCCAGTCTTAGCCTCCTGAGTTTAGCTGGGATTACAAGGTGCCTGCCACCACACGTGGCTAATTTTTTGTATTTTTAGTAGAGACGGTGTTTCACCAGGTTGACCAGGCTAGTCTCGAACCCCTGACCTCAAATAATTGGCCCATGTCGGCTTCCCAAAGCGCTGGGATTACAGGCGTGAGCCACCACGCCTGGCCAGTTTTTATATTTAATTTTCACACAGAGCATCCAGTCAGATTTGCTTCAGCCTCAAAGAGCGTGTTTATGTAAAATTAAGTGAGTGCTGGCAGTGAGCTGAACTTTCTAAAAGGTAAAAGGGTTAAATATTAAACTCATCCAAAAACACCTTCACAGACACACTCAGAATAATGTTTGACCGGTTACCTAGGTGCCCCATAGCCCAGTCCAGTTGACACAGAAATTTTTTTTTTTTTTTTTGAGACGGAGTCTCGCTCTGTCGCCCAGGCTGGAGTGCAGTGGCGCGATCTTGGCTCACTGCAAGCTTCGCCTCCCAGGTTCACGCCATTCTCCTGCCTCAGCCTCCCGAGTAGCTGGGACTACAGGTGCCCACCACCACACCCGGCTAATTTTTTTTTTTGTATTTTTAGTAGAGATGGGGTTTCACCGTGGTCTCAATCTCCTGACCTCGTGATCCACCCGCCTCAGCCTCCCAAAGTGCTGGGATTACAGGCATGAGCCACTGCGCCCGGCTGACACAGGAAATTAACCATCACAGTTACACAGCCATCGCCATTAATCCCAGCACATTTCATCATCCCCAAAAGAGACCCTGCCCCCATTAGCCAATCCCCATTCCCAACTCCGGGCTCTCAGCCCCTAGCCACCGCTCATCTGCCTTCGTCTCTATGAATTCACCTGTTCTAGATAGTTTGTATAAGTGGAATCGTACAGTATGTGGCCTTGGTGTCTGGCTCCTTTCACTTGGTAGAATATTTTCAAGGCTCATCCACATTGTAGCAGGTGCTGGTGCTTCATTCTTTTTCATGGCCGAATAATATTCCATCGTGGATAGACCACACTGTGTATCTCTTCATCTGCTGATGGACATTTGGGTTGTTTCTGCTTTTTGGCATAATTCTGTTGTGAAGAATTCTGCAGTGAGTGCTGGTCTACAGGTTTTTGTGTGAACATGTTTTCATTTCTCTTGGGTAATTGCAAGATCATGTGGTTTAGCCAACCAGCCTTTAAGCCATGTGTCTGCTGAGGGACCCAGGCCTGGTGGGGGTGCATTGCTGTGCTTGGCCAGCCAGGTGCTGCGAGTCCGTGTCGCAGCCATTTCTCTGTGCTGTGCTCTGAGGTTGTCTCGCCGGCACCGGGCACTGTGAGCCCCAGGAGGCCAAAGCCCCCTTTGTTTTATCTTGAGTCCAGGCCTCGCTCCATGAACTAGGATGAATGGACATTGAATCAACGCAGGGATGGGTGGGGCTGGGGTGGGGACGCAGAGTGACCCCGGGGGCCTGCAGCTGGGTCCTGGCTGCTGACTTCCAGTTTCCTTTGCCTGTTGGAGCCCAGAACAAGTCAGAAAGGGGAAATGCAAAGTTCGAGTGTCTTTTCTGTGGTAGACTGGCAGGCCTGGGTGGGTGAGCCACTTGCAGCTAGTTGCAGCGTGAGAGAGGAAGTGGGAGGGGAGGGAGAGGGTGAGTTTGGTGTAACTCACCCCTGGAAGGAGGCTGGGCTGAGGCTGGGGGAAGTGACTTTTATTTTTCTGAGAGGATTCTTCCCTGGGGCCAACTTCAAACCAAGGGAGACAAGACCTTCCTGGGGGAGGCTGGAAGTGCTGGGGCCCCCAGGTGGGCAGGTCTCCCAGGGCCAACGTCTTGGGGAAGCTATAAGTTACCATGTTTCTGGACTGTCACACACACACACACACACACACACACACACACACACACACACACACACACACGAGTAAACTGTAACACAAATGTGTGCCCATGAAAGTGCCCACTTTAAACCACCACACAGCCTGTAAAGCGAAGGCCCTGGCCCGCATCTGGGCACCCACTGCCCAGCCAGCCGGTAGGCAGTTTGCACTGTAGTCTGTTACCATCCCTCAGAGATGCAGCCGAGGAGCCCAGCTGGCTTGGAGGGCCCAGTGGGCGCAGCCTCAGGAAAGTGGTCAGGCCCGGGCCAGGCCCCTTCCCCCTCCCAGCCTTGGGAGAAATTACCATATGAATGTAGCTCCTTCCCGGAGTTCGGGCTGGAAGGGCCTGGGAGGGGACAGGCTCCCACCCCAGGAGCTTCCAGGTTCCGGCTGCTGCCTGTGTTAGCTGCGTGAGCGTGAGCGAGCCAGGGGTCACTACTGGGTGGAAGGAAGAAGCGGGCATTTCTTCCAGGAGGTCACCGTTGGAGTCCCACAGTAGGTCAACCCCAGGCCCTGGGTCCTCGGGAGGAGGAGAAAGAAGAGAAGCAGGAGGTGTGGAGGGTAGGCCAGGACCAGAAGGCACACAGGGTCGGGGCAGTGTGGGAGACCCTGGGGGCTCCCTCATTTAACCAGCTAACATCACAGCGTTCATAAGAACACGCTATTACTGCAGTTTTATTACTTTGCTCTGATTTCAGAAGGCACAACTGATGACTTTAGGGAACGGAGAATCTGAGGAAGGCCTCGCAGGAGAGGGTCAGATGCGATCGAGTAAATGTGAGCCGTCTGTAAACTGTAGAGTGCACGCACAGCACCGGTCAGCCCTGGGGTCAGTGTTCCCCTGGTGCTCAGCTCGGCCTCTGCACCTTTTAGTGCTCGGCTGGGCTCTGTGGGGGTCAGGGCTGGGTCTGGTACATTAGAGGACTTCTACCAAGCCCCTGGCAGTGTCTCAGTTACTAAATCCAGTTTGCCAGTTACTAAATCCGCTCTGCCGGTTCCCGAATCACTCTTCCGCTGGGGCCGGCCATGTCACGTCAGGCTTTTCATGCAGGACGGCAGATGGATAGACGCTGGGACCAAGTCATCCTTGGGCCGCGAGACGTCTGACCTTCTGCTGGTGTCTCAGAAGATGCTAGCTCTCCGTGGCATGTCTTCCACGCGGTGCTTGGGGACCAGTGGCCTCTAAGGGGCCCCCCTGCCTCAGCGTGGGGAGTGGCCTGGCCAAGGTCTCAGTGTCTGGTTGGAGCCAGGCATAGGCTCAGGTGTACTGGCTGGAGGCCTCCTGCCCATGGGCTCTGCCTGTCCTGTGTCCCTGGTCCTTACTGTGTCTTCTGTGTTCCTGGGAGAGACCCCAGGGGCCCTGAGCCCAGCACTGGGGTTGGGGAGTGGGCGGGGAAGAGGGTGGGGATTAGGGTCCCTGGCTGCAGAACAGCCAGGCCCCAAGTCCCCACTCCACTCCCCTCCCACCGGGCGCCTCATCCCACACTGACCATTTCCTGAAGAAAATTTCCTGAACCGGCCTCCCACCCCGGCTGTCCCAGGAAGCCCATCCATCCTTCCGCCTTAATGCTTTGTGGCTCCAGAAGGATGGTGGAAGCCGGAAATCATGAGTCTCATTCACAGGCGGCCACACACCGAAGCCGCGGAGACGCCGTGGGAAAGGACTCTGGCCAGCGCGGCCGGCACAGAGGGAGCGGTGTTACCGGGGTAGACGGGAACCGTGGCTGCCCCCATGCTGGTCTGGGAGAGACGAGGGGCCGGACGAAAGGACAGCAGACTGGCCATTCATTCATTTATTCATTCACTCATTCACAGCGTCTTACTGGGTGCTTCGGACGTGTAAGGTTTTGTGGGTAGTGAATGCGACAGACCCCAGACAGCAATCGGAGGGCCACGTGTGTAAGAACTGAGGGACCTAGGCTGGGCGTGGTGTCTCAAGCCTGTAATCTCAGCACTTTGGGAGGCAGAGGCGGGCGGATTACGAGGTCAGGAGATCGAGACCATCCTGGCTAACACGGTGAAACCCCGTTTCTACTAAAAATATAAAAAATTAGCCGGGCGTGGTGGCGGGCGCCTGTAATCCCAGCTACTCAGGAGGCTGAGGCAGGAGAATGGCGTGAACCCGGGAGGCAGAGCTTGCAGTGAGCCCAGATAGTGCCACTGCACTCCAGCCTGGGCGACAGAGTGAGACTCCATCTCAAAAAAAACAAAACAAAACAAAACAAAACAAAAACTGAGGAACCCAGTGTAGATGAGCTATCCCGGGAAAACAAGTGGGAGTTCTAGGAACAGCATGGGGAAGGGATGGTCCCGGCAGGGAGGACCTCTGTGGGTAGCCTTGTTGGAAGAGCTGAAAGGCAGCCAGAGAGGCTGTGCGTGGATGGAAGCTGAAGAGTAGGTTAGGGGCGTGTGTTTTGTTAACAAAGACTTCAAGCATTTACTGACCAGGCACAACACTATGTGCTTCATAAATAAATATCTCATTTGATCCCCAGCATTCTTATGAGACAGATGTTATTATCCCATTTCACATGTAAGAACATTGAGGCACAGAGTGGTTAAGTTACTTGCTCAGGGTCACACAGCACGTCGGTGGTAGGCAGGATTCTGGAGCCACAGGAATCTGGTATATCCCAGGTGCAATGGAAACCAGTCACGGCTTCATAGAGGGAAATCATCAGATTAGTAAATTTTACACACGCCCCCTGGTGCTTTGAGGAGGAGGGATTCGGACAGGGGCAGCTAATGGTGGTGGCTGTGAGATGTGTTGGGTTAACATTGATGAGAGTTTGGGATGGATGAGTGGATTCGGAGTAATGGAAATGGAGGGCCCAGGCCCGGCCCCTGGAGATCTAGCTGCAATAGCTGTTGGCTGGAGAGGCTGTTCACTTAGATGGGGGATGGGGTGGGAGGCAGGTGAGATGAGAGCTCCAGAGTTCAGCCTGGGGCACGGTCATTGGGTTCAAGATGCCTTCAGATGTTGGGGCTTGACAGTGACAGTGGCTGCAGATACCCAGGACCCAGCAGAGGGCCTGGCACAGCGGGGCCCAGGGACACGTCTGTGAGTCAGGCTGGCACTCAAGTGTGAATCTGGACAAAGAAGGTGGCATTGTTGGCATTGAATGCTCAGGGGCTGGGTGAAGTCAGCTAGGGAGAGGGGCTCTCAAGGCACCAGGACTGACTCCGTGGGTGAGGGCGGAGGAGGAGACGGCAGAGGCTGAGAGAATAGCCAGAGACAGGAGGAAGGTCAGCAGAGCCATGCACAGAAGCCTGGAGAAGATTTGAGGAAAGGAAGGGCTGGGTGGTCGTCATTCCCTGCAGCTAGGAGGCAAGGGTGACCCCTGTGTGTTTCATTCTTCAGAGGATTGGTGGCTCCATCTGGTCAGAACCCCAAGTCCAGAGATGCATCTGAGCTTCATGCCATGGTGCAGGCAGCAGGAGCCATGGAGCAGGCCTGCGGGGTCACGGCCTGCCTGCTGCTTCCTGGTGTCTCTACCCTGAGCTCAGGGGTTGCTTGGATGCCCTGTGCTGCATCCCCCCAGGCGGTGTTCCAGAGAGGATGAAAGTGGCTATCTCAAGGTGTGACCAGGTAGCGGTCCATGCACACTGCTTTTTCCTGGGGAGAGTCTGGGATGGAAGGGTATGTGTGTGTTTCTGAGACTCCTTGAATAGGCTCCATGTACCTATCCACCCATCTTACCACCCACCCACCCATCCACTCACTCACCCATCCACGCACCCACCCATCCACCCATCCACTCATCCACCTGTCAACCCATCTATCCACTCATTCACCCATCCACTCATCCACCTATCTACAGTCATTCACTCATCCACCCATCCACTCATTTACCCATCTATCCATCCACTCATCCACCTGCCCATCCACTCACCCACCCATCCACTCATCCACCCATCCACCCATCTATCTATGCACTCATCCACCCATCCACTCATCCACCTATCCACTCATTCACTCATTCACTCATCCACCCATCCACTCATTCACCCATCTATCCATCCACTCATCCACCCATCCACTCATTCACTCATCTGTCCATCCACTCATCTACCCATCCACTCATTCACCCATTTATCCATCCACTCAACCATCCACTCATCCACCCATCCACTCATCATCCGTCCACTCACCCATCTATCCACCCATGTATCCATCCACTCATCCACCCATCCACTCATCTGTCCATCCACTTATCCACCCATCTACTCACCCACCCATCCACTCACCCATCCATCTACCCATCCTCTCATCTATCCATCCACTCATCTACCCATCCACTTATCCATCCATCCACTCATCCGTCCATCCACTCATCCACGCATCCACTCACCCATCCATCTACCCATCCACTCATCCACCCATCCACTTGTCTACTCATCCACTCACCCACCCATCCACTCATCCACCCATTCACTCATCTACTCATCCACTCATCCATCTATCCACTCATCCACCAATTCACTCATCCACCTATCTACTCATCCACCCATCCATCCAGTCATTCATCCATTTGCTCATTCATCCGCCAACCCATCCATTCACCTGCCTGTTCATCCACCTACCCATCCATTCATCCATCTGTCCATCCATCCACCCACCCACTCACCCATTCACACACCCATACACCCATCCATTTATCCAACCATCCATCCCCATCCTTACTTCAGAAAGCATTTGAAGTTGCTGGGGTGTGCACTTGGAAAATGCGTCATAAGCTTTCATAGGCCTCTCTTTGGCTTCCTCACTTCTTTGATTGGTCTTTCTTTCGGACATGCAGGATTCTGAGCAGCTCTTCTGGGAGGTGGGTGCAGTCCAGGTAGGCTGCCTGCAAAGCTAGGACCGAGGGAGCCACATCCAAGGCACTGTGGGTTCCCAAGGCGATGGCACTGTGGGCCCACTGCTTCCAGACCTCCTCAACTCCCAGGCTCCTGAGCAGGAGGACTCCTGGGGCAGGGCCTGGAGACGGGAAGAGAAAACAATTCCAGTCTCTCAACTCTTGTCAGTCCAGGTGGGTGCTGCATGGATTGGGGGCACCTGGAACAGTTGGCCCCTTCACCCCTTTCCCCCACCTTTCCAGCCCCTCTGGCTATAATCAGACAGTTGTGTGCGATGTCTTTCTCCCTCCTGAAGGGGTCATTTAGTCAGGCTCCTACTCATGGCCCAGGAATGTGCCCCTCCCTGCCTGTCCCCTACCCCCAAGCAGGCCGTGCCTCCAGCCCCCTGCTGTCTCTGAAGGGCCTGGGCATGGGGCAGCCTCTGCAGCATCCCCAGGGCCCGAGCTGATCTGCACAGCAGAAGGGAATTGGGGGAAAGCTTTTTTTCTACCCAGCACCTGGCAGGGGGCCACCCTGTTGCACCCCAGAGACCCTTGTCTAAGTTTTGTTATTTCAGATGATTTCATAAGTTGGGGGAGGCGGAGCCCCAGCCCCCACAGCCCCTGTTGTTGCCTCACTGCTGAGCTCTGCTGTGTATCTGCTGACAGGTCTGCTGATAGCAGAAGGGGCTGGAGAGAGGGAAGCTCTGGGCCCTGCCCTCCCCAACCCCTGCTTAGGGGACATCCCTGATAAGAGGAAATTCCAGCCTGTGACAGATGGCCAGTGTCCACCCACCCACGGGGGAACTTTTCTTTCTCTTTGTAAGTTTGCAGATTTGCCAGGAACTAAAGGAATCTCTGGTTGACAGGCCACTGTGGACATGGCTGGAGGGCTGGCACGGGCTGGATCTTGGGGTTGCTTTGAGGTAGGGGCCGCTCCTGCTGGAAGGTTCCTTGGGGTGGGGAAGGCATCAGGGCCATTCCCTGACCCTCCCTCTGCAGTGGATCCACTTCAGAGCCTGAGACAAGGCAAGGGGGCAGCAGAAAACAGAATATAAAATAGCCCCCCCCACCACACACCGCACCAGAAGTCAGAGGATTCATCCTTGGCCTGCCCTCCCTGCAGCCTAAGTTCTGAGAGTGGCTCTTTAGGAAGTGAATGGTGATGGTTTGCAGGTCAGAGCTTGCTCTGGCCCAAGATTGATGTCTCAATAGGCCGCGGAGCCTGGGTGAAAAAACTCAGGCTAGGGAGGTGGTGGGTTGCAAATGAAAGAACAGAGGAGGGCCTCTTCCAGAAAGCGGCGGGTGGTGTGAGGAGCCCTTGGACCTTGTCCAAATTTGACTTTACCGACTGGGGCCAATTGAAACCGTGCTGGCAGAAAGGCAAAACTGCTTGAGATTCCTTCCTCCACAATAGAGGAGAGGTTTGCTTGAAAGGGTTTGGCGAGGGAAAAGCTGGAGGAACCTTGGCCGGCAGTAAAAGTGGGGACCCCCGCCCCCTGCCTCGGGGGCGCCTCGGCCCCTGAATGAATGAAAGAGGAGGCTGGATGGAGACAGACTCACACCACCTGTCCCTTCCAGGTCCTGCAAAGGAGCACACAGGGTTCTTGTTGGCTCTTCCACCTTGTTAGTCACCAAGAAGGAGAAAACACCAACAGGGGAACTGTAAAGCTGCAGTTTTGTTTAAGCCCCATAGTGGAAACCGGAAAGAGCTCCAGCTCGGAGAAAAATGCAGCTCTTTGCCTTTGCAAATCCGTGTCTTTCTCTGGGAGGCCAGAGCCATTGTGCTCGATTTCTAAGCAGGGTTTCAGAGTGTCTCAGGAGGGGAAGGCAGAGTCTCAGATTTCCGGCATCCCAGGTCCTAACCAGGCTTTGAGGAGACGCTTCCTGTCCCATACAAAGTGTGAAGTGTAATTTGATTTGGAGTTAGTTAACAAATTAGATGAGCTGTGTGCATTTTAAAAATTCAGTCCTTGATCCCCCACCCACACACATTTGCACAATTTGGTCATTTATATTCAGTGTTTCCATCTTTAGAAGAGAACAGGAAGTCCCCAGTGACATTTATGGAGTGTTTGTAGTAGCTTGGGTAGGTCAGTAGGAACACAATGCAGTGAAAAGCAGAGTTGAGATGGGAAAATATCCTGTTTTCAGAGCCCCCCAGGGATGACATTCCTTATCGTCTCTGTCCACCCGCTCTGGAGTCCACTCCGCAAACAGCAACTTGTTCTCACTTGAGAGCTTCCTCCTGCCGGAGCTCAGGGATGGAGAGCAGCTGGCCTCAGTCTTCTCCTCTTACCTCTTTGTTTCTCAGACTCATCTTCCACCTTGAATAATTGTTTTTAACCTGCTCTCCCTCTTCTCTAGCTGTAGAACCCAGAACTTTGTGTGTGTGGTCAAAAGTTTAGAGAGTGCTGCAGGTAATGCTGAGATAACCCTATTAAATTCTGTAAGTTCTCATCACACCAAGTTTGTTTGTTTTTTTTAATTCTCATTTTATTTTATTTCATTTTATAGGGATGGGGTCTCGCTACGTTGCCCAGGCTGGTCTTGAACTCCTGGGCTCAAACGATCCTCCCGCCTCGGCCTCCCAGAGTGCCAAGTTATTTTTTTAACTGGGATCCACGGGCCTAGGGATTCTTTGATGAACCGTTCAAAATACGTGTGTGTCTGTCTGTCTGTCTTCAATGTATACTTTTCTAGGGAGAGTCTTTACTTTTCACCAGAGGTTTGTGGCACACACATGTCCTGTACTACTGTATCAGATTGTGAATTCCTTACATGTTAAAGACTGCTTCAAATCTGTCCGGAAGTCTCGGCTAATAAACATTTAAATAAATGAACTTCAAATTCCCATGTGCCACCACTGTTTTCATTCTGACTACTCTCAAGCCTGTAGTGTCATCTTTTTGTTACTGTGAAGTAGACACTCAATAAATACTTGTCAAATGAATCAATGTTATGGTCCTGGTCCACTAGGACCCCAGGATCATCGTCTACCATTATTGTCTATAGTTTCTTTACCATCTTGTTCCAGAGCAGTTCTTTCTCTGAGGTCTGCTCACCTCTGCACGTGTGTCTAGTTTCCAGCCCTGTCGCCTTACCATTCTCTTTCCTTTACCTGCATTTCCTGAACTGTTAATAGTTAACAATAGCTTCTCCCTCCACCCACTCACTCATACCTGAAGTGAGAAGTCATCATTGAGGTCTCTGTGGATTTTGTCAGCCCAACCTGGGGCGGCCTCCTGGAGGTGGAGTTTTCAGATGAGGGATGGACATTTTGGTGTCTGCTGGGTAGATCTACCTGGGAGCTTTGGCAGGGGCCCCAGGGCAGCTCTGCCTCTTTATTTTGGCTGTGGGACCCCTGGTGCACTAGGGTTTCTCAAGTAAGCATCTGTGTCCTGGGAGAGCCATAGGCAGGCCTGAGAGGGCCCCTGGAATCTGGGACCCCCAGCCCGGCCCAGTAGCTGGTACCATCATCTTTCTTGCAAGGGAAGTTATGGAAACTAAGATGCTAATGTGCTTTGATAGGCCTGGGGTGGCTCTAAGCCCTGGGAAGAGCCCTGGCAACTTTCCCTGGCTGGCGGGTAGAATCTTCTCCTGGCAGTTCAGGGCTCTGCCTCCAGCTCCCTGGGGGAGAGCAACTGAGGGAGGAGCTGGAGGCCAAGGCCTCAGTGCTGAGCTGCCTGCACCGCAGCTGCACCTTCTGGGTCCTGGCTGCAGGAACCCCATACTTCTCCAGCCTTTCCATGGTTCCCGAAGACCTGGCCTGGGGAGGGGGTCAGCAGCCTGGGGCTCACCTACCTGGCTTCAAATCCTGGCTCTACCGCTTACTCGCTTTGCGACCCTCATAATTGACAAAAGCCCTCTCGGTCTCGGTTTCCTTATCTGTGAAATGGGACAATAACAGTGGCTACCTTATAGGATTGTGTGATGATCCATCAGTTATAATAGCTCCTGAGCAGCGTTTAGAGTAACACCTGGGGCTCGGTGCAGTGGCTTATGTCTATAATCCCAGCACTTTGGGAGGCCAAGGTGGGAGGATCGCTTGAGGCCAGGAGTTTGAAACCAGCCTGACCAACATTAGTGAGACCCACTCTCTAAAAAAAAAAATTAGAGTAACGCCTGGCACAGAGAGCCCCCAGTAAACCTCGGCTGCTGTGATGAGCTTTGTTTCTTCATTTGTTCATTCATTCACCAGACTTTTTGCCGGGGCTTGCCGTGAGCCCTACGCTGCTCTGAAGAAAGCCGGGCTGGGGTGAGCGTGATGGATGAGGTGTCTGGCTTCACAAACCCTGTGTGGGGGGGTTGTGGTGAGAGGAAACCGCACACATCATTATTCAGTTACCATCGTGGGGAGACTGTCTGGACGCAGAGAGCAGGCTCTGTGTGGGAGCGGGGAGGGCAAGCCCTGGTTGCGAGGCAGGGCTTCCCCAGGATTCAGCAGGGATCTGAAGGACTTTGCAGGCACCCAGGGAGATAGGAGAGGAGGAGGGAGCAGCCCTGGCCGGACACTGTCCTCCTAGCATTGCCTGCATCAGGGACTCACTCAGCTTTAAGAAGCCCCTTTGTGGGGGACAGGGAGCATCTGTTAGTTTATAGGACCTGAAGTGCCCCCATGGGCTCAAGTTTCTGGGAAGGCCTGCAGGTGGCCGTAGGGCTGCCGCAGGGGTGCTGGCCCCAGGGTCTGGATTCAGGGGAGCCTGCAGAGGGAGGGCAGCTGGAGGCTGCTCCAGTGTGCATTGTTACGAGGCAAAGTAAGGAGACTGCTGGGCCCACGCTGGGCCGGGGTGGATGGAGGCAAGGAAGTCTTCGCCGGGGCAAGGGCACCAGCTGTAGATGCCGGCAGCTTTCTCCTGGACACGGGCCTGGAAGGCTGACAGGGTGTGGTGAGTGCCACCGGCTCCCCTGCCGTGGCCTGGTCAGTGGCTTCACAGGCCTCCGTGGGCAGGAGGAGGATGACCTTGCATTCTGCTTGGCCACCATTGGCAGTGACAGACAAGGTGTGTGGGGATGTGGCCATTTCGGTCCGTGCTCTGAGAGCCAGGTGTGGGTTGGGTTTGGGGAAGACAGGGGAATGGCATTGACTTGACCCTGAGCACTTTGTCCTGGGGTGCAGGCCCGGCTGTCACTCCCCTGGAGCTGGGAATGGCATTGGGCGGTGGCTCAGGGTCCCTTGCCCCAGCGGCACCATCTCTGCATTTGGCCAGCAAGGCTGATGGGACTTGTGTGGACATTTCTGGGACGTAGACCAGGCAGCATGACACACAGGGAGGGGTAGGCAGAGAAGGGCGGCCCCTGGGTCTTGGTTTCCAAGTCAGGCTTTGCAAGCCTGCTGTGTCAAGCCCTCTCTCGGCACCAGGCCAGGTGGGCCAGGGTCAGCCCTGGGGCTGTGATGAGTGTGAGTGCCCCTAAAGTGTGTCATGTCCAATAGCTGCCTCCTCTCTGGGCACTGCCTCCCAGCCAGATATCCTACAGCCCCCGTCCCAGCCACAGACAGCAATCTGATTCCCTCATCCTCGGCAGGTCCTGGGGTTGGGGTAAGAATTTGTCACTAAGTGCAGATGTTCCCAGAGGGTGCTGGCTCAGGGCTGCGTGGATTACAGCCCTTTCATCCCTGCCTTAGACCCACCTGCAACTCTGGAGAAAAGATGGCCCAGTGGACGCCTGCGGGGAGGAGGGAGCTGGTCCCCAGGATGAGCAGATTTGGGGGCAGTCCCCATCACGGGACCGGTGACCTACTGCCACCAGCGCCAGTGAATGGCAGAGGGGCCCTGGCATAAGGCCTGGGTTCAGAATGGGAACCTGCAGAGAAACTGTCAAGGTCTCCCGCCACCTGACACCTCCGCCTGGCTGCCACCCTAGAAACACCCTTGCTGCAAGAAGATGGGGGAGTTTGTCTGGGGCATGGTCTGGCGACACCAACTTGAGAACCTCAGGCCTAAGTGTTGGCCTCTGGGCCTCAGCTGTCCTCTGAGCTGTAAAGCTGGCTCCTGGGCACTTGTGGAAAACACTGGACTCTTTATTTTATTTTACTTTACATTCTGGGATACATGTGCAGAACGTGCAGGTTTGTTACATAGGAATACAAGTGCCATAGTGGTTTGCTGCACCCATTGGACTCTTCAATCCAGCTCCACTAGAAATGACTGCCTTCTTTCCCTTCTTCCGTCCCTCCCTCCTCCCCTCCCTTTTTTCCTTCCTTCCCTGTTTCCTTCCCCCTCCCTCCTTCCCTTCTTTCCCTTCCTCTCCCGTCCTCATGGGGATATAATTTCCATATTACACCATCCGCCGATTCAGAAAGCACAGTTGAGTGGCATTTTTTCACAACCTTCTATAAGCATCACCTCTAATTCCAGAACGTTTTCCTCACCCCAAAAGGAAACGCCATCCTCGGTACACAGTCACTCCCCCTCCCCCAGCCCCTGGAAATCACCAATCTGCGCTTTGTCCCTACAGATGTACTTATTCTGAACATATGACTAGAACCCTAAAAGATGTGACTTTTTGTGCTTGGTTTCTTGCAGTTGGAATGTTTTCAGAGTTCATCTGTGTTGGCGCACGCTCGTGCCTTTTTATGGCTGAGAAATAGTCCGCTGTGTTGACTCAGCACGTTGGGTTTCTCCACGCATCTGTTGGCGGATGTGTTAGTTATTTCTGGAGCCGGGTGTGTTGTGCTACTCACGGGCTGCACTAGGAGCTGGGGATATCACTGAGTAAGCCACAGCCTCGGGCACCCAGGAGCTCGCAGAGCAGGAGCTGGGAGGGAGGTCAGGAGGTGCATGGCCTGTTTGCCAGGCTGGAGAGACTTGCAAAAAGTCACTTTGAGCCAGAAACCAGAGCCTGAGGCCTCTGACTCCCAGCTGCGGAGCCGGGAGGGAAGCTCTGCATTTTGCTTTGACTGTGGGGTGACGTGTCAGTTACTGTCCAAATCAGAACCTTTCTGAGAGTCGACGTGGGTACTGCTGATAATTAGTCTGGATACCCGAAAGAATGGAAAGCAGGGACCCAGACAGATCCTTGCACAACCGTGTTCGTAGCAGGGCGAGGCCTGGAGGTGCGATGGGGATCTCAACGGGGCAGCTGCCGTCTTGCTGGAGCCCACGGTCTTTGGGGGGGGTCACAGGTGTTAACCGCATATCATACAAGCAGGAGTGTGAAATTTCAGGGTTGCCAAATTCAGTGAGGGTCTTGTGCTGGCCTGGCCACTTACAGTGGCATTTCAGGAAAAAAAATCACTCTATGGACCTCAGTTTCCCCATTAGTAAAGAGTAGGTTGGACTGGAATTCTGTACCATCCAGTATAGTTGCCATTTATGAAATGTGGCTATTTAAATTTAAATAAAAATAGAAATTCCGTTCCTCAGTTGGACTAGCTCAGTGTCAAGTGCTCAGAAGTCACTTGTGAACACACTGTGGCAATTCCTCAAAAAACGAAAACTAGAACCACCGTAGCATCCCATAATTCCACTTCTGGGTGTGGATTCAAAAGAATGCACAGCATCTTAAAGAGCTAGAGATATTTGTACACCCACATTCATAGCGGCTCTGTTCACAGTAGCCAGCGGGTAGAAACAACCCGAATGCCCGCGGTCAAATGAATGGAGAAATCAAAGGCGGGACAGGCCGGGCGTGGTGGCTCACGCCTGTAATCTCAGCACTTTGGGAGGCCGAGGCGGGTGGATCATCTGAGGTCACAAGTTCAAGACCAGCCTGACCAGCATGGAGAAACCCCGTCTCTACTAAAACAAAATTAGCCGGGCATGGTGGCGGGTGCCTGTAATCCCAGCTACTTGAGAGGCTGAGGCAGGAGAATTGCTTGAACCTGGGGAGGCAGAGGTTTCGGTGAGCCGAGATCGCGCCATTGCACTCCAGCCTGGGCAACAAGAGCAAAACTCTGTCTAAAAAAAAAAAAAAAAAGGGTGGAACATACAAGGAATTTGACTCAGCCGTAAAGAGGAAGTTAGGATACCTGCAACAGCAAGGGTGAACCTTTCGGGTATTACGCTAAGTGAAATAATTTGGTCACAAAAGGACAATCCTGTAGGATTCCACTTATACCAGGTCCGTAGAGTAGTCAGATTCAGAAAAACAGCAGAATGGAGGTTGCCAGAGGCTTGGGGGATGGGGCTGGGGAGTTGTTTAATGAGGACAGTTTGTTTTACAAGATGAAAAAGTTCTGGAGATTTGTTACACAACAATGCGAATGTACTTAACACCACTGGACTGCACACTTCAAAATAGTGACCGTGGCAAACGTTATGACAATTAAAAGGAAAAGTCACGTGGCCAGTGGCTACCACGCTGAGCAGCGCAGGCCTCGGACGGTGTCGTGGTCACAGACAATGGAGTGGGTGATCTTTACCATTGTTTCCAGCTGTCTGAGCACCATGGTGTCCTGGGGCCAGGATGAAAGTGTCTCTGGGTATGGGGGTCTCTGCTTTTCCCACTTGGGAGTCCTGAAGGCAGACCCCAAAGCTCACCTGGCCAGGTAGGAGAGCGAGGCGGGCTCTTGCATTGCTCTCTGCGTGCGTGCCTGCCTGCGGGCCAGCCGGGGCCTGCAAGGCCGCCTCTCGAGGGAGGGGTTGCAGGAATGGCTCTCACCTGTGCAGAAGGCAAGCCACTGCCCTACGTCAATGGCAAAGATGGGGCTCGGCTGCGTTGTATTATTATTTCTCAAGCGGGGCCCCTGGTGGGCAGGATGTTTGGTTTGATTTGAGTTTCTGCAGTGAGTGCTGGTGCCTGTGGAGGGACCCAGCTGCAGCTGAGCCGGCCCCTCCCTCGCTCTGGGCTCCAGGGGCGTTGGGGGCGAGAAAGGAGAGTTCAGGGGGCAGCGCCTCCCCCCAGGTCCTGCTGGGGAGGGTTGAGGGATGCTGGGGGGAGGTGGGGGCGGGTAGGGGCTGGTCCCAGTCCCAGGCAAAATGGCTCTCAGACCCACAGGCAGATGGAAGCGATTTTCGGTCACGTGGGTGGGGACTGAACTGCTGCCCCGCAAGGCAAGGCCCCATGTCTGGCTTCAGGAAGCGGCCCCAAAGCCACATGGTCCATGGCCAGATGCAGGGCTGTGTCTTTGTTTATTTAAAGGTCCTGGAAGCCCAGGGGAGAGTATTTCTGAAGGGGGAGCAGGAGCAGGAGCAAAGCCCTGAAGGCTTCCAGGCTGCGTGGCCTGGGTGGGGGCCACGTGGGGGCACAGAGAGAGGAGCCCTGGCCTCCAGGTCCGCCTGTGGGTATTGCTCTCAGCAGTGGAGATGTGTGGACCCCCCCTTGGCATTTCCCAACAAGGAATTATATTGTTCCTTTGTTCCCCCAATTCCATAAGATAGGAATTCCTGTGCCCTGTGGAGGCTGAGAAGACGGGGAGGTGCCTGTGAGGATAAACCAGCCCCCAGTTTCTGGCTTCCAGAGTCTTTTCCTCTCTCACCTCTGATGCCTCAGGCCTGGGGAGCCTCCCTCCGACACCCTCTGACCGCTCCAGTGAAATAGGCCGAGAGGGATGGCTTGAATCGGCTGGGGATGCAGGCTGCAGCCAGGGGGCTCAGTGGGCATTTCCTGAGTTCGGTTCTTGCCCCGCAAGTGGAAGGGCAGTTGAACTGAAGTCTCCCACTGCCCCTCCTGGCCTGGAAGCCTGCCTCCCACCTTCTGGGCAGAGTGAGGAGTGGGCGTGGGCCGGGAGGGCTGCCTCCTGTCTGGGAGGGCTGCTCACTTGCCTGTCACGGGGGATGAGCCCCCTGCAGCCTCCCGTGCTGTGGCCCTGGCTCCCACGCCGGCTCCACTCCCCTGTGGCTGCCCCTGCTGGGTGCCCACCGGTCCCAGGGAAAAGCCACTCCCCTCCCGGAGGACTGGCGGGAGGGGCCCTGCCTGGGAGCGTGCCGTGTGGTCCCTGTCTTAGCGCAGGATGCCTGAGGCCAGATCCTCCCTGGGAGGCAGGATGGGGCAAAAGTCTCCCCGCAGGCAGAGCAGGGCCTGGATGGGCCCAAGCAGGGACGGGGGCACAGAACAGCAGCCGCCCAGCCTGCGTGGGAGCTGAGGGCCACCAAGGGCAGCTCCAGCCTGTGGGGACTAGCAGAGGCACCACCTCTGTGACCAGCGAGTTGTCTGCACCTGCATGCGCATGCACCAGTGAGTGTGGCGAGTCTGAGGTGTGCTGGGACCTGGCCCGTGTACCAGCCAGCCCTGATGGGAACCAGCCCCATCCTGGGTACCCCTGGAACCCCACTGTGTGGGAGCACCTGGGTCCTCAGCAGGCGTCTTCCGGGCGTCCGCCCCCAGCCCCAGGCCTCTGACCCGTGTGTGGTGTCTTAACAGCAGCCAGGAGCAGGGCCATCGAAGGGACCTACAGACAGAAGAGGCTTTAGTGATTTCGGGAAGTTCAGCTCCACGTGCCCCACATACCCAAGAGTAAAACTTGGTCTTGGCCTGTGGGTGTGCAGCCCGTGGGCGCTGGCCAGGCACACAAGACGGCCGCCTGGGTCAGTCCAGGGGGAGGCAGATGTGGTGCAGGGGCCCCCCTCCTCCATGAGCCCAGGAACAGCTCTGCATCCAGGCACCCGCCCTGCACCCAGCACTTTTCCTTCTCCCAGGACTGCTGGCTCGTTCTATGGGATTGAACACACAACTCCATGGGGACCGACGCTGGTTCTATCCCCCTTTCTTACAAGACCATCCATGGGGATGTGGGAGGCGGGGACACACGCTGGTTCTATCCCCGTTTCTTACAAGACCATCCCTCCTGTGTCTTGGCTCGTGGATCGGCTTCTAAGGCCTTTGAGTGGCAGCAGGCGGTACAGCTTATCTGAGTAGAGGTGAAGGAGAGGGCCAGGTCCACCTGGGTGGCCCGAGGCAGTGTGGAGGGCCAGGAGAGGAGAGCACCCTCCACCCTTGTCTGAGCAGCCCTCCAGGGTACGGAGACAGGAGTTCAGGGTCAGCCCTGCCTTGGAGCGCAGGGGGCCCCCAGCTTGGCACAGCTCCTAGAAGAGGAGATGAAAAAGCCTGGCCTTGGGAGTCTGGGGATGGAGCTTTGCTGGGGAGGCAGCGTGGCTGCAGGATGGCAGCTTTTTAGAGGACACCACGGCCAGGGACATCCACCCGGGGGAATTCTCAGGGGTCGCCTGGGCAAGTCGCTTAGCCTTTCTGAGCCTCAGTGCCTCAGTTTCCCCATCCAAGGATGGGTGTGACAACCACCTGGCAGGCGCCTGTGTGTGAGCCCCTGTTCCGCTCTAACTCCTCTGCTGTTCCTTCCCCAGCCACTGAGGCGGCTCCCAGCTGCGTTGGCGACATGGCCGACACCCCCAGAGATGCCGGGCTCAAGCAGGCGCCTGCATCACGGAACGAGAAGGCCCCGGTGGACTTCGGCTACGTGGGGATTGACTCCATCCTGGAGCAGATGCGCCGGAAGGCCATGAAGCAGGGCTTCGAGTTCAACATCATGGTGGTCGGTGAGTCCTCACCTTGCATGCCACTCAACCAATGCCGGAAACCAGCCTCAGCCCCCAGGGCGGCCCACAAGCCTTTGGGCTTGGTCTTCCCTTCTGTAAAATGGGGCAGCAACCCTGACCTCAAGGACGGATTGCCAGTGACATTGCGTGTGCATGCATGCGCCTGGGAGGAGCCCACAGCCTCCAGCGGCTCCTCAGAGGGGCCTGTCCTGCACATCCAGGGCCCCTGAGATGACTTTGGGGAGCCCAGGCCGGCCTGGAGCAGGTCCTGATGAGTGGTCGCTGCCTCTGAGCAATGACGTCAGCTTGTGCAGAGGGTTCTGTGGCAGCTGTCCCCTCACTGTTGCTCCAGCCTGGCCCTCCAGGCTCCCCACCGCACCCCACCGCACCCCGGCCAGAGGCTTCCCAGCAGCTCAGCTTCAGCTCTGCCCTGGAATTGGGGCCTCGTGGCTTCCACACCCCCTGGTGGCCCCGGAGAGCTGGAGGTCACCACGGGAGGTCGTCGATCAGCACGACCTGGGCAGGGTGAGGGGGCCAGGCTGGAGTCTACAGTGGGCCGCCTGTTGTTTCCAAAGCCCCCCAGGTCCCATTCAAACCTCACAGGGACCCTGTGAAGGGGGCGTCCCGTTTTCCAGGCAGAAGCGAGGCTCAGGGAAGGCTGCCAAGGTTCCTTAGCTCACAGGGCAGAGAACCGCAGCCACCGTTTTGACTCCCAGAACTGTGTTCTGCCCACTCCACGGGGTCCAGGGAGGGGTCTGGGGAAGTGCCCCCGCCAGGTCACACCCTAAACAAAGGTGAGCTTGCGGGGTTTCTGCAAGGTGTCTGGGCACCTCTCAGGCCGGGCCTGTTTCTCTGACCTTTGCCAGCCGTGCACGTCCTTCCTGCCCAGCTCTGTGGACGCAAACCCACACCTGCCAGCCCGACACCTTTCTTTCCTCTTCTGCACTGATCTGGGCCCTGGCTCCCCTGGGGTCTTGGTGTCCTCTCTGCTTCCTGTAGCCTCATGGGACCCGGCTGCTCATGGCCCTGCTGTGCTCACAGCTGCCTGGAAGCTGGCAGCCTGCTTCAAGGGAGGGCGGAGGTGTGGGGTCCCCTCCTACGGCCCCCACCCTGTTCTGCCTGTTGTGGGGGACGTGCTTGTACCCTGAGGATTCAGGGCTGCCTCCCGGGAAGATGGCTGGAGAGAAAGAGAGGGGAGAGGCCCAAAGGCAGTGGCCAGGCTGGGACTCATCTCTGTGGGCTACGGAGGGGCTGCCCTGCTCCCTAGCCAGGGACAGGGTGAGAAGGACCTGGGAACCTCTGCGTCCCAGCCATGGCACAGGCCTTCTTCCGGAGCTTTGGCCCCAAGGAGAGGGAGAGGCAGCCCAGCAGCCCTCGCCTTCCGTGGCTGCCACTGTGACAGCCTTGCCCTCTGGGAATGGTGCGCAGGAGGCCACTTCACCTGTCTGGGCCTCTTCGCCCTTTCAACCCTGAGAAGAACAGTGGTCCTGATTCCCCACAAAATCACTCCCTCCCAGGGATGCCGAGTGAGGAACAAGACGTGGGGCAGCTCTGCTCTCCTCCCTCCTCCCTCCCATGGCAGCTGTGCCCACCTGCAGAGGTGCAGGCAAGGTGGAGGGGCACCTGTTTGGAGGTCCACAGACCCCGGGGAGAATCCCAGCTTTGTCCTAACTCAGCGGGGTGAGGCTTGTGTGTCTTCCCCTGGGCTCCTCCTCTGTGAGCCTTAGCTTCCTCGTCCATAAAATGGGATCATCCCATAAAGTGAGATCAAGCGAGCTAGGCCCCGGGCAGGGTCCCCAACAGGTTGTGGTTGTTCGAGAATTTGCAGCAGTGGTGATGGTGGTTGTGGTGATGAGGATGATGGGGGTGGTAATGACGGTGATGATGATGGGGTGATGGTGCTAGTGGAGATGATGGGGATGATGGTGATGGTGGTGGTGATAGTGGTGGGATGGTAGTGGTGATGTGGGTGATGGTGATTGTGATGGTGGTGGTGGTGGTGATGGAGGTGATGGTGATAGTGATCATGAGGGTGATGGGGATGGTGGTGGTGGTGATGGTGACAGTGGTGGGATGGTAGTGATGATGTGGGTGATGGTGATGGTGGTGATGGTGGTGGTGGTGATTGTGGTGGTGGTGGTGATGATGGTGGTGATGATGGTGATTGTGGTGATGGTGATGGTGGTAATTGTGATGGTGGTGGTGGTGATGGTGGTGATGATGGTGATTGTGGTGATGGTGGTTATGATGGTGGTAATTGTGATGGTGGTGGTGATGGTGGTGATGGGGATGATGATGGTGATTGTGATGGGGGTGGTGGTGGTGATTGTGATGGTGGTGATGTGGGTGGTGGTGGTGATTGTGATGGTGGTGATGTGGGTGGTGGTGGTGATTGTGATGGTGGTGGTGGTGGTTGTGATGGTGGTGATGTGGGTGGTGGTGGTGATTGTGATGGTGGTGATGTGGGTGGTGGTGGTGATTGTGATGGTGGTGGCGATGGTGGTTGTGATGGTGGTGATGTGGGTGGTGGTGATTGTGATGGTTGTGATTGTGATGGTGGTGGTGGTGATGGTGATGATGGTGGTGATTGTGATGGTGGTGATGGGAGTGATGCTGGTGATTGTGGTGGTGAAGGGGGTGATGGTGGTGATTGTGATGGTGGTGAAGGGGGTGATGGTGGTGATTGTGATGGTGGTGAAGGGGGTGATGGTGGTGATTGTGGTGGTGGTAATGGTGATGGTGGTAAAGGGGTGATGGTGGTGATTGTGGTGATGTGGGTGGTGGTGGTGATGTGGGTGGTGGTGGTGATTGTGATGGGGGTGATGATGGTAATGTGGGTGATGGTGATTGTGGTGGTGGTGGTGATGGTGATGATTGTGATGGTGGTGAAGGGGGTGATGGTGGTGATTGTGATGGTGGTGATTGTGATGGTGATGTGGGTGATGGTGGTGTTGATGGGGGTGATGATGTTAGTAGTGGTGGTGATAGTGATGGGGATGATGGTGGTGTTGATGGTGATAGTGGTGGGATGGTAGTGGTGATGTGGTTGATGATGGTGCTGGTGCTGATGATTGTGATGACAGTGGTGGTGGTGATGAGGGTGACGGAAGTGGTGATGATGGCGGGAGTGATGGGATGATGGTAATAGCAGTGATGGTATTGTGATGATGGTGCTGATGGGGATGGTGGTGATGATAAGGGTGATGATGATGGTGATGATAATAATAAAAGTAACAATAATAAAGGGATACACCTTGCAGTATCCCAGTTGGCATCTCCTAGATCTAAGGTGTCGTGGCTGGAACATTGACATAACTCCTGACCTGAGGTTGGCCAGGACACAGACCTGGTGGACAGAGAGAGATGGACGAGGAGTGTCCGTCCTTGGGCTACTAAACAGTTCAGGCCAGGGATTCCCAGCACCAGCCTCTGTCCTCCCAGGAGCCCACACTTTTCCTAGAAAGGTGTTATCAAAGTCAGAACATCAGTGTAATTTAGGGTGTTTTTTGTGTTGTGTTTTTTTGAGACAGGGTCTCATTGTTGCCCAGGCTGGAGTGCAGTGGCATGGTCTTGACTCACTGCAGCCTCCACATCCTGGGTTCAAGTGATTCTCGTGCCTCAGGCATGTGCCACCATACCTGGCTAATTTTTGTGTTTTTTGGTAGAGACAGGGTTTCACCATGTTGGCCAAGCTGGTCTCGAACTCCTGACCTCAAGTAATCCACCCTCCTCAGCCTCCCAAAGTGCTGGGATTACAGGCGTGAGCCATCTCGCCTGGCCGATTTTTGTTTTTTTAAAAGACAGGGTCTCTGTCACTCTGGAGTGGCAATGATCCTAGCTCACTGCAGCCTCGCACTCCTGGGCTTGAGCAATTCTCCTACTTCAGCCTCCTGCGTAGCTGGGACTATAGGTGCTCGCCACTACACCTAGCCAATGTTTACATTTTGATGTAGAGACAGGGTCTCTCTGTGTTGCCCAGGCTGGTCTTGAACTCCTGGGCTCAAGCAATCCTCCTGCCTCAGCCTCCCAAAGTGCTGGGACTACAGGCATGAGCCACCACACCTGGCCTAGGGTATTTTTTTTGGTGTGTTGCTAGCGTAGCCCAAGGCAGCTCTGTGCAGGGTAAAGCAATGGGGCTCCGAGTCTGGAGGGGTGTGTGTGTGTGTGTGTGTGTGTGTGTGTGTGTGCGCGCACGCGCGCGCGTGTTATATGTGATTTGTTTGTGTGTGTTGTGAGAGTTGTGTGTGAGGTATGTGTAAGAGGTATGTTTGAGGTGAGTTGTGTGTGTGTTGTGAGTTGTGCATGTGAAGTGTGTGTGTTGTGAGGTGTGTGTATGAGGTGTATGTGAGTTGTGTGTGTTGTGTTGCATATGAATGCTACTTCCTCATCCTCGTTTGTCTCAGTCACCTGTGGACTGGCTGTCTGCACACACGGTCACTGTCCCTCGAGTGGCACCACCCTGCAGGCCAGCGCCCCCTAGCACATGGCCCCACAGACCCCATGGGACATGCGTGAGCCTGCCTGATGCTCACACCAGCTCCACGGGGGAAGGACTGTTTATCCCATTTTGCAGATCAGGAAACTGAGACACGGTGAGGTCAGGTGACTTGCCCAGGCCCTGGCCGGTCAGGGAGGAGCAGTTTGAACACCTGGGCTTTGGTTGCAACCACCCTGGTGAACTGCAGGAATCCCGGCCACCTGGTGCACCCTGGGCAGCCCTGGGCTCCTCCGCCAGCCCGGCCTCTGTCCTGTCCAAAATCTGAGCCACCAGGAGACCTCCTGTCCAGAAAGCACAAGGGGCACAAGAGATGCCGACTCTCCCAGGCCCGGCTCACCTCTCAGGAGAGGACTGTGGCCTGGGTTGTGCTGGCATCAGAGCCCGGCTGTGTGGGTTTACACAGTCACTGGACACCCGGCTCGAGGGTGAAGTCCTCGGGGGCTGCTTGGCAGGGATATTGCCGGGAGGTAGCCCAGGCACTGCTGAATCTCAGACTGGAGAGCCTCGTGCCTGGGTGGGAGGGGCCCCATGTGCAGACCCTGCTGGTCTCTCCGGAGAGACCCCTGACCGGCCTCCCATCCTCTCCCCAGGGCAGAGCGGCTTGGGTAAATCCACCTTAATCAACACCCTCTTCAAATCCAAAATCAGCCGGAAGTCGGTGCAGCCCACCTCAGAGGAGCGCATCCCCAAGACCATCGAGATCAAGTCCATCACGCACGGTCAGTGGCCGGGAGTGGGCTGGGGGTGCAGGACGCCCCTGCCTTCCTGGAGCACAGGGGTTGGGGGTCAAGACCATCACACACAGTCAGTGGCCAGGGGCGGGCTGGGGGTGCAGGACTCCTCTGCCTTCCTGGAGCACAGAGTGGGGGGTCAAGACCATCACACACAGTCAGTGGCCGGGAGTGGGCTGGGGATGCAGGACGCCCCTGCCTTCCTGGAGCACAGGGGTTGGGGGTCAAGACCATCACACACGGTCAGTGGCTGGGGATGGGCTGGGGATGTGGGATACCCATGCCTTCCTGGAGCACTGGTGCGGTGTGAGGGTGCCCGAGTCAGGCAATCCCAGGTCCCCAAGACGGGGACTCGCTGTGCCCACCATCCCCAGCATGTTGAGCATGTTGGGGCTCTGGCTGTGATGGGTCAGTGTCCCGGACCCCTGTGGGCCCCGTCACACTGAGCTCCCCACAGACAACTGAGTTTTCCACCAAAAGTCTGACAGGCAAGGGGCTCCCAGGGGAACCGTCACCGGCCTGTGCCGGAGTTGGCTGAGGAAGGCCATTAATTTCCCGGTGTCTCCTTGGTTGTCATCGCTGCCTACCTGGGGTTGCCCCGGGGTCAGTCAGGTGTGGGGTGTCTGTGAGGGTCTTCCGTCTCCCCTCTGACTCTGCGTCCGTGGCTCTGTGCAGATATTGAGGAGAAAGGCGTCCGGATGAAGCTGACAGTGATTGACACACCAGGGTTCGGGGACCACATCAACAACGAGAACTGGTGAGGCCCCTCCAGGGGGAGGAGCACTAGCGGGGGCTTCAGGGCTCCCTGGACCCCACCCAGAGTCAGCCCTAGAGGTTTCCCGGCCCGCGGGGGTGCAGGGCCCACCTCCTGGGACCTGACATGCTGCCAAAGCCGCACGTCTCAGGGGCCTGAAAATTCTGGACCAAAGCAGAATTACCTGGGGAATCTTGCTGTCCCCAACTCATCACCTGAGGCCAGCCCGGGGAGGCTGGTTTGGGAGGCCGAGGGTAAGGCTGTGGCATCTCCGCTCAGCAAGCCAGACCTCCCAGGGCATGCATTTCATTGGAAGGTGGGGTGTTGGGCTCTGAGTCCTGGGAATGCACGACCTGCTTGGGGAGGGCATCTCATGTGCCTGCTGACTCGTCCCCATCCCCCACGCAGCTGGCAGCCCATCATGAAGTTCATCAATGACCAGTACGAGAAATACCTGCAGGAGGAGGTCAACATCAACCGCAAGAAGCGCATCCCGGACACCCGCGTCCACTGCTGCCTCTACTTCATCCCCGCCACCGGCCACTCGTACGTCCCTGCAGTGTCGGCGTCCTCATGCCGGGTGCCCTGGGTTCCCTCTGTCCCCTGGGACTGCAAGACGGTGCTGTCTGCCCTGCTGCTGGGTGCAGAGGGGCTGAGTCAGGGGCCATGGCCGCCAGCTATGAAGTTGGGGGTGTGCCATGTCTGCACCTCCAAAGCCTCACACTGACCCCTATGCAAGTGTCCTGCCCAGCCCCCATCCTTCAGCTGCGTCTTGGGGAGCTGAGGGTCAGGCAGGCCCTGGGCTGTTCTGGAGCCTGGTGGTCTGTGTCCTGCCTTCTCAGGCCAGGCTCTGGCAGGTGGAGTGGGAGCCCCCAGCCAAGCACCCGTAGCGGTGACTGACCTTCTCATCCGGGCCCTGCCTCATGGGACCCCTTAGAGGGTTTGGTGCGTTCTTAGACGGGAAGCACAGAGATCAGTGCTGGCCCCTTCCAGGGCTGGACGGGGCTGCTGTTGGTGTTGGTGAGAGCCCTTTCCTCCCGCCGGCTCTGTCCGCACCTGACGTCGCCCCTAGAGATCAGCAAGGGCGGGAGGCTGCATGTACCCTGGCAGGTGGACTCTTCATGGCCTCACGGACCCTCTGTCCTCAGCTCCCTGTGCACCCCCTGCCAGACACCTGTGGCTCACCCTGAGCCAGGGCTGGGAGGAGGAGGACCAGAGGCCAGCAGGAGTGGCTGGTGGAGGCAGCCGTGGGTGGCTTGTCTGCATGGGTGGGTGGAGAAGGTCCTTCGCACCTGCTGTCCCAGATGTACTTCCCTGGGCGGAGGAAGCCCAGGGGTTTGGGGAAACCATACTCTGTGGGCACCAGGTGCAGGAAGGAGCCTGGCTGGTGGGCAGCGGGCCTCACCCAGAGTCTGTGGGAAAACCCAAGCCGGAGTTTTCGAGCCCACCCTCTGGCATCATCCTCTGTGGGCCAGCAGGAGTCAGGGGCAGGGGGCCAGCCCGCTGTCCATGGGCCTCTCCTGAACTGAACATCTGCCCTCCCAGGCAGAACGGCTCACCTGCGGTCCTGTGGCAGCTGTTCCAGCTGCTCCAAGCTTTGCCTCAGCTGAGGCTGATGGCAGGAGGCAGAAGCCTCTCCTGATGCCAGCTGGGCAAGCCGAGGGCGGGCGGGCGGTCTGTGGCACTTCTGCCACTCCCCAGCACTGACCCTTTGGCTGGGACTCCAGCTAGGCATGTTGCCTGGTCCCGCCCAAGGCGTCCAGTCCCATGGGGCAGGGGCGGGCCTTGGCCATCTCTGCTTAAACTTCTGCCCGGAGCGGGCTTCTCCCCAGCCATGTGTGTGACCGATTTATTCTCACTGTGGGAAAAGCTCGGCTCCAGAACTGGGGAAGATGGTGCCCCAGTTCCAGGGCCCTGCCAGCCCCTGCCACCCACAGCTTTCCCCACATCAGACCCCAGGCTCACTGGGGCCAAGCAGGCAAGGGGAGCAGCCCGCCTGGTGCAGGGGAGCAGCCCGCCTGGTGCAGGGGCACCGCACACTGGTGCTAGCTTCTATTTCTCTTGCCTCTCCCCTCCCAGCCAAAGCCCCACAGCAAGACGGCTGCTGAGCCAACGACAGCCCTTCTGTGTGGACATGTAGGGGTGTGGTTGGGACCCCAGAACTCATGGACGAGGGTGCTTGGAGCTGGCCCTGGCCCGCCTGGCCTGTGCAGTGGTGTCACCTGTGTCTGGGACACACCCGTGTCCTTCCTCTGCCCCACACTCACAGCGTGGCCGACTCGGCCCGGGGCCCTGTCCTTGCCAGCAGGGACCCCCGTGAGCCCCGAGCCAGCACCTGAGAGTGTCGACACCTGCTTGGGGGTGGGTGCCCCCCCACTGCCCCGCTCCCCCAGATGAGCCTCACGCACATCCCTCTGCTTCAGCCTCAGGCCCCTGGACATCGAGTTTATGAAACGCCTGAGCAAGGTGGTCAACATCGTCCCTGTCATCGCCAAGGCGGACACACTCACCCTGGAGGAGAGGGTCCACTTCAAACAGCGGGTAGGGTTCCATCTCTACTTGCCCCAGCCCTTCTGTGCAACCTGGAGACGCTGCAGGCCTGGCAGGGGCCACCCCGTCTAAAGGAGTCACACTGTCAGGGAGACCGAACCGCTGGTCACTCTCCCCAGCGGGTGGCTGGCCTGGTGGTCCCTGGCCCAGGTGGCTGCTGGGGGCCGTCCCTGAGATGGCCTCTCCAGCTCCCCCATATCTCAAAAGCAGCTTTGTGGGAGTGCCAATTCTCCAGCAGAGTCTCTGAGGGGGGTTTTGGAGAAGACCTGGACCAGGCAGATGGTGAATCTCTCTTCCAGGGAGTGAGGCCGAGCAGGGGCCGTGCGACATGGCCCACCTTGTTTTATGCCCCCCCTTTTTTTTTTTGAGAAAGGGTCTGGCTCAGTTGCCAAGGTTGCAATGTAGTGGCACAATCATGGCTCACTGCAGCCTCCACCTCCCAGGCTCAGTCCCCGAGTAGCTGGAATTACAGACGCACACCACCATGTCTGGCTAATTTTTGTATTTTTAGTAGAGACGAGGTTTTGCCATGTTGCCCAGGCTGGTCTCTAACCCTTGGGCTCAAGGGATCCTCCTGCCTCAGCCTCCCAAAGTGCTGGGGTTACAGGCATGAGCCACCTCACCTCGCCCTGCCTGGTTTTTATTAGATGGAAGAGAAGCTGGGCCAGGTGTGGTGGCTCACGCCTGTAATCCCAGCACTTTGGGAGGCCGAGGCGGGCAGATCACTTGAGGTCAGGAGTTTGAGGCCAACATGATGAAACCCCATCTCTACTAAAAATACAAAAATATTAGTCGGGCATGGTGGCGGGCGCCTGTAGTCCCAGCTACTTGGGAGGCTGAGGCAGGAGAATCTCTTGAACCCGGGAGGCGGAGGCTTCAGTGAGCCGAGATTGAGCCACTGCACTCCAGCCTGGGTGACAGAGCGAGACTCCATCTCAAAAAAAAAAAAAAAAAAAAAAGTTTCAGGAGGGATGGTCTCTGCCACCTTCTTCTCCGCCACCGTCTGAGGCCCCTGCTGTGGGATAGGGAGGGGCATCCAAGCAAGAGGGCAGCCCTGGGCTCTTCCTCCTGACAGGGCAGCACATCAGAGCCACATGGGGTGCCTTTCAAAATGAAACCGAGGTGCCTGGGCTGCGGCACCACATCTGCCTCGGTGGGTGTGGGTGGGGCCTGTAACCTACTCCGTCCTGGGGCCAGGTGTCAGGGACCTTCCCAGCATGTGCAGGGGAAGACAGTCCACACAAAGTGGGTGTGTCTGCCGGAGGCTACACACGGGCTGTGGTCTGTGCCTGGGCAGGCGAGCAGCCGCTCACTGGGATGTTTCTGTTGCACGTACCCATGTCGGGCTGCTGGCAGGGAGCTGAGAGGTTACTGCAGGCGGGGCCCCTGCTGGAACTGGGGACTGTGACGAGGGTTTTTTAGGAAGGGTTTCAGGAGGGGAGGTCTCGGTAACCCTGAGTACTTTCTTGGGGCTGTGATGAGCAGGAGAAGAGAGGTGGGAGGTGCTCAGGACGATGACCTTAAGCCCCTGGGGAGTTGCAGCGTCGCTCAGGACAGCAGGTGCACCTGCAGCTGCCCCTCTTCCCTCCAGGAGGCACAGGAGTTGGAGGTGATTGGTGTCACAGCCCCCCAGAGCCTGCCCTTGAACCCGAGCCTGGGGCAGCACACAGTGTGGAGGTCATGTGGCAAACACCAGTGGGTGGGTAGAGCTTGCCACAGGGATGGGCCCATCTCTCTCCCTCCTTATCCCAGATCACCGCAGACCTGCTGTCCAACGGCATCGACGTGTACCCCCAGAAGGAATTTGATGAGGACTCGGAGGACCGGCTGGTGAACGAGAAGTTCCGGGTGAGTGGATCCACTAGGATGTTGTTCCCAGGGGACCCCCAGTTCCTGCTGAAGGGTGGGTTGGGGGTTTGGAGGACCTTAAGCCATGAAATTATATTCTTGGGGCCAGAGGGCACTGAGCCCAGGTGTCTGTACCCAGTGCTGTCAGGCTGAGGCTCTCGTTTTTGGGGGACCCCAGGCTCAGGGCAGCTCCTCCCGGGGGCCCAGGGGAGGGAATTGCCTTCCCGCACATGTGTAACCAATACCGTCTGCCCGTTCCCCAGGAGATGATCCCATTTGCTGTGGTGGGCAGTGACCACGAGTACCAGGTCAACGGCAAGAGGATCCTTGGGAGGAAGACCAAGTGGGGTACCATCGAAGGTACTCGCCGCAGGCGCCGGGGCTCCAGACAGATGGGAAGACAGTCTCTTCTGCTGACCCAGAGCCTGTGGGCCACGCCTGAGCCAGGGACTCGTGGAACCTCATCCACTGCCTTGCCCCACCCAGAGGGAGGGGTCTCCTTGTCCCCATTCAACCCTTGGGAAAGTGAGAGGGCAAGTGGCCTGTGCAGATGCCTCCACCCCAGACCTCCCCCCGGGCAGGGAAAGATTCAGGGAGACAGGAGCTGGGATGGGGGCCGCCAAGTTCTGGATCCTGGTGCAGGCTCTTTCATAGGCACCTGTGTGGCCCTGGACAAATCGCCCAACCTCTCTGGGCCTAGAAAAGGGGTGGGCTGTAGCTCTGTGAGCCAGATGGACCCTCGGCCCCTTACCCTGCTGAAGTTCCTGGGACCCTCACACCTTAGTCTCTTGAGTGGCTGTTGTAACCAATTAGCACAAACGAGGGGACTTAAAACAACACAAACGTATTTTCACAGTTCCAGAGGCCAGAGGTCCGAAATCAGGGGCTGTTTCCTTCTGAGGCCCTGAGGACCAGCCTCATCCATGCCTTCCTCCTTCTGGTGGCGCCTGGCATTCCTAGTTGTATTGTAAAGGCATCACATGCTCTAATCTCTGCCCCATTGTCACAGGGCCTTCTTCCCTGTGTCTCTGTCCCGTCCCTCCTCTTCCTTTTTTTTTTTTTTTTTTTTTGTTTGAGACGGAGTCTCGTTCTGTCACCCAGGCTGGAGTGCAGTGTTGCAATCTCAGCTCACTGCAACCTCTGCCTCCTGGGTTCAAGTAATTCTCCTGCCTCAGCCTCCCGAGTATCTGGGATTACAGTCACGTACCACCCACCTGACTTAATTTTTGTATTTTTAGTAGAGACAGGATTTCGCCATGTTGGCCAGGCTGGTCTTAAACTCCTGACCTCAGGTGATCTGCCCACCTTGCTTGGCCTCCCAAAGTGCTGGGATTACAGGAATGAGCCACCGAGCCTGCCCTCTTTCCTTCTTGTCTTTGGACAAGGATGCCTGTCTTTGGACTTAGGGCCTACCCTAAGTGGATGATCCCATTTGGAGATCCTTAATGAATCTATAAAGAAAGACGTTTTCCAAGTAAGGTCACAATCATGGGTTCCAAGGCCTGGACCTTGACCATGTCTTTGAATGGATGGGAGCCCCTGGGGGGCCACAGTTCAACCCACTCCTGGCGGTGACACCCCGGGAGGGATGGGCCCGAACGTTTCCTTCCCCTTCCTCTCTCTGTCCCTTCATTTCTCATTAGAATGGAAGAGGGGAAGGTGCAGAGGGAAATGCAGCAGGAAAAGCCACTTTGTTCTGGGAGAGCACTTGGCTGAAAGGCCCAGTAGAGCAGGAAGCACAAGTCTCTTAATCTTCCAGGGCCTCAGTTTTCATCATCCACAAAGTGGGTGCAGTGTGCCAAGATTTTAGTGAGTTGAGAGACTGTCCCAAAGACCACAGAGCTTTTTGGGAAGCTGTTGCTCTAAAAAAATGGTCATAATGACAATTACCAGGAGGCATCAGACACTCCTGTGCCACTGGCTAGACATGGGTTATCTCGTTTCATGTCCGAAGCTCCCCGCACCCACCCTCCTTGCAGAGTTGAAGAGGTGCTGTGAGCAGAAAACCTGCCAAGGGACCCAGAACGGGAGGCGGCTCTAGAATCTACAGCTCCAGCCCTGCACCAGACTCCCTCGAGATGGGAGTTCATGCCTGGAGGAGGGTGTGGAGAGGCACACGGGCCTTTCCCCTGTCTGCACTCCTCCCCTACCACCACCCCTGCCGGGCCCACCCTGCGGGAGCTGCCCAGCTGGGTGCAGCCTGGGTGTTTTCCAGTATCCGCCTGTGGTGTCAGGCTGGCTTGCCTCCCCTTGGCCCCTCTGCCTGCAGTTCCTCTCTTCCTCTCTGCCCAAAGAGTTCTTGCTGTTTAGGAAACTTTTTATGAAAGGCAGGTTTGGGAGAGTTAGGGATGGATGGGCCTGGGACGGGCCGGCGGCTTTGCTATGGGCGTGCCTCTGCTGCACCCTGGTGGCCAACCTTGAGTACCGCAGGTGGCCGGTGACAGAAACTGTCAGGAAATGCACAAGAGAGAGGTCCCCGCACCTCTCTGACCTGTGCGTTGTTGAGCACCACTGGCTCCAGCTGAGGAAGAGTCTGGAACCTGTCAGGACAGTTGTGAGGTGGTGGGGCCCACTTTCCAGCAGTCTTATATGAGGACCCTGGAAATGTGCCTTCAGCACTGCTGGGTTTTTATATCAGGGGCCCCATGAGTTCATAGCTGACCTGACACCCGGACTAGTAAGGGCTGTGCCTTGTTCTTGCCTCCCACTTGGTGAACAGCATCTTGAGGTATCTTTCCCATCCTTAGAAACCACCCCAAGTATTGTCAATAGAAATGTGGGGTGTAATTGATCACGCCATGAACTCATTTAATCCTCATGTCCCTGAGAGGCGGGTGACGTTATTATCCACATTTTATGGATGAGGAAACTGAGGGAATGAGAGTAACTTGCCCGAGCCAGGGAGTGGCGATCACACACTCCAACTCCAGCCTGAGAGCCCCATTCTTCCTGCCGGCTCTCGCTGCCCGTCAGTGTTAGATGAGAGTGCTGCTGGTCAGTCTGCAGGAGGTTCTAGTGTGGACACCGCCCTACACAGGGCCGTGGCAGGAGGGCCTAGGCAAAGGCAACCGGCATAGCACTGAGAGCACTTGAGGGCTGGGCAAGGTGGAGGCCCCGGCCCTGCCTGCTGGCCTACCAAGTAAAAACTAGACATTTTTAACTTGGGGAAAAGCCATGTGGCTCTGCGATGGGGCAGCCTGGAGCCAGGTGTATGGGTTCTGCATCCCGCTCCAGCCTTATGCACTGTGGAGCTGAGACAGACACAGTTCTTGCGTTCTCTATGCCTCATTTTCTTTTCTTTTCTTTTTCTTTTTCTTTTTTTTTTTTTTTGAGACGAAGTTTCACTCTTTTGCCCAGGCTGGAGTGCCGTGGCGTGATCTTGGCTCACCACAACCTCCACCTCCTGGGTTCCAGTGATTCTCCTGCCTCAGCCTCCTGAGTAGCTGGGATTACAGGCGCCTGGTACCAGGCCTGGCTAATTTTTGTATTTTTAACAGAGACGAGATTTCATCATGTTGGCCAGGCTGGTCTCGAACTCCTGACCTCGTGATCCACCCACCTCAGCCTCCCAAAGTGCTGGGATTGCAGACGTGAGCCGTGGTGCCCAGCGTCTACGCCCCATTTTCGTAAGATAATGGGGATAACAAAGGAATCACAAGAGACACTTGCAGGTGTGTGAAGACGAAGTTCATCACATGGGAGGGCACCGGGTGTCTTTATTTGCCTTCCCTGCCCGGCTCCCCACCTCCAGTGATGCCGTTCACTGCCCTCCTTGTTAAAAGGCCTTCTGTTATATAACAGTTACACATGCCAGGCACCGCGTGTTCATATAGGAGTTACGAAGCACAGCAATAAAATGACCACTCTGAGATGGCCACCAGCTCGAGCCCGAGGGCACTTGTGGGTGCCCGTGGTCTCCTGCCCAGTCTCCCTGAGAAGTGGCCACTGTCCCGAGCTTGGGCTTGTATGTATTGTGTGAAGTGCACATGTCCCTGAGCAATGTTTAGCATTGCTGATTCTTGAGCTTGTGAATGGTCGTCCACAGTACGTAGCCCCTGTGTGTGTCCCTGTGTGTGTGTGCTCTGAGCGCACACAAGGTGGATGGGGCCGTGGGGGTAACACCCTGTGGGCCACAGGTTTTCTTTAAAATCCCAGCTCCGATTCCTGCTTCATCCCATTCCCAGCAGCCCAGCCCCCTGCCTGTCTTCAGGCCCCTGCTGGGACGTCCTGCTCTCCCTGGTCACCCCAGTGGTGCGGGGGCCCACTGCCCTGGCTTCTCCACTGTGGCTTCCTTCCATGCTCCTATTTGGCCTGGTCACTGTGCCATCTCCCATTAGCCAGGAACTTTCTGGAGAGCAGGAGCTGAGCTGTCCAGGAGCAGGAGCTGGTGCTGGTCACTCCAGTATCCCCCAGACTGAGGGCAGTGCCAGGTGTCCTATACTCAGCTGCAGAGCAGGTGGTTCCCCTGCCCTCCTGCCCATGGGGCTGCCCTCAGACTCTGCTTTTGGCACCAGCATTTCTGGGCAGGGGGAGAGAGGTGGGGTCCGGGCAGAGTTTCTCCACTGGGACATTAAAGCCCCTCCTGTCTCCTCTCCTAGTTGAAAACACCACACACTGTGAGTTTGCCTACCTGCGGGACCTTCTCATCAGGTGAGAGACAGGGTGCTTGGGTGGGGCTGACGGCTTCACCCCTAAGAGGGCCCTACAGCGGGTGGGGGCAGTGGGTGTGGGGCCGAAGCCCTGGGCAGAGTGGGTGCCCCCTGCCACCTGCCTGCCCTGCCCTCGGGAAGATCTTGGAAGCCCATCTTCTGAAAAAGAAAACCCACTGGGAAATGAAGCAGGCAGTGAAGATCCTTTTCAACCCCTGCGAAGTTGGCTGGATGGGAAGGCTGAGCTTTGATCCACTGTGGTCTGGCCCGTTAGAGCTGCCCGGTGGCCACTAAGGGCCCAGTGAGGCCTCATGTGCAGGCCCTGCCGGCAGCGTGGGGCGTCTCCAGCTCCGATCCCACTGGCCTCTGACCCCTACCCCTTTCACCTGGCTGAGGCTTCTCCTTGTTTCCCTTGAGTCCAGGCAAGGAGGGGAAGCCCTGATGGAGAGGGTGCTGGGTGGGTGGTCCCTGGAGTGTGGGCCCTGGCCTGGGCAGGTTCTTCCTCAGCAAGCAGCTGGCATGGATGATGGGAATGTTATCAAGAGGAGGGGCCTCCAGGTTGGCGGGGGCAGGGGTGGGGGGATTCCGGGAGCCGTTCTGCCATTGTGGGGATACTGGGCTTTCCAACCTCCCTCCAGATTATTCCTCCTGAGCTGCAGAGGAATGAAAATCCGAGCCCAGGACTTTTTTTTCCTGGGGACAAGGGCAACCCAGCCCTTTGCCCCAGGCCACCTGCCTGCCACAGGCCATAGTCCTGGAGGCCGGTGGTCACCCACTGCTTCCACCCTGCCAGCACCCTGGACACCGGCCTGGAGCAACAATGCTCCAGCCCTGTCCCTCTGAGTCTATGCACTGTCCCTGGGCCCTGGACCCAGGGCCATAGGGTGGACCCAGAGGGAGACACATGCACTGGAATATGTGTGTTCTGACCGAGTCTGGGCTTACCAGGGGGACTGACCCTTCCCCCAAAACGTGTACCAGATCTGGTCCAACATGGTGGGCCTGGGGGACCCCATGGGGAGCCAAGCAGTCGGGATGGGGAGTGGGGGTGGGGGCAGGCGGGCCTGAGTCCGAGGCAGGCCGAGCAGGGCCCCTGCCCCGCTGCCCCCACCCCGCTGCGCCCACCTCACTGACCCGCCCGCCCCCCACCCCCACAGGACGCACATGCAGAACATCAAGGACATCACCAGCAGCATCCACTTCGAGGCGTACCGTGTGAAGCGCCTCAACGAGGGCAGCAGCGCCATGGCCAACGGCATGGAGGAGAAGGAGCCAGAAGCCCCGGAGATGTAGACGCCACCCTGCCCACCCCCGGGATCCTGCCCCCAAGTCATTTCCGTCCCCCCCCAGGCCCTCCCACCACCCCATTTTATTTTATATGATTTTCTCCATTTGTCATCGTTCCCCACCCCTTCGACATGCTGCCAGGAAACAAGGGAAGGGGCCTCCCTCCGAGTGAGTCAGTGATGAGGCCGCGGCCTCCCCGAGGTTGTGGGGAGGCTGCACTGGAGCCACAGGCAGGGGTGAGAGCACCCACTGAATTGACATGACCCTCTGTCCCCAGGCCTGGCTCCCCGAGGGCTCAGAAGAGCAGCTTCGGTGTGCAGATCATCCGTCTGTGTGGGGTTCTCAGTGCCGGAGGCCTTGGGGTGGGGGCCAGGCCTCGCACTTGCAGAGGAGCCCAGTGGGCTGCACGCTCCCCTCCATCCCCATCGGCCCTGTCCCCTGGAGTGTGTCAGAGCCCAGGGGAGAATGCAGCCCACCAGGAGCACCTGGACCCCCTGCCCGCCACATGGTGTGGCCATCACTCAGCCCCTACCCCTGCCCTGCTCCTAAGGGTAGAAAACTCCAGGGTCCCCTGCCACCGACTGCCCAGCCACTCCAAGCCCCCTGGCAGCTGCCCCTCCTGGAGCAGAAAGTGCCTTTATCTCAGCCATCCGCAGACTGCTTGGCCAGATGCGGGGACAGGCTGGAATGAGGGAGGCGTCTTCATCTCCCTGCCATCCCCCTCTCACGCCACCCCCGCCCCCACCGGGCTGCAGGTGCTGCTGATGCGCTGGGATCTGATTGAGGATAAAAAGGAAGGAGAGATGACCCCTACCCCCTCATCCCCCAGTTTTGAAAAGGTCTAAGCAAGTGAGTCTGGTGGAGGAGCTGAGGGAGGGAGCCATGGAAGGTGCCAGAAGGAAGGTTGGCGGGGGCACGTGTGGGCCGTGGCTTGGGCTGGTCAGAGTGGCGTGAGCTGCCCGGCGCCTGCCCTGCCCAAGTGACCAGGGAAGTGTGTGTGTGTCCATGTGTATGCGTGTCCGTCTGTCTGTCTAGTGTCTGGGTTTGGCCCAAGACTGGGCTGTAGTTACATTAATGCCCAGCCAGCCACCCCTGCCACTCACCCTTCCTGGCCCAGGCCTTGCTGACTCTCTGAGCTGGGGAGGTGGGAGGCCAGGCGAGCCTGACTCTGTTGATCTACCCGTGCCTGGGCCCCTCCCCTCAGAGCCCATGGTAACGAACCCCTAGAAAGGAGAGAACGGGCGTCAGGGGTGCACAGTCCACAGCTGAAGAGCAAGGTTTCGTGGCAGCACGGCCCGGCCCCTCACCCTCTGTCCCCACGAGGGGACCCATGGGGGCTGTCTTTGCAGGGCACAGATGACCAAAGTCCCTTCCTGCTTCCTGTTACCTGTCTTGCTCCTGGGGAGAAAGAGGGGCCTGATGAGACTCCACTCAGGTGCACACATCACCAGGTGCATCTGCAGGCACCGGGCTGGCTGCTTGCAGCCAGGAGAAGGTCAGCGAGAAGGAGTGTATGAGTGTGAGTGTGTGTGCATGGAAGTTGGGGCACTGGGCGTCTGACTCCCTCCCCACCCAAGAGAGGAAGGACCCCTCACCACCCCCACTGGTGAGACAGTTTACTTTGCCAACTTGCCATGTTTTTGCCAAAACCAAGATTTTGAAGGAAATGAGTGGCCAGCGCCAGGGCCCAGGCCATGTGGCCTGCCCAGCCTCAATGTCACTTGGTGGCGGGGTGGGGTGGGGGTGGGCAGCAGCATCCCAGCCTTGAGATGCTTCACTTTCCTTCTCTGTAACCAGACTTTGAAAAATTGTTCGTTTCATCAGGCTCTGTTCCTCAATGGCCTTTTGCTACGTGCCTCCCGAGAAATTTGTCTTTTTGTATAAATGACAAAGTGTTGAAAATGTATTTCCTGAAATAAATGTTTCAAATGCAGAAACCCAGAAGGCTCCTGAGTGAGAATGTTTTTTCTGCCCCTGAAGTGCAGTTCTTTGGGCCTCGGGACAGGTTGGGGTCAGCTGCAGGTGGGCAAGAAGCATGGGCAAGAAAAGGTAGGCCGGGCGCGGTGGCTCACGCCTGTAATCCCAGCACTTTGGGAGACTGAGGCAGTTGGATCACAAGGTGAGGAATTTGAGACCAGCCTGGCCAATATGGTGAAACCCCGTTTCTACTAAAAATACGAAAATTAGCTGGGCATGGTGGTGGGCGCCTGTAGTCCCAGCCACTCGGGAGGCTGAGGCAGAAGAATCGCTTGAACCCCGGGAGGTAGAGGTTGCAGTGAGCCAAGATCATGCCACTGCACTCCAGCCTGGGCGACAGAGCAAGATGCCATCTCAAAAAAAAAAAAAAAAGAAAAGGTAAGGCCAGGTCAGATCTCGAATTCAGACTCCCAAGATTTGAAACTAACAAACTCCCTGAGAACTTATAATTCCAGAGCACTGTGAAGAGTGAGAATAGCATCAAGGCGATTGCTGGGGCGTTGTTTAATCTACCTGGGGTAAAAGTTCCCAGGGCTTGAGAAGCACTCAGCGGAGATGACTGAAAAGTGAATGGCAGATCTGAACGCTTTCATTAAAGTGGGGGATCTGAAGGGCGTCCACAGGGGGCGCTGTGAGCTGCTTCTAGTTAGTGTATCCTTGAAAATAACTTTTTCTGTTTTATTTTTTGAGACAGGGTCTTGCTCTGTAACCCAGGTTGGAGTGCGGCGGCACGATCACAGCTCACTGCAGCCTCTACCTTCCAGGCTCAAGCGATCCTCCTGAGTAGCTGGGACCACAGGTGTGCACCACCACACCTGGCTAACTTTTTCATTTTTTGTCAAGATGGGATCTCACTATGTTGCCCAGGCTGATCTCAAATTCCTGGCCTCAGGTGATCCTCCTGCCTTGGCCTCCCGAAGTGCTGGGATTATAGGCGTGAGCCACTATGCCTGGCTGACAGTAAGTTTTTCTTTTAGAAATTTATATTAGATTGAACTCCAGACTGGTCAGTATTTGACAGTTGTTTTATGCCAACCTAACTCATTCCAAGAGAACTTGATTCCAAATAGATTAGAAGTCAGAGCCTTGGCTGAGTGAGCTTTTCTTTGCAGGTGAGCTTAGGAAGTAAGGTTCAGGGAGCTCTGGTCCGTATGCCCTTTGCGTGTGCAGAAGGGCCTCACCCGGATCCCTTCTCCCACGTGTATTAGTGCCCTGCAGCTGCCTTAACAGATGACCATGCAGCAGGGCTGAAAACAGCGGAAATTTATTCTCACAGTTCTAGAGGCCAGAGGTCTGAGATCCAGGTGTCCCAGGGCCTCGCTCCCTCCAAAGGCTCTAGAGGAGGTTCCTCTCTCCTCCCCCAGCTCCTGCTGGCCACTTCACCCCATCTCTGCCTCCGTCTTCACAGCCTTCTCTCTCTCTGTCCTGGAGGGTCAAGAGGGCCAAGAGGGCACTCTTCCAGGACTGAGGGCCCACCTTGATTCAGTTCGATCTCATTTAGATCCTCACCTTCATGACATCTGCAAAGACGCTCTTTTGAAATCAGGTCACATTCTAAGGTCTGAATGGATGAGAATTTGGTGAGGTGGGAGACACGGTTGGACCCCCTACATCCCCTTCCGCCCCGCTGTTTCAGGACCTCCAGGACAACATGGGCAGCAGAGTGGTGGGTGGGAAAGCCCTAATTTGGGACTCGGAAGGTCTGGGTTCCAGGGTGACTCTGCCACCAAAACTTGGGGTTGTCTCAGCCTCTCTGGGCACCCCCTGGCTCTTCTGCCAGGCACCTGACTTCTGCATGTTTTGGAGAAAGCAGACAGGTTCCTCTCTCAATGAACTGATGGGCGTTGGCCCAGTGGAGCCTCTGTGCCATGGGCCGGTGTCTGCCATGAGCACAGGCAGGTTGAGAGTCAGGTCAGCCCCTGTGGGCGGCTGCCAGCCTGCAGCCTGATTCCAAAAGAGGGTCTTTGCAGATGTCATTAAGGTAAGGATCTAAATAATCACTAAGGCCCTTCCAGCTGTGATGGCTTTGTCCATCCCCCATCTGAAGTTCCTGGCAGTCCCTCTGCCTTGAAGCCCTCTTCCTGCAGACTGAAGTGTCTCCATTTTCACCCCCAATTTCCATCCTTGCACACAGGGAGCCTGTCCAGCGGCTGCCCTCTTTGGGACCGACCACCCTCTCCAAGTCCTGGCCTCAGAACTCCAGCTCCTCCCCACTTGGCCAGCATGATCCTCCCAGGCGTCTCGTGCCTCTAAGCCATACCCAGCCAGCCCCCTGCCCCCTACGCCATGGTCATCTCATTGACCAGACCAACCCCGGTACCCAGCCACCCTGCACGGCCCATCCAGCGATGCTGGCAGGGAGGGCCTCCTGCCACCCAACCGAGCAAGTCTCCTGCTGTAGAACCAGAGTGACCACTGTTACAATTTGCCTGAAAATGAGCGCTTTCCAAGCACACAGGACTTTCAGTGCTAAAATCAGGAGAGTCCTGGGCAAAGTGGACAAGTTGGCCACTCTGGGTGGGATCCCCGTGCCACCCCGCCGCTTCTCCTGCCTCTGGGAGCCCTGGCCTCTACACTTGTTCAACCCCAGAGGTTCTGAAGGAGCTGCATGGACCAGGCTGTCCCCAAGGAGAGACCCAGGGAGAGCAGGAAGGCCCCAGGAACAGGCACCATTCTCACACTGGCTCTGAGCTCCTGCGTGGGAAGTGGGGAATCTCGTGGGGGCTGTGGAGACCTTGTGTCCCTGCTTCCTCTCCTGCTCCAGGCGGCAAGGTTTGAAGCCAGGAAAGAAAGTAAAATCAACAAGCAGGCTTTGGGCTTTTCCGGACCCAGCCTTGTAGGAGTCCCTGCATTCTCTGGAGCTCAGGGGCCAGGTAAGGATGCTGGCAGGTGGGCTCCACTCAGCTCCACCTGGATGCGCCTGGGAGAAAGCCGGATGGGAACCCAGTGAGCCCACTGGGCGGGGGCTGTGCTTGGCACCTCCTCTTAGATGTGCATGTCCTTTCTCCTATTTTATTTTATTAATTTTTTTGAGGCAGAGTCTCACTCTGTTGCCCAGGCTGGAGTGCAGTGGCGCAATCTCGGCTCACTGCAACCTCCGCCTCCCAGATTCAAGTGATTCTCCTGCCTCAGCCTCCCGAGTAGCTGGGATTATAGGCACCCACCACCACACCCAGCTAATTTTTGTATTTTTAGTAGAGACAGGATTTCACCATGTTGGCCAGGCTGGTCTTGAACTCCTGGTCTCAAGTGATCTGCCCTCCTCAGCCTCCCAAAGTGCTGGGATTACAGGCGTGAGCCACCGCGCCTGGCCAACTCTCTCACATTTTAAAACACTACTTTCTGCTACAAAAGTGGCGTGTACAATGGGAAATGTCACAAATAAATACCCCAGGAAGACACTCAAAAGCCCCTGTGATGCCCCCCCAGCCCTGGTCCTGGGGTGTCGGCCTTGGGTCTCCCTCCTGGTGCGGCATCCTTTAACCACTGCAGTTAACTGGGAGGAAACGATCCCCATGCATTGCTCTAAATCCCGCTGGATCTGGTTTTGGGGGTGCTGGGCTGCTGCCCAGGAGACTGGAAGGGGAGGAAGGTGTGTGGCCCCTGAGGGCTTCCAAAGCACTCTGTGCTGTGAGGATCCCACCCCGTGCGCTCCCAGAAAGTGGCCGGTGTTTTTCTGCTCCAGCAGGGAGCCCAGGTGAGGTTCTCTAGGTAGGTGGAAAGGTAGGTGGAGCAGGCTTCAAGAGCAGAACCCAGCAGAGCGCCCCGGCTTCCTCCCATCGCCCTCCTACTCCCTCTCCTCCCCTCTCCTCCCCTCCCCTCCCATCCTTTTGGAAGCAAGGAGGGGAGAGGCTTCCACCGAAGTTGGGCCCAGCTCAGGTGTCCTGAGTGGTGGGAATCTGTGCAGGGCCCAGGCGCATTTCCTGCCCGGGAGCAGGAATGCTTTACAGATGTTGGAGCTGCCTCAAGGCATGGCCAGGAGGGGCCGGAGAAGCAGAACCAGCTGCATAGGGGATGCTGGGCTGGTGCCTGCACATGGAACAGTCATTGATTAAAATGTCACTTGTAAGGTGCCTAAATCTTCGGGTCCTCCTCCTTGGAGAGTCCCAGGTAAGCTGCGTTCCCTGGGCTGATTCCAGGCTGGGCCAGGCGGGGCTGGGCTGCAGACCTCTGGGGACTGCCTACCCAACCCCACACCACCAGGCTCCCTGCTCCTCCTGAAGGCCTTGGCCTTCAGTAAAATGCAAAAAGTTAAATGCTCTGGGTTTTCTCTGATAATAGAAGCAATGCCTGTCCATTGTAGAATGTTGGGAAAATAGAGAAGAGCAAGAGCAACAACAGGCACGGAACTCCACCCCTGCCGGTCAGCCTGCCTGTGCGTGGGAGTTAAAACAAAACGCTTCTGCAAACATTTGGTTTTTTTTGTTTTTCCAAAATTAAGCTCCGATTGTGCATATCACTTGATAATCGAAATTATTTTTTGAAAAATAATTTTAATAGCTATGCAGTACTCCATCCTGTCAACATATGGAATGAAATGATGATTTCTAAATTCTTACTCTTGTCACCTGGGCTGCAGTTGGAGGCCTGGTGGGGGTCCGTGCGGCGACTGGCTGGGCCGTCCCTGTCCCTCCTCCCAGATGACAGAGGTGCCTGGTGTTTGGCAAACTCACTTAGAAGGAGCAAGAAGCAACTGGGATGGCTCAGAAGCCCATGGTGGAATAGTCTGTTGTAAACGAAGAGACAAGAGGAGGCCGAGGACTGGTTTCCCCTTCTCCTTCCCGCTCCCAGCCCTCCCCTCTTTCCCATCGAGTCTCTGGTCTCTGCCTTCAGGCCCATGGATGGGCAAAGCATCTTTCGAGAGCTTGCCTGCCAACCCTCAGAGTCACATACACGAAGGTCTCCTGGAGCTCAGAAGGTCAGGCACAAAGTCACTCCTTGACCCTATTTATTGAAATATCCGTTTTTTTGAGCACTTTTCCCGTGTAGACTCAACAGGGTCTCCCTCTGTTGCCCAGGCTGGAGTGCAGTGGTGCGATCATGGCTCACTGCAGACTTGAACTCCTGAGCTCAAGCAATCCTGCTGCCTCAGTTCTCCGAGTAGCTGGGACCACATGTGTAAGTCACTAAGCCTGGCTAATTAAAAAAAAAAAAAAAAAAAAAAAAAGTAGGCCGGGCACAGTGGCTCATGCCTATATTCCCAGCACTTTGGGAGGCCGAGGCAGATGGATCACCTGAGGTCAGGAGTTCGAGACCAGCCTGGCCAACATGGTGAAACCCCGTCTCTACTAAAAAAAATACAAAATTAGCTGGGCATGGTGGTGCACGCCTGCAATCCCAGGTAATCCCAGCTACTCAGGAGGTTGAGGCAGGAGAATCACTTGAACCCAGAAGGTAGAGATTTTAGTGAGCCAAGATCACGCTACTGTACTGCAGCCTGGGCGACAAGAGCGAAACTCTGTCTCAAAAAATAAAAATAAACAAATTTTAAAAGTAGAGGTAGGGTCTCTCTGTGTTGCTCAGGCTGGTCTCAAACTCCTGGCCTCAAGTGATCCTCCCACCTTGGCCTTCCAAAGTGCTGGGACTCCAGGCGTGAGCCACTGCACCTGGCTCAGCTTGGCATTTCTTGAATTTGGGTCCATGTGAAAGAGTCCAGGAGGTCATTCCTCACAGATCGCTTATTGAGGAACCCCTCAGAGGTCAGAGTGGGGGTAGGTGAGGGGAGAGAGGGGCTGAAGGGAGATGCAAGGGGCCCCTGGGATGGCTGGTGTCAGTCCCAGGCCCGGGGACACAGCCAGGTGGAGAGAACGTGCGATCGGAGCCCAGGGGCTGGGCTAGAGGCCTGCTTTGCTGTGTGTGCTTGGGCCTGGGGTTAACGGTTGGAGCCTCAGTGAGCTCATCTGACAGATGGGGATGAGGACCAGCATGTAGTCATCATTCAACACTGTGGGGGAGAGAGGCAAGAAGGAGCCCCCCGGGGCGGGATGAATTCTGACCCAAGCCAAGAGCCACCGTGGGGCCAGCGCCCACCTGCACCAGGTTCTATATCCGCCATCACATTAGCTCCCCCGAGAGCCCTGAAGGGTGGGCCGCGCCTGCTCCTTTTCCGGGTCCACTGAGCGGCTCTGGAGCCCGGGTTTGTGTTTAGCCGAGGCTCTCCCCGCTGCACCCTCTGCCTTCTGCTCCCAGCAGGGCGCTGCAGCATCGTCCGGTTTTAACAGGGTGAGGCGGCTCCCACAGACATGTGATGCAGAAAGTCCTCGACACCCCCAGCCAGCTCTCCGTGGGTCCAGTCCAGGGCCCTGCCCCACGGCGCCCACTGCTGCTTCCAGGCAAGCCTCAGATTCCACTGGGATTCGGAGAAGTTGCAGCTGATTCAATGCTGAGAGCCCATCAGAGAAAACATCTTCCTTCCCTTTCAAAGAGGACAGCTATGCATAATCAGAATACAAAGGGGTATAAATAATTAAAGCGGCCCAGAGTGAGTGGTTCTTGAACCATCTGCCTGATTTACAAACTAATTACTCAGAGGCTGGTCGCTGCACGGGAGCTGTGCACGCTCCTCAGGACGCTCACCGCCTCCTCTTCGGGCACCAGGGGTGGCGGCATCGGCCTGATCAGCCAGTCCTGGCACGTAGAGCAGTGCCACGGCCTCCTCCATCTCCCTGATTAATAACTTCATCAGAGCCCGGGACCAGAAGGAAATGTAAGTCCTCTGAAGGAAACGGCCACACGGAGGAGCCAGCAGCAGTCTCTCCCAGCAGATGAGCTGGGAGGTGGGGACCCAGTCTCAGGCAGGTGAGTGGAGCCCCAGATTCAACCCAAGGGATGACCCATTACAGGGGCTCAGCAGGACCTAAGGATCTTTACTCTTTATCTAAGGGTCCAAGGCACACTCTCCGCATACACCCATCACCGTGTCCCTGGAGGGAGGGAATTGGATCTCTGCTCTGATTCTTCTGCAAGAAGAATCACCAGGCGTGGTGGCTCGCAACTGTGGTCCCAGCCACTCAGAGGGCTGAGACAGGAGGATCACTTGAGCCCAGGAGTTCGAGGCTGCAGTGAGATATGGCCACACCACTGCACTCCAGCCTGGGCAACGGGCTGACCCTGTCCAGTCTACATGGGAAAAGTGCTCAAAAGACAGACATTTCAATAATATAATAATAATAGTTATATTCTGCCCTGCAGGGGAGTTGAGGAATCCTGCAGGAAGCCCCTCTCCTCATCCAGCCCCCATCCCTTGCCCTTCCCTACTCCTCTTCCTTGGAGACTTGCCTGGACCATCAGTCCCTGCACAGCAGCCTGGGAATGGGGCAGGGTGGGGTCAGGGGACAGAAAGACCCTGTCCTAGAACAATGAACCCTGACATTTGCTTGGCACAGATTCTCATCCTTGTGTTCCCTCTGAAGAGGGCACATCAGGGGCTGCTGCTCCACTTCACAGATGAGGAAAGAGAGGTCAAGAAGGTTCAAAGTCATGCAGTGGAGAGTGTGGAGGTGACCTGGACTCCAGACTTCCTCCTTCGGGAGCTTTATGTTCGGGTGCTGCTTGGGGACAGCTCTTCCTATGCCCCCACCTTCTCTGGAAGGCAGCCAGGACTGAAGCACGGCCACCTCACAACGCATCATGCTGGGACATGTAGGGTCTCAGAGTGAGGTATGTGTGTGCATGAGTGTGTTTATGAGTGCGCATGTGAGAATTCCGATAAATGCACACACCCTCACAGCACAAGATGTGGGGAAAGACATAGGGTCCAAAACAGCCCACCAGGCTGTGCCTTGTGTTTGTGGGTTTAGCCCTGAGTGGGGAGGTGTTGAGATTAGCTGCACTCTTGGATGAGGGTGGAGAGGTGCTGCCACTGCCACTGCATGGCACCCAGCTGTGAGATGACCCCTCTGTTGGCACAGGCAGAGTTACAAAATCAGCATTGCAAAACTGAGGAATGGGAACCAGGGACATCCATCTACACACATCAAAATGGTTAAAGGGGAAAAACAAACACACTGTCCATTTGCAAACTGCCTGCAGTTAAGCCCTCAGTGAGTCAACCCTTCAAGGTGGCATCAGCAGGGGAGAAAATTTCAGCTCCAGGCTCTCTGGGTTTTTCTTATCTCCACTGTACTTTCCTAAAGCCTGATTTCTTTTAGGTAATGCGCATCCTCCTCTCTCCATCATATTTTCTTTGTAAGCTCTTAGACTGTGTTCATTTGCAAAGGTCATCAAAGGGCAGTTTTCTCTGGAGCTGGTTTTGAATCCTGGTTCTTCTACTTACCAGCTGAGTGACTTCAGATGGGTGACTTAACCTGGGTCCATGCCTCAGTTTCTCCATCTATAAAATGGTAACAACAGTACCCAATTCATAGGATTGTTATGATTAAATGAGTTAGTTCATGTGAGGCACTTACAATAGTGTCTAGCCAATGAGTGTTTCATAGATGTGAGCCATCATTATCACCATTGACATCACCGCCACCATCATCATCACCATCATCATCATCACTGTAATCACTATCAACATTACCATCATCACCCTCACTATCATTATCATCACTATCACCATCACCATCACTACCATCATCACCATGACCATCATCATCACCATCTCCATCATCATCATCATTGTTATCATCACATCATCAGTATCATCACTACTATGATCGCCATCATTACTACCATCATCCCTTCATTACCATCATCACCATCATTATCAGCATCACTATCATGATCATCACCATCACCATCATCAATATCATTACTACTGTGATCACCATCACCACCACCATTATCCCATCATTATCATTTTCACTATCACCATCATCACCACTACCATCATTATCATCTCATCACCATCATCAACACCATCACCATCATCATCATTACCATTACCATCATCACCGTCACTATTATTACCATTATCATCATCACCATCACCATGATCATCACCATTACCATCATCACCATCTCCCTCATTATCATCATTATCATTATCATCACTTCATCAGTATCATCACTACTATGATCACCATCACCACTACCATCATCCCATCATTATCACCATCATCCCATCATTATCATCATCACCATCACCATCATCAGTATCATCACTACTGTGATTACCATTACCACCATCATCCCATCATTATTTCTGTCACCATCATTATCACCACAACCATCATCATCACCATCATCATCACCACCATCACCATCATCATCACCACCATCATTAGCATCACGATCATCACCATCATCACCACCATCACCATCATCTCCATGAACATCACCATCACCACCATTACCATCATCATCACTACTACTACCTTACCATCCATGTAACGTACCTACTGCCTTACCTAGCACCATCAATGTCACCATAATTATTATCATCACCATCACCATCATCATCACGATTATCACCACAACCATCAATATCATCGTCATTTTCTCCATCATCACCATCAACAACATCCTGAAACTGAAATAAAGAAAAAGGCCCTGCTGTGGCCTCATCTTGCTCCTCTGCTCTGGAATCAGAAGGAGTAAAAACCAGCCAAGTGGAGGGCAGAGCTGACAGCAAAGGAGAAGCTGGGCTGTTTGCTGCCCAGGCCTGGCTGGCACCCCTCCTCCTGGGACGTAGCAACTTTCTGAGCATGTCCTCAGTACGAGGCTTCCCTGCACTGCTTCTCCCTGAATGTTCACAATAGTCCCACGGGGCAGGTGCCATCACGGTGAAGTTGAGGTACAGAGAGGTCAAGGAGCTTGGCCAGGGTGCACAGCTGGTGAGGGACTGAGTCAGGATGTAAAACACTGTCTGATCTGTGGTCCAGTGGCATCCACTGCACTTCACTGCCCACAGTAGGGGTGGGGGTGGGGGTGGCAGGCTCCCTGTTGCCTCAGACTGAAGAAGTGCTCAAGGCTGGCTCTGTGTACTGGGACCTCTCTCCTGGGCCATGAACCACAGCATCTATTTTTAAATGTGGAGCACCTATTCACGGAGGCAGCACCATGCTGGGCCCTGGAGGAACAAAGCAGGCAAATAAGTCAGGACTCTGAACCTGTGGGCGGCCGGTTGGGTGGGGAGGACAGACATGTACACAGAGCATCATAATACAATGAAGCCAGTGCCATGACAGAGGTACATGGGGGCCACCGGGGAAGGTTCCCAGAGGAGGGGCACCTACCCTTGTTGGCAGGGCCAGTGCTGAGTGTCAGTTACGCCCTTTATATTCTTTATAAATTACACAATCTTAGATTTTTTTTTTTTTGAGACAGAGTCTCACTCTGTTGTCCAGGCTGGAGTGCAATGGCGCAATCTCACCTCACTGTAACCTCCGCCTCCTGGGTTCAAGCATTCTCCTGCCTTGGCCTCCTGGGTAGCTGGGATTACAGGCACATGCCACCCCGCCTGGCTAATTTTTGTAGTTTTTAGTAGAGATGGGGTTTCACCATGTTGGTCTGGTCTTGAACTCCTGACCTCGTGATCCACCCACCTTGGCCTCCCAAAGTGCTGGGATTACAGGTGTGAGCCACCGTGCCCTGCCTCAGATACTTCTTTATAGTAGTGTGAAAATGGACTAATACAGTATGCATTCATTGAGTTTCTTGGATCTATTGGCTGATCTTTTTAGATTTTGGAAAATTCTCAACAACTATTCCTCAAATATTTACTCTGCCTTATGCTCCTTTTCTTCTCTTTCTGGTGCTCCAATTTCATGTATGTTAATATTTTTCCACAGTTCTTCAACACTCTGTTCTTTTTTAAATTTTTATTTTGTTAATTATTTTTCTGTTTGAATTTTAGTTTGGATAATTTCTATTGACTAGTCTTTAAGATCCTTTCAGTTTTATTGATCTTTTCTTCTACTGTGTTCAATCTGCTGTTAAACCCATCAAACAAACTCTTTGTATCTAATATTACAGTTTTCATCTCTAGAATTTCCATTTGGTTATTTTATAGTTTCCATTTCTGTGCTGAAATTTCCCATCTGTTCACACATGCTGTCTACCTTTCCCACTAGATCTTTTAACATCTCTATTTTAGTTTATTTAAGGTCCTTGTCTAATAATTCCAACACTCAGTCATCTGTGGGTCTACTTCTATTGGTAATTTTTCCCCTGATTATTAGTCTCATTGCCCTGCTTCTTTGCATGTCTTGCAATTTTTTTAGTCTGAAATGTAGTATATTTTTTAAAAAGTAGTGCCTATAGTAAGTATATGTCTCCTGGAAAAAGAATGTACCCTTCTTCTATTGGGCCATTAGTGTGAGGGACTGAGTCAATCTAATATGCAGTTGACTTGGATCTGGGCTTTAGTGAAGCTTCAGTTAAAGTCACTTAACCACTCACTTCAAATGTTTTGAAAGTAGGATCAGGTCTTTCCCTTAAGTAAGTGTTTGAGAGAGAAGAGGACAGTATGAAAAACGTAATGTGTGCCTGTATTAGAAAGGTCAGAGGGCTTTGAGGATGTAAACATGGTGTATAAAGGTGAGTGTTGTTAAACAGGATATTGCAACAGTGCAGAGATGGGTGGTAACTTTCAGAGGATGAAAGATCTTATTCTTGAAGCTTTCAGCTGGGAATGGTAAAAATAATAACAGATACTATCCTGATGAAGGGCATTCTGGGCCTGAACCCAATCACTTCAAAGACCCTGAAAGAATTCTCAGGATTCCATAGCAATTGGCCATAGGCCACTGCTGCTTCCACATATGAAAAAAATGCTAACATCCCAGTCCTACTTCCAAACCCCAGCACAGGCTGTATTGCCCCCCAGGGTAATTTAACACCAGAAAACAAAAACTTCATTGGTCCTGGTCCAGATTTCTGTGTCCTGGCCTCGCCCATAAAGGGGGCTCCCATTAGCTAACCTGCTCAGCTCCCCGCCACACTTCCCACAGAGCTTTCTAGCTTTTGTCAGCTCAAGGCAGCCCTTGAAAACTGTAGAATCTGAGGGGGTGTGTATCTAATAAAGTTGGAGCTCTGTAATTTAGCAATTACTGTAACCCACACTTGTAATTTAGGGGGTTTCTTGTAATTCTTTGTACTCTTTCTTTTTGAAAAAATATGCAGCCTTAATAGCTTCCTCTTTAATGCTCCAAAGGCCGATATTTGCCACTCCCCATCCCCTGTCAGCTGCAGAGCACAAAGAAGTGTGCAGATCGTGTTGAGGCTGCTTTTCAGGTATTAGAAAGTTTAATTTAATGCTCAGCATCTCCGAAAGGAAACTGAACTTGCTCCTTGTAATCGTGCATGTCTTCAAAGCTCTGAATTCCTCTTCTAGGTTGGTCATCAGTATGGATTAAAATCTGCTGAGAGGTGTAATCTACCCACCTTTCTACATTCTACTATTAGGCCAGTCTCCTCACTGCTTCCTGAATGTGCTAGTGTTAATTTTGCTCATCTGTCTTTATTTGTGCAGTTACCTATTTGTTCATTTAAGATTTTTTTTTCTTTTTTTGAGAACCTCTATGTGCTAGACTCTAGGCTCACTACCAGGAATCTAAGTCATAAAGGACAGGACAACCTCTGTCCAGGAGTTTGTAGTCTGGAAAGACAGATGACTCTATCATAACTACACTCAAGATATTAGGTGTGATGACAGAGCTGGCATAGAGGGTGATGGAAACCAGGGGGTGGCACCTAACTCAGACTGAGCTGTGAGAAGTAGCTATTTGGAAGCCAGGCTATGATGGTAAAAAGAGGCGAGAGAGGCAAAGCGTGGGAAAGAATGGTCCACAAAGCACACAGAGACTTGTGCTGGAATGCTTCTATTCATAAAAGCTGGATTTAAAATAGAGACAAACCGGAAAACACACAGATGTTCATCAATAGAAGAATTTTGATATATGTATACAATGGAATTTGACTTAGCAATTAAAAATGAACTACTGGTACATGTAACAACATGCTTCATTCTTTAAAATGTTATGTTGAACAGAAAAGCCTATTGCAAAGGGCACATAGTATTTAATTCCACGGAGAATGAAATGCAAGAAGAGGCAAAACTGGCCAGGTGCAGTGGCTCATGCCTGTAATCCCAGCATTTTGAGAGGCCGAGGCGGGTGGATCACTTGAGGTCAGGAGTTCAAGACCAGCCTGGCCAACATGGTAAAACCCCGTCTCTACTAAAAATACAAAAATTAGCCAGGTGTGGTAGTACGTGCCTGTAATCCCAGCTACTCAGGAGGCTGAGGCAGGAGGATTGCTCAAACCCAGGAGATGGGGGTTGCAGCAAGCTGCGACTGTGCCATTGCACTCCCCCGGTCTGGGCAACAGAGCAAGACTCCGTCTCAAAATAAATAAATAAATAAATAAATAAATAAATAAATAAATAAATAAATAATCAAAAAAAGAAGAGGTAAAATTAATCCATAGTGATAAAAACCAGAACTCTGGTTGCCTATGGGGAGGTGGAGACTCAATGTGAATGGCCTGGGATGATGTAAATAGGCTATTGGTTTTCTGGTAGCATGTATTTACACATTTACCAACTCATTGAATTTTACACTTAAGATCTGTGTATTTCACTGCAGGCAAATTTTGCCTCGATAAAAACTAACCAGTAAAAGAAGAAAAAAGAATCTGAATGTCTCTATCTTTTTACAGAGGGTTTTAATCCATTCGCATTATTTGTGAGTATTGAGATTGATGTTAGGACTTATTTCTGCTAACTTGCTTTATTTTTAAAACTATAGTTAACATACTTTCTTGTTATTTCTTATTTTCCTTAACAATAATAAAGTTTTGAATTCACGTCTAAATTCAACTGTGACTGTATCCTATTATTTTCTAAATAATCTACAATAGGTTTTGATTTCTTTGTTGACTTAATCATTATTAAAAGAAGGTTTTAAAATTTCCAAACCACTGAGTGTTTCTGTTAGGCTTTGTTAAAACTTGACCATTAATTTCTGTTTTTCCTATTTTAAACAATTGTGGTTAGGAAATGTAGACTGTGCTCTCACTGCTTTATAGAACAAGACAGAAAACAGACTGTTCTTGGATTAACAGATGTGTTGTTTTGGTTTATTCAGATGGCCTCAAAATGTCCTCTGTTGGTGAGAGGATTTTTAAAAATCGTTACATATAAGCCTTTTAATATCAAGGTATATTAGTCCAATTTTAATACTGCTATGAAGAAATACCCAAAACTGGGTAATTTAGAAAGACAAAGAGGTTTAATGGACTCACAGTTCCACGTGGCTGGGGAGACCTCACAATCATGGAAGAAGGCAAAGGAGGAGCAAACGCACATCTCACATGGCAGCAGGCAAGATAGTGTGTGCAGATATCATGATATCTGATATCCTGAGACTTACTATCATGAGAACAGCACAGGAATATCCCACCCCCATGATTCAATTACCTCCCACCGGGTCCCTCCCACAACACGTGGGGATTATGGGAGCTACAATTCAAGATGAGATTTGGGTGGGGACACAGCCAAACCACATCACAAGGCCAGCGACTTGCGTGTAATGGGTATTTAATTGTCAAAAATTCATACAGCCAAATAACATTTGCTACTAAAAGCTTGACTCTGTTTTGTGTTCCTGGACCACATGAACAGGGTGTATTTGCCTCTCCTCCTGGAAGGAGCTTGGTGCCTGGGTCCCATGTATCTTTAAATACATATTGCTTGCTTCAGCAAGCAAAGACAGCCCCTACCACCCTACTTTGCCACTGTCAGACTAAGGCAAATATAATGATCTCTTATTTGTGTCCTTGTTCCTTGTGTGGAAAACCCAAATGCAGCAAGAATGAAAAGTGTTAAAGGATTTTATGTGTTCAATGTATTTAGGCCATGTCAGCAGTAATACAAAATCAAGTGTATCTTTTTTAAAAATAGATATATTTAATGAGGGAAAAAAATCCATAAAACCACTATCAGGTATTAGAGCCAGATGTTATGATTCTGACTTTCAGACAGACCCTAAGGCCTACATCTCAGGTTCTGCCCAGTAATTTTCATTTTTTGACCTGGATCTATACATTTATCAAATTTTAGCTGTGTACAGATAGAAAAGAAAGTGGTTAGAAATAAAAATGCTGGCTGGGCACAGTGGCTCAGGCCTGTAACCCCAGCACTTTGGGAGGCCAAGGTGGGTGGATCACCTGAGGTCGGGAGTTCGAGACCAGCCTGACCAACATGGAGAAACACCATCTCTACCAAAAATACAAAATTAGCCTGGCGTGGTGGTGCATGTCTGTAATCCCAGCTACTTGGGAGACTGAGGCAGGAGAATTGCTTGAACTCGGGACGTGGAGGTTGCAGTGAGCTGAGATCGTGCCACTGCACTCCAGCCTGGGTAACAAGAGCAAAACTCCCTCTAAAAAAAAAGAAGAAGAAAGAGAAAGACAAAGAAAGAAGACAAAGAAAGAAAGAAAGAAGCTGTGATTCAACGTATAATCAGTTTTGTAACTGTTCCATTGATGTTTGAAAAGATGGCATATTATAGCTATTACAGCAGTAGGATGTAAGTGTAAAATCTTTCTATCCATCTATCTATATATTAGTTACCTATTGCTGCATTCAGCACATAACAGCCAAAACAACAAACATTTCTTTGTTTTTTCTTAACTTTTATTTTAGGTTCAGGGTTATGTGTGCAGGTTTGTTATGTAAGTAAACTCATGTCATGGGGGGTTGTCGTACAGATTATTTCATCACCCAGGTACTAAGCCTACTGCCCAATAGTCACTTTTTTCTGCTCCTCTCCCTCCTCCCACCCTTCATCCTCAAGTAGGTTCCAGTGTCTGCTATTCCCCTCTTTGTGTCCATGAGTTCTCATCATTTAGCTCCCACTAATAAGTGACAACAAGAGGTATTTGGTTTTCTGTTCCTACATTAGTTTGCTAAGGATAATGGCCTCCAGCTCCATTCATGCTCCCACAAAAGACACGATCGCATTCTTTTTTTATGGCTGCATAGCATTCCATGGTGTATCTGTACCACATTTTCTTCATCCAATCTGTCATTGATGAACATTTAGGTTGACTCCACGTCTCTGCTACTGTGAATAGTGCTGCAATGAACATTTGCATGCGTGCGTCTTTAGGGTACAATGATTTATATTCCTTTGGGTATATACCTTGTAATGGGATTGCTGGGTTGAATGGTAGTTCTGTTTTTAGCCCTTTGAGGAATCACCACACTGCTTTCCACAATGGTTGCATTAATTTACACTCCCACCAACAGTGTCTAAGTGTTCCCTTTTCTCTGCAGCCTCACGAGCATCAGCTGTTTTTCGACTTTTTAGTAACAGCCATTCTAACTGGTGTAAGATGGTATCTCATTGCGGTTTTGATTAACAACAGACATTTCTAATCTCACAGTTGATGTGGGTCAGGAGCTCAGAAGCAGCTTAACTGGATGGCTCTGACTCAGCGTCTCTCATGAGGTGGTCGAGGTGGAGGCTGGGGCTGCAGTCATCCGAAGATTTGACTGGTGCAGGAAGATCTGCTTCCAAGGTGACTCATATGTGTGGCTGTTGGCAGGAGGCTTCAGTCCTTGCCATGTGAGCCTCTCTTCACATCATAACTGGCTTCTTCAAGAATGAATGATCCAAGAGAAAGAAAGAAAGAGAAGCTGCAGTGTCTTTTATAACCTAACCTTGGAAGTGACATACCATCATTCCTGCATATTCTATTGGTTACACAGACCAACCCCAGTACAGCGTGGGAGCAGACTACACAGGTGCGTGAATACTAAGAGGTGAAGGTCACTGGGGATCATCCTGGAGGCCGGCTATCACAACCTACCTTTTTATCTGTTTATAGATACAGGTAGAAAGTTGTTCAACCTTATGAATTATATTATTAAAATAATTGGTCTATATTTTGTCCACTTGACTATCAAAGACTGAGAGTGGCTGTCACTGTTGTGCTGCAGAGGTAATGCTGTTTTGCATTTTGACCATTTCAAAATATCTTTTGAGACAAATTATATTTTATGTTATGTTTTCATTGTGGATTCTGCCCTTAATATAAAATAACTCCATTCATTTTAATATCTTCTGCTTTTGATTCTGTGATGCTTAATAAGATTTTTATCTCTGTTTTCTGTTTTCTTGCATTTACCTAATAATTTTTGCTGGCGTTTTAATTTTTAAGCTCTAATATTTTAAAATTATAAATTGATAATTTATAATTGTGTATATTATGGGGTAAAGATTTCTATACAAAATAATTCATGAATGCCATGTGGAATAATTAAATCATGTTAGTTAATATACCAGTCACTTCAAATACTTAATATTTTTTGTGGTGAGCACATTTAAAATTTACTCTCTTAGCAATGTTGAAATGTAGAATATGCCATTATTAACTATATTCACCATGCTATTCAATAGATCTCAAAAAGCCCTCCCCCATATCCTTTCTGTCTAACTGAGATTTTGTACCCTTTAGCTATCATTGCCTCATTTGCGTATCTCTTTAATACTGAATTTCTTTCGGGTGTGTCTCTTGTAAACAACATATGCTTCTATCTGATTTTTAATAAGAAAATTTAAATAACTCATTTTTATTGTTATAACAAGTATATATGTATATGTGGGGGGAAATATATATATATATTTTTTCTTTTTTTCTTTTTTTTTTTTTTGAGACAGTCTCACCCTGTTACCTAGGTTGGAGCACAGTGGTGTGATCTTGGCTCACTGCAGCCTTGACCTCTTGAGCTGAAGTGATTCTCCCACCTCTGCATCCTGAGTAGCTGGGACTACAGGCGTGGGTCACCACACCTGGCCAAATTTGTGTATTTGTAGACACGAGGTTTTGCCATGTTGCTAGAGACTGGTCTTGACTCCTGGGCTCAAATGATCTGACCACCTCAGCCTCCCAAAGTGCTGGGATTACAGGTGTGAGCCACCGTGCCTGGCCCAACTTGTCATTTTAACAGCATCTAAGTTCTTTAGTTCTTTGAACATATTTCTAGTACCTACTTTAAAATCTTTGCTAAATCCAACATCAGGGCTCACTCAGAGAATCCATTTCTATTGACTGCTTTTTTTTTTTTTTTCCAGATATGGGTTACATGTCCCTGTTTATTTTCATATCTCATAGTTTTTGGTCAAAAACTAGACATTTTAAATATTATAATGCAGTAGCTCTGGATTCCATTTATTTTTATTTATTTTTTTGAGACAGGGTTTCACTTTTCTGCCCAGGCTGGGGTGCAATGGCATGATCTCGGCTCACTGCAACCTCCACCTCCTGGGCTTAAGCAATTCTCCAGCCTCAGCCTCCCAAGTAGCTGGGACTACAGGTGTTCACCACCATGCCCAGCCATTTTTTTTTGTATTTTTAGTAGAGATGGAGTTTCCCTATGTTGGCCAGGCTGGTCTTGATCTCCTGACCTCAAGTGATCCATATACCTCAGCCTCCCAAAGTGTTGGGATTATAAGTGTGAGCCACTGCGCCTGGCCTGGATTCCATTTATTTTTCTGAGTTTTTTTTTTTTCCTTTCCTGGACTTACACTGGGGGATGTCCCCCTTGTGGTATGTGTCTGCTGATAGCTTTGCTCAGATTTTTTATCTTTCAGCCTGCCTTCCCAGGAATTATCCTTGAGTCTGCATTGCCTAGTGATCAGCCAATAATTCAGGCACAGTTTGTGCCCAAACGCCTAGGCCCTACCTAAGCCTTCTTTCCTCGCTGCTCTGTGTGTGTGTGGATTTGGGAGTGCATTTGAAGCCGAGTATCCCTTGGCCTCCACTCTGTGCTGGGCTGGTTCAGGCCCGCCCCGAGGAGGCTCATAGTTTCCCAGTCAGCGCGGTGTTTGTGGAAAGTTTGTTTCAGCCTTTCCAGTACTCTCTTATTCCTAGGTTCTCCCTGTGAAATTTCTTTTTTTTCTTTTTTTCTTTTTTTTTTTGAGATGGAGTCTTGCTCTGTCGCCCAGGCTGGAGTGCAGTGGCCCTACCTCGGCTCACTGCCAGCTCCGCCTCCCGGGTTCAAGTGATTCTCCTGCCTCAGCCTCCTGAGTAGCTGGGATTACAGGTGCACGCCACCATGCCCAGCTAATTTTTGTTTGTTTTTAGTAGAGATGGGTTTTCACCATGTTGGCCAAGCTGGTCTCAAACTCCTGACCTTGTGATCCGCCCACCTCGGCCCCCCAAAGTGCTGGGATTACAGGCGTGAGCCACCGTGCCTAGCCATGAAATTCCTGACTGGTTTGCTGCTTACCCCAAACTTACCATAACTGTTCTTGCTGATCCAGCTTGGGGAGGATAGAGCATCCCTAAACAAGAAGACCACAGACCTTTACTACTCTTGCCAAAAGCTCTGCAGCTTCTCAATAATGGAAGCTTCTCAACTCATTGTCTGTCTTTGGTTGACTAGCCCCCAAAGGTGGTTGATTTTTAATTTTGTCCATTTCGTACTTGTTTTTTTGTGGAGAGAATTCACCAACCTTTTCATGCCAACATAGTCAGAAGTGCCTCCAACAGATTAAGGTTAAAAACCAGATGACTGGTGACTGGACAATCTCAACACACATGGAAAAGGTACAGGATTAAAATTTAATGGTCACTTGTGAATAATAATAATAACTTCATCTAGTAATCATGGTTGTCTACCAAAAACTCATAGCAAGCATTGTACTTAGTGATGAAATGATAAAGACTGTCTCTTTAAAGTCAGAAACAAGACCAGGAAGCACACTCTGGGTGTTCCAAGCCAAAAGGGCTTTTTTTTTTTTTTTGACAGGGTCTCACTCTGTCACCCAGGCTGGAATGCAGTGGTGGGATCTTGGCTCACTGCCGCTTCTGCCTCCTGGATTCAATTGATTCTTGTGCCTCAGCCTCCCAAGTAGCTGGGATTACAGGTGTGCACCACCACACCTCACTAATTGTTGTATTTTTTACTAGAGACACGGTTTCACCATGTTGGCCAGGCTGGTTTTGAACTCCTGGCCTCAAGTGATCCACCTGCCTCGGCCTCCCAAAGTGTTGGGATTACAGGTGCGAGTCACCATGCCTGGCCTCAAAAGGGATTTAATGTAAGAAATTAGGTGCTTTCAGAGTTAATGGAAAGCTAAAACAGAAGACATTAGGGTCCATCACTAGCTTCAGGGTCACGGCACTGTGGCTATGAGAGGGAGCCCCTAAAATGACTGCTAGCCATGCAACAGGAGGCAGCCACCTGCGTAGACAGGGATGGGTGCCTGGTGAAACCCACCTTCAAGCCAAAAACAGCCTGAAGGCTGAAAGACTGGACCGCTGGTGCCGGATGAAACCGAGACGCAGAGTGAGAACTTCTGTTCCTGTTTGCCCGCCCTTCCCCGATTGATTCTTTCTGAATAATGCCTTTCAACCAATCAAATATTGCCTTTTTCAATACTACCTACGGCCTGCCCTCCCAGCCTCTGAGCCCATAACAAGCCCTGGACTGAGCCATATTAGGGGAACTTTCCTGCTTTCGGGTAAGGGGACCACCTCCATGTCCCCACCTTTGGGTAAGGGGACTACCCCCACATCCCCGCCTTCCGGTAAGGGGGCCACCCTCCGTCCCCTCTCTGCGGAAAGCTGTTTCATCACTCGCTAAAACTCCCTGCCTTGCTCACTCTGAGATTGTCAGAGCATCCTCATTCTTTTTGAGCGTGGGACAAGAACTCGGGAACTAGTGCACAAGCCAGACTCGGCCCAGGGTGGAGCATCGTCAGCCGGAGGTCCCTGGCTTCCAAAGTGACCGAGAAGAAAATCCTGACTAGCATCATCACTGCTTCCCACCTCCCGGTCCCAGGATCTGCAGTGGGCAGGCTGGAGATCAAGGAGAGCCGATGATGGAATTCCAGCCTGAATCCAAAGGCCTGAGAACCAGGACAGCCCACAGTGTTAAGTTTGAGTCTGAAAACTGGCAGTCTCAAGACACAGGAGAGCCAATGTCAGTTCAGGTCTGAAGGTGGGACGAAGCTGTTGTCCCCGTGAAGCTGGAGACTAGACAGTGAGAGGGGATCAGGAGCTAGATATGCTGGGGCTCGCTCAGGAACCACCCCCGCTGCAGGAAAGAGTTAGGACTGCTGTGTCCCTGCACCTTCTAAATACTGCATTCAGTGTATCTATGGGTAGACCCTAAATTACAGCTGTGTGAATGGAAAATAAATCTCAGGACCCCCAAATCACCAAGCCAAAGGGGAAAGTCAAGCTGGGAACTGCAGCTTGGCAAACCTGCCTCCCATTCTATTCCTAAAGAAGATAGTTACAAAGGTGAAAAAGCTAGGCCGGGTGCGGTGGCTCACGCCTGTAATCCCAGCACTTTGGGAGGCCGAGGCAGGTGGATCACAAGGTCAGGAGATCGAGACCATCCTGGCTAACACGGTGAAAACCCGTCCCTACTAAAAAATACAAAAAATGAGCCGGGCGTGGTGGCAGGCACCTGTAGTCCCAGCTACTTGGGAGGCTGAGGCAGGAGAATGGCATGAACCCGGGAGGCAGAGCTTGCAGTGAGCCGAGATCCGGCCACTGCACTCCAGCCTGGGCAACAGAGCGAGACTCCACCTCAAAAAAAAAAAAAAAAAAAAAGCTACAGACCTCCCTCACAATTTGCCCACAAGGAAATTCCTTGTGGACAAAGGACAGATAAAACTCAAAGTCATCCCTCTGCTCACCTGAGACCAATGCAGATCTGATGGCTTCCTCTGCCCTACTGTTTCACTGAGCCAGACCAAGGCATGAGTGACTATTACTGTCAATTGTGTATTCAGTGAAAGGCTAATCAGAAACTCAAAAGAATGCAACCATTATCTACCTATGACCTGAAAGGCGCCTCCCCGCTTCGAGCTGTCCCATCTTTCCGGACCAAACCAATGTACCGCTTACATATATATATATACACATATATATATATATATATATATACACATATATATATATATATATATACACACATATATATATATATATACACACATATATATATATATACACATATATATATATACATACATATATATATATATACACATACATATATATATATATACACATATATAAAATTTTTTTTTTTTTTTGAGACAGAGTCTTGCTCTGTCGCCCAGGCTGGAGTGCAGTGGCCCGATCTCAGCTTACTGCAAGCTCCGCCTCCCGTGTTCACGCCATTCTCCTGCCTCAGCCTCCGAGTAGCTGGGACTACAGGCGCCTGCCCCGACGCCCAGCTAATTTTTTTGTATTTTTAGTAGAGACAGGGTTTCACCATGTTAACCAGGATGGTCTCGATCTCCTGACCTCATGATCCGCCTGCCTTGGCCTCCCAAAGTGCTGGGATTACAGGCGTGAGCCACCATGACCGACCCAGCTTACATATATTGATTGATGTCTCATGTCTCCCTAAGATGTATAAAACCAAGCTGTGCCCCAACCACCTTGGGCACATATCGTCAGGACCTCCTGAGGCTGTGTCACAGGCAGGTCCTCAACCTTGGCAAAACAAACTTTCTAAATTAATTGAGACTTATCTCAGATGCTTTTTGGTTTACAGCTGGTATCCTGTAAAATCAAGGTGGTCTGGGAAATGTAGCATTTAGCCTTCTAGCTCCCATGCTACAAGGTGGTGGAACTGGATGCTGAATGCCATAGAGAGTATCTAGCACAGACATATAGAAAAATTCTCTTCTGGTCTTTCAAGATAAAAACAGGATCTATTTTATTTTTGTTTATTTTTAATTTTTTTTTGTTTTTTTCTTTTGAGATGGAGTCTCGCTTTGTCACCCAGGCTAGAGTGCAGTGGCGCGATCTCAGCTCACTGCAAGCTCCACCTCCTGGGTTCAAGCGATTCTTCTGTCTCAGTCTCCCAAGTAGCTGGGACTACAGGCGCCCGCCACTACACCTGGCTAATTTTCGTATTTTTAGTAGAGACGGGGTTTTGCCATGTTGTCCAGGCTGGTCTCGAACTCCTGACCTCAGGTGACCCACCCACCTCAGCCTTCCAAAGTGCTGGGATCACAGGCGAGAGCCACTGCTCCCAGCCAGGATCTACTTTAGCTCCAAACCCATCTTGAATTTATGTCCCCAGCCCAGATGAAGCAGGGGAAATCGCTGGTGAATATTCGCATTAGTCAGGGTTCTCCCCTCTGTCTATATCTCTGCCTCTCCTGTTGGTCCTGTTTATATAAAGAGATCTATTATTAGGAATCGGCTCACGTGATCATGGAGATTGGAAAGTCCCGTGATCTGCAGTGGGCAAGCTGGAGACCAGGAAGAGCTGATGGTGGAGTTCCAGTCTGAATCCAAAGGCCTGAGAACCAGGACAGCCCATGGTATACGTTCTAGTCTGAAAGCTGGCAGTCTCGGGACACAGGAGAGCCAATGTCAGGTCAAGTCTGAAGGCAGGACAAAGCTGTTGTTCCAGCTTGAAGACCATCAGGGAAGAGAAATTCATTCTTGCTTGGAGGAGGGTCAGCCTTTTGTTCTGTGCAGGCCTTCAACTGATGATGAGGACCCCCTCCACACTAGGGAGGACAAACTGCTTTATTCTGTCCACTGATTTAAATGTTAATCTCAGCCTGGCTCGGTGGCTCATGCCAGTAATCCCAGCACTTTGGGAGGCCTAGGTGGGAAGATCACCTGAGGTCAGGAGTTCCAAACCAGCCTCGCCAACATGGTGAAACCGTGTCTCTACTAAAAACACACAGAAAAATTAGCTGGGTGTGGTGCCACACACCTCTAATCCCAGCTACCCAGGAGGCTGAGGCAGGAGGATCACCTGAGCCCAGGAGGTCGAGACTGCAGTGAACCATGATCACACCATTGCACTCCAGCCTGGGTGACAGAGCAAGACTCTGTCATAAATAAATGTTAATCTCACCCAAAACACCCTCACAGAAACACTCTAATGTTTGACCAAATTTCTGGGCACCCCGTGGCCCAATCCGGTTGACACATAAAATTAACGATCACAGCATTTGTGAAATGTCTGACATTTTATGACTGGTGCTTTTGAGATGTTCTATATCTGGCAGACAGAATCCCTAATAAACAACACCTTACAGCTAAGGAGCATGTTTGACTCTGGCGTTCTGACTGATGTTCACATCAAGGAGAGAAAAGAACGCGAACACTTCTCGAAGAGGAGGGGGCATGATGGGAGCCTCCTTCCTCTGCTCCTCCCTCTCACTCCCCTCCCCCAGCCTGGTGACTCTGGCTTCTACCTGCAGCCCCATACCTGTCTCACTGACTGATGGTTGTGGCTTTAGAGCCAAAGTTCCTGAGCCTCTGAGCCTATCCAGCCACATCAAAAGCCACTCCTGCTGCTGGCTTCCAGCTCTAGTTAGTTGCTCACACTCCTTCCCAAACCTCATGTCTTGTGGACTTTTTGCTCCCTGGCCTTCCAGGATCGGTCCTGCCTTCACATGGACCTGATTCTCTGCTGCCTGGACCCACACCTCATGTGTTTAGGGATCTCCAGATGACCCATAGCTCATGTCACTGTACCTGCCAATCATCTTCTCATTTGAACCAGACCCTGCCTGGTGGCACCCAGGAATCTACCCCCTACCCTGGGGACAGGTCTCCAGTCCGGGTGAGAAAGGTGCTATGTATCTAGGGCTCATCCCGCTTCACGCTGAAGGTGACGGGGGGTGGCAGTGTGTCCGGAATTGGTGGGTTCTTGGTCTCACGAACTTAAAGAATGAAGCCACCGACCCTCGCAGTGAGTGTTACAATTCTTAAAGGTGGTGTGTCTGGAGTTTGTTCCTTCTGATGTTTGGACATGTTTGGAGTTTCCTCCTTCTGGTGGGTTCATGGTCTCTCTGGCTTCAGGAGTGAAGGTGCAGACCTTCACCGTGTGTTACAGCTCTTAAGGCGGCGCCTCTGGAGTTGATCCTTCCTCCCGTCAGGAGTTATTCGTTCCATTCCTCCTGGTGGGTTCATGGTCTCGGTGGCATCAGTAGACCTTCACAGTGAGTGTTACAGCTCATAAAGGCAATGCGGACCCAAAGAATGAACATTTATTGTAAAGAGCAAAACAACAAAGCTTCCACAGCTCAGAAGAGAACCCCAGCAAGTTGCCCCTGCTGATTCGGGCAGCCTGCTTTTATTCCCTTATCTGGCCCCACCCACATCCTGCTGATTGGTCCATTTTACAGCAAGCTGATTGGTCCGTTTTACAGAGAACTGATTGGTCTGTTTTGACAGGGTGCTGACTGGCACGTTTACAAACCTTTAGCTAGACACAAAAGTTCTCCAAGTCCCCACTAGATTAGCTACACACAGAGCACTGACTGGTGCATTTACAAACCTTGAGCTAGACACAGGGTACTGATTGGTGTGTTTACAAACCTTGGGCTAGACACAGAATGCTGATTGGTGTACTTACAATCCTATAGCTAGACATAAAAGTTCTCCAAGTCCCCACCCGCCTCAGGAGCCTAGCTGGCTTCACCTAGTGGATTCTGTGCCAGGGCCGCGTCAGGCGCCTGCACTCCTCAACCCTTGGGCGGTCATGGGACTGGGCGCTGCCCAGCAGGGGGCAGCCCCCGTCGAGGAAGCTCGGGCCAAGCGGAAGCCCACCAGGAGGGGGTGGGGGGTGGGGCTCGGGCAGGGCGGGCTGCAGGTCCCAAGCCCTGCCTCATGGGGAGGCAGCTGAGGCCCGGCGAGAATTCCAGCATGGCTCGGGCGGGCCGGCAGTGCTGGGGGACCCGGCGCCCCCGACCCCCCCAGCTGCTGGCCCGGGTGCTAAGACCCTCACTGCCTGGAGCCGCTGGCAATAGCCAGCGGATCAGAGTGTGGGGCCCGCCAAGAAATCGCCCTGGCCCGGGGAGCCCCCTGGGCAGCCCCGGTTCCCGCCCGCGCCTCTCCCTCCACAACTCTCCCTCAACACCTCCCTCTCCACTCCTCCCCGCAAGCAGAGGGAGCCGGCTCCACCCTCGGCCAGCCCAGAGAGGGGCTCCCACAGTGCAGTGGCGGGCTGAAGGGCTCCTCAAGGGCAGCCAGAGTGGGTGCCGAGGCCAAGGAGACACCGAGAGTGAGCGAGGGCTGCCAGCACACTGTCACCTCTCAGCAGCATACAAGGGCCACCTGGGAAGTGGCCACTGAATCTGGGCTCAGGCTATAGGCCCCCTCTCTTGATCTTCAAGTTCAGTCTCCCATTTTTCCTTGTCATTTTTGTTTTGCCAGCTTTCAGTGGCAGCAGCCCCTCCCCCTGGGGCTCAGAGCTGGAGAGGGAGTTTTAAGTGGTTTCTGCAAAATATTTTGGAGGAGAATGATCTGCCTTTAGTAGTCAAGGACTCTTCTTGCAACACTCAGGCTCTGTTTTATGGACAGAAAGAGTCCAGGAGGCTCTCTGAGCCACACAAGGCCCTTTGCAACCTTCCTGGGCTCGGGCTGCGAGCAGCCATTTTGGAACATGTGAAACGGATTTTAAATTCCCTCTTTGCAGTTTGAGAAGATGGCGGCCTGAACCGGAGTCCTTCTTCCCCTCCTCCCTCTCCGCTGCTGCAATGCCCAGGCCCCCCGCAACGTTCCTCGTCTGTAATGGTGCCAGAGGCTTTAAATCTTGCAGAAGCCACATCTGCTGCCTGCAGGTAAACCTCCCTGGCTGAGCCCACTGCGCACGCCTCCACGTTCTGGAGCCAGAAACAATGAGAAGCACAATTCCGGCAGCATCTCTCCTCCCGGTCATTTGCATAGCACAACCTCTCCCTCCACCCCCTCCTGTCTCCCACGTGGATCTTCATGTAATTAATTAATATCGCGTTCATCAGAGCTTAATTCATGTTCTTGTAATATACAAGGATTAAAAAAAAATCCTACCAAGAGAGCAGTAATAGGCTCCGGCTTTTCTGGTCTGGGAGCAAATATAATGAGCCTCCATGAAAATATTGAATCGCTTCCCGCAGTCTCCACACCTCAGAGCACTGGCATGTTTACTGTGGTAAGCCACCCCTGTGTTTAGAAACATCACGGCCTGCTTTCCTACAGGGGTAGCCATGCTGGGGGCCTCTCTGGAGCCTCTCCTAGGAGTGCATTCAGCAGGGCAGAGGCTCGGAGCTCTTCCCGGGGGTACATTCAGCAGTGGCAGAAGCTCAGCAGATGATGGGGTTCTGTGTGGGTGAGAGCTGAGGGTTGGGTTTCCTGCACAATGCCAAGAGTGCCAAGAGTGGCATTGCAAGTTACTCCTTCCCTCCCAGAGCCCATTTATTTTTAAGCCACCCTCTCCCCTCCACTACAGTGTGATGGCTTCTCCATGCTAATCGCCCTATAGAACAAGGAGAAAAGGAAAGGTGGGCCCTTCACGGTATATATTTTGCTCTTTGATTGGAACGAAATGAACTCAGTGTAACGTCCAGGCTGTTGTGGGGGCTGGGTTGTTTCTGGACAGAAAGTCCCATCTGTGTCCAGGGGGCCGCGTCTGAGTTCGGGGCATCCACACTGGCACGCTGTTTTGCTCGGAGCTGGGACATAACACGTGGGCTGTGTGAGCGCTCTTGGGGGCTGGAAACCCAAGGGGCCGATCAAGGGTTCTTGATTCAACCAAACCTCCCCCTTGCCATCCTCCATGCAGAACGCGTCCCTGGGGCCTTCACCCTGTCGTGAACAAAGCACGACTATTTTGTAAAGGGAAGATCAAAGAGCCAGAAGTCGCGGATGAGTGTGTGGCAGGTGGGGACTCAGAGTGACAGTGGCCATGCGGTGTGTCCCGTGGTCGCCCCAGAGGCGGATGGGCCAGGCCGCTGCACATACCCTGGGAGGAGGCAGGTGGGGAGGGAACCCGAGGACCCTGCCTATGTTCACCCCTCTGTTCCTCTCTGGGACCCACTATGGCTGGAAGGGACTTTTTCCTTCTCCCCCCACCCCTCCCCTCCTCACCTTCCCTCCCCCTGCTTTTTAATTTCTTCCCTTTTGCAAGGCTTTTTGTCCAGCTGGGGCTGGGAAGAAGATGCCCCCGACCCCCTCTCGTGGTCGCCAGGGTAGGGGTGGGAGGAATCTGGAAGCCACGTGCGATGCTCGGAGCTGCGTCCTCTGTCCTGGGGCGTGGGTCCGCGAGCGCCGCGCAGCCTCCCGGACCGCCCTGAGCTGCTGCGCCCGGCGCTGCTCCTCCTTCCCCAGCTCCGCGCCTTCCCCTCGCGATCCCCCTCCTGCCTCTTCGGTCCTGGAAGCGTCCCAAGATGGGGTGGGGGCATGGAGGGAGAGAGGGGAGGAGGGAGCTGCCCGGGGGCAGTGCCGCCAGGAAGTGGGACGGGGACTCTGGCGCCCCTCCAGGCTGCTGCGCGCGGGCTGGGGACCGTGCACCGCTTTGCGCGCCAGACGATGCATCTTCTGGAACGGCAGCTGAGGCAATGCGGGGTGTGAAGTGGCGGCGGGCAGAGGGGCTCGCAGGGGCTGGGATCCGCGTGCCCCTCTCTGCCTCGGTGCGGAGCACGATGTGCCCGGGCGGGGGCGAGGACGTCCGGGAGGGGCTGGGCTGCGCACGCTCGCGGGGCCGTCGCAGATGGGCGGTTTGGAGGCGCTGCAGTCCCTGGGAAATGGGAGCCTCCGTCCTGTTCTCTCTGCTGCTTGGCTGGGCTGGGCTGGGCAGGGCAGGAAAGCCAGGGTCCCCACCCCTCCTGGAGCAGAGCACTCCGCGCTGGCTGTTCCGGGGGCCCGGGAGGGCAGAGCTGTCAGAAGGTCTGTCTGGCATCATTAGGGGAGCTGTCTGTCTCTCTATCCCTGGCTGGCGTGGCCCGGCAGGAGGCGAGGCTGATATTTTCAGGAGACCTGGTGATTTGACCTGACACCTGTCAGTCAGGTAAGCGCTGGCCTCCTGCCTGCATCCCCCTGGGGAAGAGCCGGTTCTGCTCCCTGACCGGGAACGGGTCCCTCAGTGCTGAGGATGGCAGTTAATGAGCCCGCCGAGGGGCTGCCCACCGGGTGCACAGGCAGGAGCAGTGGGCATATCCCCTGCTTGCCAGGCCCTGCAGAGGGGCTGCCTTCTCCCCCAATGCCTTCTGCCCCCTTCTAGTGTCTCCAACATTGACCCTGGAAATCACTTTCTTGCTTCTCTTATCAGGATAGTCCTACATGTCTGGAACTTTCTGGGATGTTCTCTGTGCCTTGGAAGTGTTTATTTATTACTTTAAAATCACCTTTAGGGTCTTTATCCTTAAAGATAAAGCCAGTACCTAGAACCAGGTGTCCTTCCCGCAGGGCTTTAGGCCCTACCTGACTTGGGTTCTCAGTCAACCCTTTCCTTCCCTGTGTAACGTGGGTTTTGGCTTTTGCGGAAGTAATCTGTTATGGTCTAAATTGTGTCCTCCCCAAATCCATATATTAAATCCCTAAGCCCCTGGCTGGGCGTGGTGGCGAGCACCTGTAATCTCAGCACTTTGGGAGGCCGAGTTGGGGGCGATCACCTGAGGTCAGAATTTCGAGACCAGCCTGGCCAACATGGTGAAACCCCGTCTCTACTAAAAATACAAAAATCAGCGGGGAGTGGTGGTGGCTGCCTGTAATCCCAGCTACTCCAGAAGCTGAGGCTGGAGAATCACTTGAACCCGGGAAGCAGAGGTTGCGGTGAGCTGAGATCGCGCCATTGCATTCCAACCTGGGGGACAACAGCGACACTCTGTCTCAAAAAAATAGATAAATAAAATAAAAATAAAATAAATCCCGAAGCCCCAGTATCTCAGGATATGATTGTATTTGGAGATACAGCCTTCTATGACCTTCTATAACCTCAGTCCCCAACCTTTTTGGCACCAGGGACTGGTTTCGTGGAAGGCAATTTTTCCACGGACCCGGGTGGGGTGGGGGGTGGTTTCGAGGTGATGCAAGCACGTTACATTGATCGTGCACTTTATTTCTGTTGTTATTACATTGTAATATATAATGAAATAATTATACATTTCATCATAATGTAGAATCAGAGGGACCCTGAGCTTGTTTTCCTGCAACTAGATGGTCCCATCTGGGGGTGATGGGAGACAGTGACAGATCATCAGGCCTTGGATTCTCATAAGAAGCACGCAACCTAGATCCCTCACATGTGCCGTTCACAACAGGTTTCATGCTCTTGTGCACATCCAATGGTTCCTAAAGGGCCACAGACCGGTACTGGTCCTTGGCCCAGGGGTTGAGGACCCCTGTTCTATAAGGTCGGGAGAGAGGCCTCAGAAGAAACCAACCCTGCCGAGACACCTTGATCTCAGACTTCAGCCTCCAGAACTGCGCGGTGATGCGTTCCTGTTGAAGGCACTCTGACCGCAGTGGCTTGCCGTGGCAGCCCTCGACAACAAATACAGGGTCTGTTGAACCAAATGAATCCAAAATGTATGCCCAAAGATAGCCGCCAGGTCTATGAAAACACCTGCTCTGATATGAGGGGACGTGGACCACAGAGGTGAGTGCTGGAATTCAAGTTGGTCTCCTTAGTCATTCTCCTGCCCCACGCCCCCTGCCCCTGTAACAGTTACATTGTCTTAAATCGTACTCGTTTAAAAAGGTATTTACACAACAGATCAACATTTAAGTACATGTTTAAAAGCAATTATGAATGTGCTCACCTGTCAGGGCAGGATGGTTTTGCTCATGTGTTTCCAGTTGGTTGGGTAAATAATCAGCTCGGGTGTTGTTTTGTTTTACACCTACCCCCTACTGTAATTGTGTGTTTACTTTTATGATAACGTCACATCACTCTCATATTTAACTACTAGCAGGGATTAAGTTATTCCAATAAAAGACAGAGAAATAAATTTCAGACCCTGTTTCCTGCCTATCCCCACCCCCATCGTTCAAAAATTGGACAATTTTCCAAGATGATCGGAAGCAGTTTTGAGCATTTGGAAGCCATGGATGCCCTGGCCCGTGGCAGTGTTTTTCAACAGTAACCCACTTGCCGATAAGGTCTCCCTGTGTGGGGTCAAAGGATGTGGCCCCTGCCATCCTTGTGGTCACTAGGGAGGGTACAGGCCTGTGTGCCACACCCCAGCCTAACTCCTCCTGGGGCCTGGGCAGTTTTGATCACTAAGTCCTGACTCTGCCATGGAAGAGGCATCTTCTGGGCGGACACTGATGTTCAGTGGCCTCCAGGGGACTTGGCGGGTCCCCTTGACACACTGGAGGCTCCCTGGCTAGATTCCCCTCCCAGACACCCTCATTCCTGTATCTCCAGGACTGGAGAGGCCTGCTGGCCATCCAGGAGGATGTTTCTGTTGTCGGGCAGATGGTCAGCCCCATGCAGAGGATGGGAAAGCTTCACCTGCCACAGTTGGTAGGTATCTCAACAAGGAGACCGTTTAGTAACTCACTGTGTTCGTGCCAAGATGGCCATGTCGGGCAGCACAGATCCACTGTGGCCAGCAAGCTTACAGACACTGTGTGTTGTCAGAGCAGAGACAGTGTGGAGTTAACATCGTCTTCATCACCACAAACTGCCCTTGCAGGAGCTTGGAGGGGACCCAGGTGCTGGTAGTGACCTTGGCACATTCACAGGGTGACGGCAGAGACAATGGTGGTGACGATAGTTGGGATAGTAACTCAGACTCACAGCTGCGTCCATGTCTTGCAAAATCACGTGGTCTCAGTTGGTCCTCACAGTCCTGGAAATTGTCATATTCTTGAGCTGTAGGGTGGAGGTGGGCAGGAGGCAAGGTCTAAAATTCACTTCTCTCTGCCCGACAACAGAAACATCCTCCTGGATGGCCAGTAGGCCTCTCCAGTCCTGGAGATACAGGAATGAGGGTGTCTGGGAGGGGACTTTAGCTAGGGAGCCTCCAGTGTGTCAAGGGGACCTGCCAAGTCCCCTGGAGGCCACTGAACATCAGTGTCCACCCAGAAGATGTCTCTTCCATGGCACAGTCAGGACTTAATGGGTCCTGAATGGGTCCTCTCTTCCTTTGCTCACAGAAGGTTTTGTGATGATGCCAACAACCAGGACTGCCCTTGCCTTCCTTCAGATTGCCAGAGCAGTCAGGAATCTTCTGCCCTTAGAGTATATCGCGGGGTCCTCCCTCCACATCCTTGCTGATAGAGCTCTGGAGAGGGCCTTTGGGGAGCGTGTGACTATCCCCGGCATAGTCGCCCCCCATCAACACTTATTGTAGGGAAGGAAAGAAGCCAAACGTCTTACTGTCCCATTTTACAGATGAGGAGATGGGCACAGAGAAGTTCAGCAACGTGGCTCAGGTCGAATGCTTGTGATTTTTATTTTTGTTGTTTTTTTGCTTGTGATTTTTATGTCTTACACATTTCCTGGTGCCCTTCTGAAAAAATTCCACGTTGGAAACTTTGGGACATGAAGCCATTTACCAGTCAGGTCATATGTCTAGGGAGACACTATTGCTACAGGTGTCAAGAAGTTTTGCTCCAGAAAAATGTCCAGACCAATTCTGCTTCCCAAGTAGGCCAGGATATCCACAGGACACCTTGAAACAGTGACTCCCTCCTGCATTTTGTTGATTGATTGATTGATTTTTGAGACAGGGTCCTGCTCTGTCACCCAGGCTGGGGTGCAGTGGCTCAATGTCAGTCCACTGCAACCTCCACCTCCCTGGTTTAAGTGATTCTCTGGCCTCAGCCTCCCGAGTAGCTGGGACTACAGGCATGCACCACCACATCCGGCTAATGTTTGTATTTTTAGCAGAGATGGGGTTTCACCATATTGGCCAGGCTGGTCTTGAACTCAAGATGATTCGCCCAACACAGCCTCTCAAAGTGCTGGGATTACAGGTATGAGCTGCTGCACCCAGCCCCGCCTGCATTTTAAATGGCTGCAGCCACACACAACATGCTTTCCTCCTTTGCAAGCTCAGCTGGGGGGGTGGGTAAGGGAGGGGCTCAGGGGCGGTGCTGTTGGTTCTTTTTACCTGGGTTTTCTCACGCAGAGTAATTGTGAGAAGAACAGGGTTTCCTCTCCTGAACTCGGAGGAAACAGAAAAAAATTTCCTACTAGCAAAAGCAGGCAGAAAAGAAATTTTAGAAGTAAAAGAAGTTTTACTTCTTAATTAGACTTTTCAATTTATTTATTTATTTTTATTTATGTTGTGAGATGGAGTCACACTCTGTTGCCCAGGCTGGAGTGCAGTGGCACGATCTTGGCTCACTGAAACTTTCGCCTCCCAGGTTCAAGCAATTCTCCTGCCTCAGCCTCCTGAGTAGCTAGGATTACAGGTGCCTGCCACCATGCCCGGCTAATGTTTGTATTTTTAGTAGAGACGAGGGTTTCACCATGTTGGCCAGGCTGGTCTCAAACTCTTGACCTCAGGTGGTCCACCTGCCTCGGCCTCCCAAAGTGCTGGTATTACCCAGGAGGCTGAGGCAGAAGAATCGCTTGAACCTGGGAGGCGGAGGTTGTGGTGAGTGGAGTGGAGATTGCGCCACTGCACTCCAGGCACTCCAGCCTGGGCAACAAGAGTGAGACTCCATCTCAAAAAAAAAAAAAAAAAAAGACATGAAGCCAGACAATGGGCCCAAAATGCCAGGGATGATCTGAGGTCCTCAAAAAGGGTCCAGGAAATGCTATATATAAAGAGTCAGAGTTGTGTACCAAGAAACATACCCATCCACTGTGTGTATACCCTGCACTTCCTGGCCCTCCATGCTTGGGCATGGACGTGTGATATGGTTTGGCTGTGTCCCCACCCAAATCTCATCTTGAATTCCCATGTGTTATGGGAGGGACCCGGTGGGAGGTAATTGAATCATGGGGGTGGGATTTTCCCATGCTGTTTTCATGATAGTGAATAAGTATCGTGAGATCTGATGGTTTTATAAGGGGGAGTTTCCCTGCACAACCTCTCTCTTTGCCTGAGCCATCCATGTAAGACATGACTTGCTCCTCCTTGCCATCCACCATGACTGTGAGGCCTCCCCAGCCATGTGGAAGTATAAGTCCATCAAACCTCTTTTTCTTCCCAGTCTCCGGTATGTCATTATCAGCAGTGTGAAAATGGACTCACTCCCACCCTGTCTGGATCTGGACAAGAGCCCACCACCCCGTTGGCAGTAGTCAGGCAGCTCTGCTTCTAAGAACCTGCAGCTTTTGGAAGAAAGGCACCCTGTGGTTTCAGAAGCCCAAGAGTCCCTGCAGCTCAGCACCCCCAGCCTGGTGCTTGGCAGATGACTGCCTCCTCACTTAGCAGAGGGAGCAGGTGAGCATGTATGAAGGGCCGCTCTCAGATCCTTTCAAAGAGAAGGGTGTCATGCAGATGCCAACAGGTTGATCATCAGAACCAGAGGGTGCTTTAACATGCAGATTCCCGGGCTCTGCCAAGGTGATTCCCAAGGTGATTCCTGGGTAGGACTGCCAAGGTGAGGCCCGGGAAGCTGTTTCTAAAAGTTCCTCTTGTCTCTGATGCACAACTTGGGTGACAGCCACAGCTGATTGCCAGAAAGTTATGGCGGGAGGGGGAGATACTGACACCAAGCCTTGCCTGGGACCCACCCAAGAGGCGAAGTGCCTTTCTGGCTTGACAGTCTTGGAAGGAGGGGTCGGGACGTCTGGCCTGCATGGGAACCCTGGAGTTTCCATGCTTCTCTCATAGGACAAAGGCATGGAGTTGTTTTTTTTTGTTGTTTTTCTTGTTTTTTTTTTTTTGTTTTTTTGAGATGGAGTCTCACTCTGTCGCCCAGGCTGGAGTGCAGTGGCGGGATCTTGGCTCACTGCAAGCTCTGCCTCCAGGGTTCACGCCATTCTCCTGCCTCAGCCTCCCAAGTAGCTGGGACTACAAGCGTCCACCACCACGCCCAGCTAATTTTTTGTATTTTTAGTAGAGACGAGGTTTCACCAAGTTAGCCAGGATGGTCTCGATCTCCTGATCTCGTGATCCGCCCGCCTTGGCCTCCCAAAGTGCTGGGATTACAGGCATAAGCCACCGCGCCTGGCCAGGCATGGAGTTTTATCAGCAAAGAGTAAACCAAAATGTATTCTCTGAACACAAAACTGGCTGAGAGTGCCAGGCTGAAAGCCGTTGTGCTGGGAGCTGTGGGTGCTGACGTCATCCCCCTCCCTGCCCGATGGCTCCTCTTCCAGGGTCTGAACCAGACAGCCAGGAAAAGTGGCGTTCAGAGCGCTGGGCCTTCAAGGTGCCCTTGGTCTCTTCGGTAGAAAACAAGGAAGCAACGTCCTTGTGTAGGGGTACTGCTCTCCTCCTGGGAGGGGAGGAAATGAGACGCAGCCACGTGTGGTGTGGGGAGTGCAGTCCGGGCAGAGGGTGGTGGCTCCTCAAATACCCACCCTTGGTTTCCTGCATACCTAAGGGGGTGTGTGACTCAGGGGTCCTTCCTGTTGTCTATGGTGTCTTTACATTCACCACCTGAGGGGAAGTTTTAATTTGTAATAAATCTGTATTACGGTGGATGTCCAACTGCCCCAGTGGCTGTAAAAATTAATTCCTTATCCTAAACATTATTACATAGCTTTCGAAATGAATCGACTTGTGGTTGGGTTCTTGGTTTGGGCCATTATTTCCAATTAGTATAATCAGATAGCATCATCCGTAATACTTCCCCTCCTATCCCCAGCCCTCCCTGGGCCCCACACCCTGGTCTTGTCGGGAACTGGATTCGATGAAGTCATCAGAATTGTCAATGGCATACAGTGGGTGGAGACTGCCTGCTGATTCTGATGGCTGAGAAAGAGGTTTTCTTTCCATTCTCGAATAGTCAATTTTGCTCACTGTTGTTGTGGTTTGTTTCTTTCAGAAAACTGTGTATTCTTCAGAACATCATGATAACCTGGCACTCATGGGTCTATGGAGAGAATTCAGGGGGTCTGGGAGCTTGGATGGAATAAATTTGCATCTTTATTTTCAGGAAAGTTTTACTGAAGTTTAGCATTTTCTTTCATTATAAATGGAATCAGTATAACCCAATAGTATGAGCAGTTACTTCTCCGCAACATCAAAGTGGCTGCAGATATCTCAAAATAGTATTTACATTTATCATAACTTAGAAATTTGGGTGGTAATTAAACCAGCAACTATTCTTTGTTTAATGCATTAAGAAAGAAGTATGTATACTATCATATCTCAATTAAAAATATTTTAAGAACTGGATTTTAACTTTATTGGTTTCCTTTGTAACTCTCTGTATTTCATTTTAGGCATTTAAAAATATTATTTTGAGAAGGGCTTCCGCAGATGTCAGAGGTGTCCATGGCAGAGCCATGATTAAGATCCGCTGGTGTAGACTACAGCAGGTGTGTGCGTCTGAGGTTGGTATGGAAGTTGTGTTTGTGTTCAAATCCTAGTCTCCCATCTCATA